>NC_000019.10:25560741-25886768 GCF_000001405.40 Homo sapiens | reverse complement strand
AGGCCACAAGTACGTCAGAATATCCACTTACAGACTTTACAAACAGAGTGTTTCCTAACTGCTCTATGAACAGAAAGGTTAAACTCTGTGAGTTGAACGAACACATCACAACGCAGTTTCTGGGAATGATTCTGTCTAGTTTTGAAACCAAGATATTTCCTTTTCTGCCGTTGACCTTAAAGAGCTTGAAAACTACACTTGCAAATTGCACAAATAGAGTATTTCAAATCTGCTCTGTCTAAGGGAACGTTCAACTCTGTGAGTTGAATGCACACAACACAAGGAAGTTACTGGGAATTCTTCTGTCTAGCCTTACATGAAAAAAACCCGTTTCCAACGAAGGCCTCTAAGTGGTCAAATTATGCACGTGCAGACTTTACAAACAGAGTGTTTCCAAACTGCTGAATGAAAAGAAAAGTTAAAGTCTGAGAGTTGAACGCACACATCGCAGAGCAGTTTCTGAGAATGATTCTGTCTAGTTTCTATAGGAAGATATTTCCTATTCTACCATGGACCTCAAAGCGGCTGAAATCTCCACTTGCAAATTCCACAAAAAGAGTGTTTCAAGTCTGCTCTGTGTAAAGGATCGTTCAACTCTGTGAGTTGAATACACACAACACAAGGAAGTTTCTGAGAATTCTTCTGTCTAGCAGAATATGAAGAAATCCCGTTTCCAAAGAAGGCCTCAAGGAGGTCTGAATATCCACTTGCAGACTTTACAAACAGAGTGTTTCCTAACTGCTCTATTAACAGAAAGGTTAAACTCTTGTGAGTTGAACGCACACATCACAAAGGAGTTTCTGAGAATCATTCTGTCTAGTTTCCATAGGAAGATATTTCCTATTCTACCATTGAACTCAAAGCGGCTGAAATCTCCACTTGCAAATTCCACAAAAAGAGTGTTTCAAGTCTGCTCTGTGTAAAGGATCGTTCAACTCTGTGAGTTGAATACACACAACACAAGGAAGTTACTGAGAATTCTTCTGTCTAGGAGAATATGAAGAAATCCCGTTTCCAACGAAGGCCACAAGATGTCAGAATATCCACTTACAGAATTGACAAACAGACTGTTTCCTAACTGCTCTATGAAAAGAAAGGTTAAACTCTGTGAGTTGAACGAACACATCACAACCCAGTTTGTGGGAATGATTCTGTCTAGTTTTGAAACGAAGATATTTCCTTTTCTGCCATTGACCTTAAAGCGCTTGAAATCTACACTTGCAAATTGAACAAATAGAGTGTTTGAAATCTGCTCTGTCTAAGGGAACGTTCAACTCTGTGAGTTGAATGCACACAACACAAGGAAGTTACTGGGAATTCTTCTGTCTAGCCTTACATGCAAAAACCCGTTTCCAACGAAGGCCTCTAAGTGGTCAATATATCCACGTGCAGACTTTACAAACAGAGTGTTTCCAAACCGCTGAATGAAAAGAAAAGTTAAACTCTGAGAGTTGAACGCACACATCACGCAGCAGTTTCTGAGAATTATTCTGTCTAGTTTTTATACGAAGATATTTCCTTTTCTGCCTTTAGCCCCAAAGCGCTTGAAATCTCCACTTGCAAATTCCACAAAAACAGTGTTTCAAATCTGCTCTCTCGAAATGAAAGTTCAACTCTGTCAGTTGAATACACACAACACAAGGAAGTTACTGAGAATTCTTCTGTCTAGCAGAATATGAAGAAATCCCGCTTCCAACGAAGGCCTCAAGGAGGTCTGAATATCCACTTGCAGACTTTACAAACAGAGTGTTTCCTAACTGCTCTATGAAAAGAAAGGTTAAACTCTGTGAGTTGAACGCACACATCACAAAGGAGTTTCTGAGAATCATTCTGTCTAGTCTTTATACGAAGATATTTACTTTTCTGCCGTTGACCATAAAGCGCTTGAAATCTACACTTGCAAATTGCACAAATAGAGTGTTTCAAATCTGCTCTGTCTAAGGGAACGTTCAACTCTGTGAGTTGAATGCACACAACACAAGGAAGTTACTGGGAATTCTTCTGTCTAGCATAATATGAAGAAATCCCGTTTCCAACGAAGGCCACAAGATATCAGAATATCCACTTACAGACTTTACAAACAGAGTGTTTCCTAACTGCTCTATGAACAGAAAGCTTAAACTCTGTGAGTTGAACGAACACATCACAACGCATTTTGTGGGAATGATTCTGTCTAGTTTTGAAACGAAGATATTTCCTTTTCTGCCATTGACCTTAAAGCGCTTGAAATCTACACTTGCCAATTGCACAAATAGAGTGTTTCAAATCTGCTCTGTCTAAGGGAACGTTCAAATCTGTGAGTTGAATGCACACAACACAAGGAAGTTACTGGGAATTCTTCTGTCTACCCTTACAGGATAAAAACCCTTTTCCAACGAAGGCCTCTAAGTGGTCAAGTTATCCACGTGCAGACTTTACAAACAGAGTGTTTCCAAACTGCTGAATGAAAAGAAAAGTTAAACTCTGAGAGTTGAACGCACACATCGCAGAGCAGTTTCTGAGAATGATTCTGTCTAGTTTTTATACGAAGATATTTCCTTTTCTGCCTTTGGCCCCAAAGCGCTTGAAATCTCCACATGCAAATTCCACAAAAACAGTGTTTCAAATCTGCTCTCTCTAAATGAAAGTTCAACTCTGTCAGTTGAATACACACAACACAAGGAAGTTACTGAGAATTCTTCTGTCTAGCCTTATATGAAAAAAACCCGTTTCCAACGAAGGCCTCAAAGTAGGTCTGAATATCCACTTGCAGACTTTACAAACAGAGTGTTTCCTAACTGCTCTATGAAAAGAAAGGTTAAACTCTGTGAGTTGAACGCACACATCACAAAGGAGTTTCTGAGAATCATTCTGTCTAGTTTTTATACGAAGATATTTCCTTTTCTACCATTGACCTCAACGCGGCTGAAATCTCCACTTGCAAATTCCACAAAAAGAGTGATTCAAGTCTGCTCTGTGTAAAGGATCGTTCAACTCTGTGAGTTGAATACACACAAAACAAGGAAGTTACTGAGAATTCTTCTGTCTAGCATAGTATGAAGAAATCCAGTTTCCAACGAAGGCCACAAGATGTCAGAATATCCATTTACAGAATTTACAAACAGACTGTTTCCTAACTGCTCTATGAAAAGAAAGGTTAAACTCTGTGAGTTGAACGAACACATCACAACGCAGTTTGTGGGAATGATTCTGTCTAGTTTTTATACGAAGATATTCCCTTTTCTACCATTGACCTCAAAGCAGCTGAAATCACCACTTGCCAATTGCACAAAAAGAGTGTTTCAAATCTGCTCTGTCTAAGGGAACGTTCAACTCTGTGAGTTGAATGTACACAACACAAGTAAGTTACTGGGAATTCTTCTGTCTAGCCTTACAGGAAAAAAACCCGTTTCCAACGAAGGCCTCTAAGTGGTCAAGTTATCCACGTGCAGACTTTACAAACAGAGTGTTTCCAAACTGCTGAATGAAAAGAAAAGTTAAACTCTGAGAGTTGAACGCACACATCGCAGAGCAGTTTCTGAGAATGATTCTGTCTAGTCTTTATAGGAAGATATTTACTTTTCTACCATTGACCTCAAAGCGGCTGAAATCTCCACTTGCAAATTCCACAAAAAGAGTGTTTCAAGTCTGCTCTGTGTAAAGGATCATTCAACTCTGTGAGTTGAATACACACAACACAAGGAAGTTACTGAGAATTCTTCTGTCTAGCCTTATATGAAAAAAACCCGTTTCCAACGAAGGCCTCAAAGAGGTCTGAATATCCACTTGCAGACTTTACAAACAGAGTGTTTCCTAACTGCTCTATGAAAAGAAAGGTTAAACTCTGTGAGTTGAACGCACACATCTCAAAGGAGTTTCTGAGAATCATTCTGTCTAGTCTTTATACGAAGATATTTCCTTTTCTACCATTGACCTCAAAGCGGCTGAAATCTCCACTTGCAAATTCCACAAAAAGAGTGTTTAAAGTCTGCTCTCTGTAAAGGATCGTTCAACTCTGTGAGTTGAATACACAGAACACAAGGAAGTTACTGAGAATTATTCTGTCTAGCAGAATATGAAGAAATCCCGTTTCCAACGAATGCCTCAAGGAGGTCTGAATATCCAATTGCAGACTTTACAAACAGAGTGTTTCCTAACTGCTCTATGAACAGAAAAGTTAAACTCTGTGAGTTGAACGAACACATCACAACGCAGTTTGTGGGAATGTTTCTGTCTAGTTTTGAAACGAAGATATTTCCTTTTCTGCCATTGACCTTAAAGCGCTTGAAATCTACACTTGCAAATTGCACAAATAGAGTGTTTCAAATCTGCTCTGTCTAAGGGAACGTTCAACTCTGTGAGTGGAATGCACACAACACAAGGAAGTTACTGGGAATTCTTCTGTCTAGCCTTACATGAAAAAAACCCGTTTCCAACGAAGGCCTCTAAGTGGTCAAAATATCCACGTGCAGACTTTACAAACAGAGTGTTTCCAAACCGCTGAATGAAAAGAAAAGTTAAACTCTGAGAGTTGAACGCACACATCACGCATCAGTTTCTGAGAATGATTCTGTCTAGTTTTTATACGAAGATATTTCCTTTTCTGCCTTTGGCCCCAAAGCGCTTGAAATCTCCACTTGCAAATTCCACAAAAACAGTGTTATAAATCTGCTCTCTCTAAATGAAAGTTCAACTCTGTCAGTTGAATACACACAACACAAGGAAGTTACTGAGAATTCTTCTGTCTAGCAGAATATGAAGAAATCCCGTTTCCAACGAAGGCCTCAAGGAGGTCTGAATATCCTCTTGCAGACTTTACAAACAGAGTGTTTCCTAACTGCTCTATGAACAGAAAGGTTAAACTCTGTGAGTTGAACGCACACATCACAAAGGAGTTTCTGAGAATCATTCTGTCTAGTTTTTCTACGAAGATATTTCCTTTTCTACTGTTGACCTCAAAGCGGCTGAAATCTCCACTTGCAAATTCCACAAAAAGAGTGTTTCAAGTCTGCTCTGTGTAAAGGATCGTTCAACACTGTGAGTTCAATACACACAACACAAGGAAGTTACTGAGAATTCTTCAGTCTAGCAGAATATGAAGAAATCCCGTTTCCAACGAAGGCCACAAGATGTCAGAATATCCACTTACAGACTTCACAAACAGAGTGTTTCCTAACTGCTCTATGAAGAGAAAGGTTAAACTCTGTGAGTTGAACGAACACATCACAACGCAGTTTGTGGGAATGATTCTGTCTAGTTTTGAAACGAAGATATCTCCTTTTCTGCCATTGACCTTAAAGCGCTTGAAATCTACACTTGCAAATTGCACAAATAGAGTGTTTCAAATCTGCTCTGTCTAAGGGAACGTTCAACTCTGTGAGTTGAATGCACACAACACAAGGAAGTTACTGGGAATTCTTCTGTCTAGCCTTACATGAAAAAAACCCGTTTCCATCGAAGACCTCTAAGTGGTCAAATTATGCACGTGCAGACTTTACAAACAGAGTGTTTCCAAACTGCTGAATGAAAAGAAAAGTTAAACTCTGAGAGTTGAACGCACACATCACAGAGCAGTTTCTGAGAATGATTCTGTCTAGTTTTTATACGAAGATATTTCCTTTTCTGTCTTTGGCCTCAAAGCGCTTGAAATCTCCATTTGCAAATTCCACAAAAAGAGTGTTTCAAATCTGCTCTGTGTAAATGAAAGTTCAACTCTGTGAGTTGAACACACACAACACAAGGCAAGTTACTGGGAATTCTTCTGTCTAGCACAGTATGAAGAAATCCCGTTTCCAACGAAGGCCTCAAAGAGGTCTGAATATCCACTTGCAGACTTTACAAACAGAGTGTTTCCTAACTGCTCTATGAAAAGAAAGGTTAAACTCTGTGAGTTGAACGCACACATCAGAAAGAAGTTTCTGAGAATCATTCTGTCTAGTTTTTATGACGAAGATATTTCCTTTTCTACCATGGACCTCAAAGCGGCTGAAATCTCCACTTGCAAATTCCACAAAAAGAGTGTTTCAAGTCTGCTCTGTGTAAAGGATCGTTCAACTCTGTGAGTTGAATACACACAACACAAGCAAGATTCTGAGAATTCTTCTGTCTAGCAGAATATGAAGAAATGCCGTTTCCAACGAAGGCCACAAGATGTCAGAATATCCACTTACAGAATTTGCAAACAGACTGTTTCCTAACTGCTCTATGAAAAGAAAGGTTAAACTCTGTGAGTTGAACGAACACATGACAACGCAGTTTGTGGGAATGATTCTGTCTAGTTTTGAAACCAAGATATTTCCTTTTCTGCCGTTGACCTTAAAGAGCTTGAAAACTACACTTGCAAATTGCACAAATAGAGTGTTTCAAATCTGCTCTGTCTAAAGGAACGTTCAACTCTGTGAGTTGAATGCACACAACACAAGGAAGTTACTGGGAATTCTTCTGTCTAGCCTTACATGAAAAAAACCCGTTTCCATGAAGGCCTCTAAGTGGTCAAAATTTCCACGTGCAGACTTTACAAACAGAGTGTTTCCAAACCGCTGAATGAAAAGAAAAGTTAAACTCTGAGAGTTGAACGCACACATCACGCAGCAGTTTCTGAGAATGATTCTGTCTAGTTTTTATACGAAGATATTTCCTTTTCTGCCTTTGGCCCCAAAGCGCTTGAAATCTCCACTTGCAAATTCCACAAAAACAGTGTTTCAAATCTGCTCTCTCTAAATGAAAGTTCAACTCTGTCAGTTGAATACACACAACACAAGGGAAGTTACTGAGAATTCTTCTGTCTAGCATAATATGAAGAAATCCCGTTTCCAACGAAGGCCTCAAGGAGGTCTGAATATCCACTTGCAGACTTTACAAACAGAGTGTTTCCTAACTGCTCTATGAAAAGAAAGGTTAAACTCTGTGAGTTGAACGCACACATCACAAAGGAGTTTCAGAGAATCATTCTGTCTTGTTTCTATAGGAAGATATTTCCTATTCTACCATTGACCTCAAAGCGGCTGAAATCTCCACTTGCAAATTCCACAAAAAGAGTGTTTCAAGTATGCTCTCTGTAAAGGATCGTTCAACTCTGTGAGTTGAATACACACAACACAAGGAAGTTACTGAGAATTCTTCTGTGTAGCAGAATATGAAGAAATCCCGTTTCCAACGAAGGCCACAAGATGTCAGAATATCCACTTACAGACTTTAGAAACAGAGTGTTTCCTAACTGCTCTATGAACAGAAAGGTTAAACTCTATGAGTTGAAAGAGCACATCACAACGCAGTTTGTTGGAATGATTCTGTCTAGTTTTGAAGCGAAGATATTTCCTTTTCTGCCATTGACATTAAAGCGCTTGAAATCTACACTTGCAAATTGCACAGAGTGTTTCAAATCTGCTCTGTCTAAGGGAACGTTCATCTCTGTGAGTTGAATGCACACAACACTAGGAATTTACTGGGAATTCTTCTGTCTAGGCTTACAGGAAAAAAACACGTTTCCAACGAAGGCCTCTAAGTGGTCAAAATATCCACGTGCAGACTTTACAAACAGAGTGTTTCCAAACTGCTGAATGAAAAGAAAAGTTAAACTCTGAGAGTTGAACGCACACATCGCAGAGCAGTTTCTGAGAATGATTCTGTCTAGTTTTGAAACGAAGATATTTCCTTTTCTGCCTTTGGCCTCAAAGCGCTTGACATCTCCACTTGCAAATTCCACAAAAAGAGTGTTTCAAATCTGCTCTGTGTAAATGAAAGTTTAACTCTGTGAGTTGAACACACACAACACAAGGAAGTTACTGGGAATTCTTCTGTCTAGCAGAATATGAAGAAATCCCGTTTCCAACGAAGGCCTCAAAGAGGGCTGAATCTCCAGTTGCAGACTTTACAAACAGAGTGTTTCCTAACTGCTCTATGAAAAGAAAGGTTAAACTCTGTGACTTGAACGCACACATCACAAAGGAGTTTCTGAGAATCATTCTGTCTAGTTTTTATATGAAGATATTCCCTTTTCTACCTTTGACTTCAAAGCGGCTGAAATCTCCACTTGCAAATTCCACAAAAAGAGTGTTACAAGTCTGCTCTGTGTAAAGGATCGGTCAACTCTGTGAGTTGAATACACACAACACAAGGAAGTTACTGAGAATTCTTCTGTCTAGCATAATATGAAGAAATCCCGTTTCCAACGAAGGCCACAAGATGTCAGAATATCCACTTACAGACTTTACAAACAGAGTGTTTCCTAACTGCTCTATGAACAGAAAGGTTAAACTCTGTGAGTTGAACGAACACATCACAGCGCAGTTTGTGGGAATGATTCTGTCTAGTTTTTATAGGAAGTTATTTCCTTTTCTACCTTTGACTTCAAAGTGGCTGAAATCTCCACTTGAAAATTCCACAAAAAGAGTGTTACAAGTCTGCTCTGTCTAAGGGAACGTTCAACTCTGTGATTTGAATGTACACAACACAAGGAAGTTACTGGGAATTCTTCTGTCTAGCCTTACAGGAAAAAAACCCGTTTCCAACGAAGGCCTCTAAGTGGTCAAAATATCCACGTGCAGACTTTACAAACAGAGTGTTTCCAAACTTCTGAATGAAAAGAAAAGTTAAACTCTGAGAGTTGAACGCACACATCGCAGAGCAGTTTCTGAGAATGATTCTGTCTAGTTTTGAAACGAAGATATTTCCTTTTCTGCCTTTGGCCTCAAAGCGCTTGAAATCTCCACTTGCAAATTCCACAAAAAGAGTGTTTCAAATCTGCTCTGTGAAAATGAAAGTTCAACTCTGTGAGTTGAACACACACAACACAAGGAAGTTACTGGGAATTCTTCTGTCTAGCAGAATATGAAGAAATCCCGTTTCCAACGAAGGCCTCAAAGAGGTCTGAATATCCACGTGCAGACTTTACAAACAGAGTGTTTCCTAACTGCTCCAAGAAAAGAAAGGTTAAACTCTGCGACTTGAACGCACACATCACAAAGGAGTTTCTGAGAATCATTCTGTCTAGTTTCTATAGGAAGATATTTCCTATTCTACCATTGACCTCAAAGCGGCTGAAATCTGCACTTGCAAATTCCACAAAAAGAGTGTTTCAAGTCTGTTCTGTGTAAAGGATCGTTCAACTCTGTGAGTTGAATACACACAACACAAGGAAGTTACTGAGAATTCTTCTGTCTAGCAGAATATGAAGAAATCCCGTTTCCAACGAAGGCCTCAAAGAGGTCTGAATATCCACTTGCAGACTTTACAAACAGAGTGTTTCCTAACTGCTCTATGAAAAGAAAGGTTAAACTCTGTGAGTTGAACGCACACATTACAACGCAGTTTGTGGGAATGATTCTGTCTAGTTTTGAAACGAAGATATTTCCTTTTCTGCCATTGACCTCAAAGCGCTTGAAATCTCCACTTGCCAATTGCACAAAAAGAGTGTTTCAAATCTGCTCTGTCTAAGGGAACGTTCAACTCTGTGAGTTGAATGTACACAACACAAGGAAGTTACTGGGAATTCTTCTGTCTAGCCTTACATGAAAAAAACCCGTTTCCAACGAAGGCCTCTAAGTGGTCAAATTATCCACGTGCAGACTTTACAAACAGAGGGTTTCCAAACTGCTGAATGAAAAGAAAAGTTAAACTCTGAGAGTTGAACGCACACATCGCAGAGCAGTTTCTGAGAATGATTCTGTCTAGTTTTTATACGAAGATATTTCCTTTTCTGCCTTTGGCCTCAAAGCGCTTGAAATCTCCATTTGCAAATTCCACAAAAAGAGTGTTTCAAATCTGCTCTGTGTAAATGAAAGTTCAAACTCTGTGAGTTGAACACACACAACACAAGGAAGTTACTGGGAATTCTTCTGTATAGCAGAATATGAAGAAATCCCGTTTCCAACGAAGGCCTCAAGGAGGTCTGAATATCCTCTTGCAGACTTTACAAACAGAGTGTTTCCTAAATGCTCTATGAAAAGAAAGGTTAAACTCTGTGAGTTGAACGCAGACATCACAAAGGAGTTTCTGAGAATCACTCTGTCTAGTTTCTATAAGAAGATATTTCCTATTCTACCATTGACCTCAAAGCGGCTGAAATCTCCACTTGCAAATTCGACAAATAGAGTGTTTCAAGCCTGCTCTCTGTAAAGGATCGTTCAACTCTGTGAGTTGAATACACACAACACAAGGAAGTTACTGAGAATTATTCTGTCTAGCATAATATGAAGAAATCCCGTTTCTAACGAAGGCCTCAAAGAGGTCTGAATATCCACTTGCAGACTTTACAAACAGAGTCTTTCCTAACTGCTCTATGAGAAGAAAAGTTAAACTCTGTGAGTTGAACGCACACATCACAAAAGATTTTCTGAGAATCATTCTGTCTAGTTTTGAAACGAAGATATTTCCTTTTCTGCCATTGACCTTAAAGCGCTTGAAATCTACACTTGCAAATTGCACAACTAGAGTGTTTCAAATCTGCTCTGTCTAAGGGAACGTTCAACTCTGTGAGTTGAATGCACACAACACAAGGAAGTTACTGGAAATTCTTCTGTCTAGCCTTACATGAAAAAAACCCGTTTCCAACGAAGGCCTCTAAGTGTTCAAAATATCCACGTGCAGACTTTACAAACAGAGTGTTTCCAAACCGCTGAATGAAAGGAAAAGTTAAACTCTGAGAGTTGAACGCACACATCACGCAGCAGTTTCTGAGAATGATTCTGTCTAGTTTTTATACGAAGATATTTCCTTTTCTGCCTTTGGCTCCAAAACGCTTGAAATCTCCACTTGCAAATTCCACAAAAACAGTGTTTCAAATCTGCTCTCTCTAAATGAAAGTTCAACTCTGTCAGTTGAAAACACACAACACAGGGAAGTTACTGAGAATTCTTCTGTCTAGCCTTACATGAAAAAAAACCCGTTTCCAACGAAGGCCTCAAAGAGGTGAAAATATCCACTTGCAGACTTTACAAACAGAGTGTTTCCTAACTGCTCTATGAAAAGAAAGGTTAAACTCTGTGAGTTGAACGCACACATCATAAAGGAGTTTCTGAGAATCATTCTGTCTAGTTTTTATACGAAGATATTTCCCTTTTCTACCATTGACCTCAACGCGGCTGAAATCTCCACTTGCAAATTCCAGAAAAAGAGTGTTTCAAGTCCGCTCTGTGTAAAGGATCATTGAACTCTGTGAGTTTAATACACTCAACACAAGGAAGTTACTGAGAATTCTTCTGTCTAGCCTTATATGAAAAAAACCCGTTTCCAACGAAGGCCTCAAAGAGGTCTGAATATACACTTGTAGACTTTACAAACAGAGTGTTTCCTAACTGCTCTATGAAAAGAAAGGTTAAACTCTGTGAGTTAAACGCACACATCACAAAGCAGTTTCTGAGAATCATTCTGTCTAGTTTTTATACGAAGATATTTCCTTTTCTACCATTGACCTCAAAGCGGCTGAAATCTCGACTTGCAAATTCCACAAAAAGAGTGTTTCAAGTCTGCTCTGTGTAAAGGATCGTTCAACTCTGTGAGTTGAATACACACAACACAAGGAAGTTACTGAGAATTCTTCTGTCTAGCATAGTATGAAGAAATCCCGTTTCCAAAGAAGGCCTCAATGAGGTCTGAATATCCACTTGCAGAGTTTACAAACAGAGTGTTTCCTAACTGCTCTATGAAAAGAAAGGTTAAACTCTGTGAGTTGAACGCACACATCACAAGGAAGATTCTGAGAATCGTTCTGTCTAGTTTTTATACGAAGATATTCCCTTTTCTGCCATTGACCTCAAAGCAGCTGAAATCACCACTTGCCAATTGCACAAAAAGAGTGTTTCAAATCTGCTCTGTCTAAGGGAACGTTCAACTCTGTGAGTTGAATGTACACAACACAAGGAAGTTACTGGGAATTCTTCTGTCTAGCCTTACAAGAAAAAAACCCGTTTCCAACGAAGGCCTCTAAATGGTCAAAATATCCACGTGCAGACTTTACAAACAGAGTGTTTCCAAACTGCTGAATGAAAAGAAAAGTTAAACTCTGAGAGTTGAACGCACACATCGCAGAGCAGTTTCTGAGAATCATTCTGTCTAGTTTTGAAACGAAGATATTTCCTTTTCTGCCTTTGGCCTCAAAGCGCTTGAAATCTCCACTTGCAAATTCCACAAAAAGAGTGTTTCAAATCTGCTTTGTGTAAATGAAAGTTCAACTCTGTGAGTTGAACACACACAACACAAGGAAGTTACTGGGAATTCTTCTGTCTAGCATAATATTAAGAAATCCCGTTTCCAACGAAGGCCTCAAAGAGGTCTGAGTATCCACTTGCAGACTTTACAAACAGAGTGTTTCCTAACTGCTCTATGAAAAGAAAGGTTAAACTCTGTAAGTTGAATGCACACATCACAAAGGAGTTTCTGAGAATCATTCTGTCTAGTTTTTATACGAAGATATTTCCTTTTCTACCATGGACCTCAAAGCGGCTGAAATCTCCACTTGCAAATTCCACAAAAATAGTGTTTCAAGTCTGCTCTGTGTAAAGGATCGTTCAACTCTGTGAGTTGAATACACACAACACAAGGAAGATTCTGAGAATTCTTCTGTCTAGCAGAATATGAAGAAATCCCGTTTCCAACGAAGGCCACAAGATGTCAGAATATCCACTTACAGAATTGACAAACAGACTGTTTCCTAACTGCTCTATGAAAAGAAACGTTAAACTCTGTGAGTTGAACGAACACATCACAACGCAGTTTGTGGGAATGATTCTGTCTAGTTTTGAAACGAAGACATTTCCTTTTCTGCCATTGACCTTAAAGCGCTTGAAATCTCCATTTGCCAATTGCACAAAAAGAGTGTTTCAAATCTGCTCTGTCTAAGGGAACGTTCAACTCTGTGAGTTGAATGTACACAACACAAGGAAGTTACTGGGAATTCTACTGTCTAGCCTTACAGGAAAAAAACCCGTTTCCAACGAAGGCCTCTAAGTGGTCAAAATATCCACGTGCAGACTTTACAAACAGAGTGTTTCCAAACTGCTGAATGAAAAGAAAAGTTAAACTCTGAGAGTTGAACGCACACATCGCAGAGCAGTTTACTGAGAATGATTCTCTGTCTAGTTTTGAAACGGAGATATTTCCTTTTCTGCCTTTGGCCTCAAAGCGCTTGAAATCTCCACTTGCAAATTCCACAAAAAGAGTGTTTCAAATCTGCTCTGTGTAAATGAAAGTTCAACTCTGTGAGTTGAACACACACAACACAAGGAAGTTACTCGGAATTCTTCTGTCTAGCCTTATAGGAAAAAAAGCCCGTTTCCAATGAAGGCCTCAAAGAGGTCTGAATATCCACTTGCAGACTTTACAAACAGAGTGTTTCCTAACTGCTCTATGAAAAGAAAGGTTAAACTCTGTGAGTTGAACACACACATCACAAAGGAGTTTCTGAGAATCATTCTGTCTAATTTTTATAGGAAGATATTTCCTTTTCTACCTTTGACTTCAAAGCGGCTGAAATCTCCACTTGCAAATTCCACAAAAAGAGTGTTACAAGTCTGCTCTGTGTAAAGGATCGTTCAACTCTGTGAGTTGAATACACACAACACAAGGAAGTTAATGAGAATTCTTCTGTCTAGCATAATATGAAGAAATCCCGTTTCCAACGAAGGCCTCAAGGAGGTCTGAATATCCACTTGCAGACTTTACAAACAGAGTGTTTCCTAACTGCTCTCTGAAAAGAAAGGTTAAACTGTGTGAGTTGAACGCACACATCACAAAGGAGTTTCTGAGAATCATTCTGTCTAGTTTTTATACGAAGATATTTCCTTTTCTACCATTGACCTCAAAGCGGCTGAAATCACCACTTGCCAATTGCACAAAAAGAGTGTTTCAAATCTGCTCTGTCTAAGGGAACGTTCAACTCTGTGAGTTGAATGTACACAACACAAGGAAGTTACTGGGAATTCTTCTGTCTAGCCTTACATGAAAAAAACCCGTTTCCAACGAAGGCCTCTAAGTGGTCAAATTATCCACGTGCAGACTTTACAAACAGAGTGTTTCCAAACTGCTGAATGAAAAGCAAAGTTAAACTCTGAGAGTTGAACGCACACATCGCAGAGCACTTTCTGAGAATGATTCTGTCTAGTTTTCATACGAAGATGTTTCCTTTTCTGCCTTTGGCCCCAAAGCGCTTGAAATCTCCACTTGCAAATTCCACAAAAACAGTGTTTCAAAACTGCTCTCTCTAAATGAAAGTTCAACTCTGTCAGTTGAATACACACAACACAAGGAAGTTACTGAGAATTCTTCTGTCTAGCATAATATGAATAAATCCCGTTTCCAACGAAGGCCTCAAAGGGGTCTGAATATCCACTTGCAGACTTTATAAACAGAGTGTTTACTAACTGCTCTATGAAAAGAAAGGTTAAACTCTGTGAGTTGAACACACACATCACAAAGGAGTTTCTGAGAATCATTCTGTCTAGTTTTTCTACGAAGATATTTCCTTTTCTACTATTGACCCCAAAGCGGCTGAAATCTCCACTTGCAAATTCCACAAAAAGAGTGTTTCAAGTCTGCTCTGTGTAAAGGATCGTTCAACTCTGTGAGTTGAATACACAGAACACAAGGAAGTTACTGAGAATTCTTCTGTCTAGCAGAATATGAAGAAATCCCGTTTCCAACGAAGGCCACAAGATGTCAGAATATCCACTTACAGACTTTACAAACAGAGTGTTTCCTAACTGCTCTGTGAACAGAAAGGTTAAACTCTGTGAGTTGAACGAGCACATCACAACGCAGTTTGTGGGAATGATTCTGTCTAGTTTTGAAACGAAGATATTTCCTTTTCTGCCATTGACCTTAAAGCGCTTGAAATCTCCATTTGCCAATTGCACAAAAAGAGTGTTTCAAATCTGCTCTGTCTAAGGGAACGTTCAACTCTGTGAGTTTAATGTACACAACACAAGGAAGTTACTGGGAAATCTTCTGTCTAGCCTTACATGAAAAAAACCCGTTTCCAACGAAGGCCTCTAAGTGGTCAAAATATCCACGTGCAGACTTTACAAACAGAGTGTTTCCAAACCGCTGAATGAAAAGAAAAGTTAAATTCTGAGAGTTGAACGCACACATCACGCAGCAGTTTCTGATAATGATTCTGTCTAGTTTTTATACGAAGATATTTCCTTTTCTGCCTTTGGCCCCAAAGCGCTTGAAATCTCCACTTGCAAATTGCACAAAAATAGTGTTTCAAATCTGCTCTGTCTAAATGAAACTTCAACTCTGTCAGTTGAATACACACAACACAAGGAAGTTACTGAGATTTCTTCTGTCTAGCATAATATGAAGAAATCCCGTTTCCAACGAAGGCCTCAAAGGGGTCTGAATATCCACTTGCAGACTTTATAAACAGAGTGTTTACTAACTGCTCTATGAAAAGAAAGATTAAACTCTGTGAGTTGAACACACACATCACAAAGGAGTTTCTGAGAATCATTCTGTCTAGTTTCTATAAGAAGATATTTCCTATTCTACCATTGACCTCAAAGCGGCTGAAATCTCCACTTGCAAATTCGACAAAAAGAGTTTTTCTAGCCTGCTCTCTGTAAAGGATCCTTCAACTCTGTGAGTTGAATACACACAACACAAGGAAGTTACTGAGAATTCTTCTGTCTAGCAGAATATGAAGAAATCCCGTTTCCAACGAAGGGCCACAAGATGTCAGAATATCCACTTACAGACTTTACAAACAGAGTGTTTCCTAACTGCTCTATGAACAGAAAGGTTAAACTCTGTGAGTTGAACGAATACATCACAACGCAGTTTGTGGGAATGATTCTGTCTAATTTTGAAACGAAGATATTTCCTTTTCTGCCATTGACCTTAATGCGCTTGAAATCTACACTTGCAAATTGCACAAATAGAGTGTTTCAAATCTGCTCTGTCTAAGGGAACGTTCAACTCTGTGAGTTGAATGCACACAACACAAGGAAGTTACTGGGAATTCTTCTGTCTAGCCTTACATGCAAAAAACCCGTTTCCAACGAAGGCCTCTAAGTGGTCAAAATATCCACGTGCAGACGTTACAAACAGAGTGTTTCCAAACCGCTGAATGAAAAGAAAAGCTAAACTCTGAGAGTTGAACGCACACATCACGCAGCAGTTTCTGAGAATGATTCTGTCTAGTTTTTATACGAAGATATTTCCTTTTCTGCCTTTGGCCCCAAAGCGCTTGAAATCTCCACTTGCAAATTCCACAAAAACAGTGTTTCAAATCTTCTCTCTCTAAATGAAAGTTCAACTCTGTCAGTTGAATACACACAACACAAGGAAGTTACTGAGAATTCTTCTGTCTAGCATAATATGAAGAAATCCCGTTTCCAACGAAGGCCTCAAGGAGGTCTGAATATCCACTTGCAGACTTTACAAACAGAGTGTTTCCTATCTGCTCTATGAAAAGAAAGGTTAAACTCTGTGAGTTGAACGCACACATCACAAAGGAGTTTCTGAGAATCATTCTGTCTAGTTTTTATAGGAAGATATTTCCTTTTCTACCTTTGACTTCAAAGCGGCTGAAATCTCCACTTGCAAATTCCACAAAAAGAGTTTTACAAGTCTGCTCTGTGTAAAGGATCGTTCAACTCTGTGAGTTGAATACACACAACACAAGGAAGTTACTGAGAATTCTTCTGTCTAGCAGAATATGAAGAAATCCCGTTTCCAACGAAGGCCACAAGATGTCAGAATATCCACTTACAGAATTGACAAACAGACTGTTTCCTAACTGCTCTATGAAAAGAAAGGTTAAACTCTGTGAGTTGACCGAACACATCACAACGCAGTTTGTGGGAATGATTCTGTCTAGTTTTGAAACGAAGATATTTCCTTTTCTGCCATTGACCTTAATGCGCTTGAAATCTACACTTGCAAATTGCACAAATAGAGTGTTTCAAACCTGCTCTGTCCTAGGGAACGTTCAACTCTGTGAGTTGAATGCACACAACACAAGGAAGTTACTGGGAATACTTCTGTCTAGCCTTACATGCAAAAAACCATTTCCAACGAAGGCCTCTAAGTGGTCAAAATATCCACTTACAGACTTTACAAACAGAGTGTTTCCAAACCGCTGAATGAAAAGAAAAGTTAAACTCTGAGAGTTGAACGCACACATAACGCAGCAGTTTCTGAGAATGATTCTGTCTACTTTTGAAACGAAGATATTTCCTTTTCTGCCTTTGGCCTCAAAGCGCTTGAAATCTCCATTTGCAAATTCCACAAAAAGAGTGTTTCAAATCTGCTCTGTGTAAATGAAAGTTCAACTCTGTGAGTTGAATACACACAACACAAGGAAGTTACTGAGAATTCTTCTGTATAGCAGAATATGAAGAAATCCCGTTTCCAACTAAGGCCTCAAGGAGGTCTGAATATGCACCTGCAGACTTTACAAACAGAGTGTTTCCTAACTGCTCTATGAAAAGAAAGGTTAAACTCTGTGAGTTGAACGCAGACATCACAAAGGAGTTTCTGAGAATCACTCTGTCTAGTCTTTATACGAAGATATTTCCTTTTCTACCATTGACCTCAAAGCGGCTGAAATCTCCACTTGCAAATTCCACAAAAAGAGTGTTTCAAGTCTGCTCTGTGTAAAGGATCGTACAACTCTGTGAGTTGAATACACACAACACAAGGAAGTTACTGAGAATTCTTCTGTCTAGCAGAATATGAAGAAATCCCGTTTCCAACGAAGGCCACAAGATGTCAGAATATCCACTTACAGAATTGACAAACAGACTGTTTCCTAACTGCTCTATGAAAAGAAAGTTTAAACTCTGTGAGTTGAACGAACACATCACAACGCAGTTTGTGGGAATGATTCTGTCTAGTTTTGAAACGAAGATATTTCCTTTTCTGCCATTGACCTTAAAGCGCTTGAAATCTACACTTGCAAATTGCACAAATAGCGTGTTTCAATTCAGCTCTGTCTAAGGAAACGTTCAACTATGTGAGTTTAATGCACACAACACAAGGAAGTTACTGGGAATTCTTCTGTCTAGCCTTACAAGAAAAAAACCCGTTTCCAACGAAAGCCTCTAAATGGTCAAAATATCCACGTGCAGACTTTACAAACAGAGTGTTTCCAAACTGCTGAATGAAAAGAAAAGTTAAACTCTGGAGAGTTGAACGCACACATCGCAGAGCAGTTTCTGAGAATGATTCTGTCTACTTTTTATACGAAGATATTTCGTTTTCTGCCTTTGGCCCCAAAGCGCTTGAAATCTCCACTTGCAAATTCCACAAAAACAGTGTTTCAAATCTGCTCTCTCTAAATGAAAGTTCAACTCTGTCAGTTGAATACACACAACACAAGGAAGTTACTGAGAATTCTTCTGTCTAGCATAATATGAAGAAATCCCGTTTCCAACGAAGGCCTCAAAGAAGTCTGAATATCCACTTGCAGACTTTACAAACAGAGTGTTTCCTAACTGCTCTATGAGAAGAAATGTTAAACTCTGTGAGTTGAACGCACACATCACAAAAGATTTTCTGAGAATCATTCTGTCTAGTCTTTATACGAAGATATTTCCTTTTCTAACATTGACCTCAAAGCGGCTGAAATCTCCACTTGCAAATTCCACAAAAAGAGTGTTTCAAGTCTGCTCTGTGTAAAGGATCGTTCAACTCTGTGACTTGAATACACACAACACAAGGAAGTTTCTGAGAATTCTTCTGTCTAGCAGAATATGAAGAAATCCCGTTTCCAACGAAGGCCACAAGATGTCAAAATATCCACTTACAGACTTTACAAACAGAGTGTTTCCTAACTGCTCTATGAACAGAAAGGTTAAACTCTGTGAGTTGAACGAACACATCACAACGCAGTTTGTGGGAATGATTCTGTCTAGTTTTGAAAGGAAGATATTTCCTTTTCAGCCGTTGACCTTAAAGCGCTTGAAATCTACACTTGCAAATTGCACAAATAGGCTGTTTCAAATCTGCTCTGTCTAAGGGAACGTTCAACTCTGTGAGTTGAATGCACACAACACAAGGAAGTTACTGGGAATTCTTCTGTCTAGCCTTACATGAAAAAAACCCGTTTCCAACGAAGGACTCTAAGTGGTCAAAATATCCACGTGCAGACTTTACAAACAGAGTGTTTCCAAACCGCTGAATGAAAAGAAAAGTTAAACTCTGAGAGTTGAACGCACATATCGCGCAGCAGGTTCTGAGAATGATTCTGTCTAGTTTTTATACGAAGATATTTCCTTTTCTGCCTTTGGCCTCAAAGCGCTTGAAATCTCCACTTGCAAATTCCACAAAAGGAGTGTTTCAAATCTGCTCTGTGTAAATCAAAGTTCAACTCTGTGAGTTGAACACACACAACACAAGGAAGTTACTGGGAATTCTTCTGTCTAGCAGAACATGAAGAAATCCCGCTTCCAACGAAGGCCTCAAAGAAGTCTGAATATCCACTTGCAGACTTTACAAACAGAGTGTTTCCCAACTGCTCTATGAAAAGAAAGGTTAAACTCTGTGAGTTGAACGCACACATCACAAAGGAGTTTCTGAGAATCATTCTGTCTAGTTTCTATAGGAAGATATTTCCTATTCTACCATTGACCTCAAAGCGGCTGAAATCTCCAATTGCAAATTCCACAAAAAGAGTGTGTCAAGTCTGCTCTCTGTAAAGTATCGTTCAACTCTGTGAGTTGAATACACACAACACAAGGAAGTTACTGAGAATTCTTCTGTCTAGCAGAATATAAAGAAATCCCGTTTCCAACGAAGGCCACAAGATGTCAGAATATCCACTTACAGACTTTACAAACAGAGTGTTTCCTAACTGCTCTATGAACAGAAAGGTTAAACTCTGTGAGTTGAACGAACACATCACAACGCAGTTTGTGGGAATGATTCTGTCTAGTTTTGAAACGAAGATATTTCCTTTTCTGCCATTGACCTTAAAGCGCTTGAAATCTACACTTGCAAATTGCACAAATAGAGTGTTTCAAATCTGCTCTGTCTAAGGGAACGTTCAACTCTGTGAGTTGAATGCACACAACACAAGGAAGTTACTGGGAAATTCTTCCGTCTAGCCTTACATGAAAAAAACCCGTTTCCAACGAAGGCCTCTAAGTGGTCAAAATATCCACGTGCAGACTTTACAAACAGAGTGTTTCCAAACCGCTGAATGAAAAGAAAAGTTAAATTCTGAGAGTTGAGCGCACACATCACGCAGCAGTTTCTGAGAATGATTCTGTCTAGTTTTTATACGAAGATATTTCGTTTTCTGCCTTTGGCCGCAAAGCGCTTGAAATCTCCACTTGCAAATTCCACAAAAACAGTGTTTCAAATCTGCTCTCTCTAAATGAAAGTTCAACTCTGTGAGTTGAATACACACAACACAAGGAAGTTACTGAGAATTCTTCTGTCTAGCATAATATGAAGAAATCCCATTTCCAACGAAGGCCTCAAGGAGGTCTGAATATCCACTTGCAGACTTTACAAACAGAGTGTTTCCTAACTGCTCTATGAAAAGAAAGGTTAAACTCTGTGAGTTGAACGCAGACATCACAAAGGAGTTTCTGAGAATCACTCTGTCTAGTTTCTATAGGAAGATATTTCCTATTCTACCATTGACCTCAAAGCGGCTGAAATCTCCACTTGCAAATTCCACAAAAAGAGTGTTTCAAGTCTGCTCTGTGTAAAGCATCGTTCAACTCTGTGAGTTGAATACACACCACACAAGGAAGTTACTGGGAATTCTTCTGTCTAGCAGAATATGAAGAAATCCCGTTTCCAACGAAGGCCACAAGATGTCAGAATATCCACTTACAGAATTGACAAACAGACTGTTTCCTAACTGCTCTATGAAAAGAAAGGTTAAACTCTGTGAGTTGAACGCACACGTCACAATGAAGTTTCTGAGAATCATTCTCTCTAGTTTTGAAACGAAGATATTTCCTTTTCTGCCATTGACCTTAAAGCGCTTGAAATCTCCACTTGCCAATTGCACAAAAAGAGTGTTTCAAATCTGCTCTGTCTAAGGGAACGTTCAACTCTGTGAGTTGAATGTACACAACACAAGGAAGTTACTGGGAATTCTTCGGTCTAGCCTTACATGAAAAAATCCCGTTTCCAACGAAGGCCTCTAAGTGGTCAAAATATCCACGTGCAGACTTTATAAACAGAGTGTTTCCAAACTGCTGAATGAAAAGAAAAGTTACACTCTGAGAGTTGAACGCACACATCGCAGAGCAGTTTCTGAGAATCATTCTGTCTAGTTTTTATACGAAGATATTTCCTTTTCTGCCTTTGGCCTCAAAGCGCTTGAAATCTCCATTTGCAAATTCCACAAAAAGAGTGTTTCAAATCTGCTCTGTCTAAATGAAAGTTCAACTCTGTCAGTTGAATACACACAACACAAGGAAGTTACTGAGAATTCTTCTGTCTAGCAGAATATGAAGAAATCCCGTTTCCAACGAAGGCCTCAAGGAGGTCTGAATATCCACTTGCAGACTTTATAAACAGAGTGTTTCCTAACTGCTCTATGAAAAGAAAGGTTAAACTCTGTGAGTTGAACGCACACATCACAAAGGGAGTTTATGAGAATCATTCTGTCTAGTTTTCATACGAAGATATTTCCTTTTCTACCATTGACCTCAAAGCGGCTGAAATCTCCACTTGCAAATTCCACAAAAAGAGTGTTTCAAATCTGCTCTGTGTAAAGGATCGTTCAACTCTGTGAGTTGAATACACACAACACAAGGAAGTTATTGAGAATTCTTCTGTCTAGCAGAATATGAAGTAATCCCGTTTCCAGCGAGGCCACAAGATGTCAGAATATCCACTTACAGAATTTACAAACAGACTGTTTCCTAACTGCTCTATGAAAAGAAAGGTTAAATTCTGTGAGTTGAACAAACGCATCACAACGCAGTTTGTGGGAATGATTCTGTCTAGTTTTGAAACGAAGATATTTCCTTTTCTGCCATTGACCTTAAAGCGCTTGAAATCTCCACTTGCCAATTGCACAAAAAGAGTGTTTCAAATCTGCTCTGTCTAAGGGAACCTTCAACTCTGTGAGTTGAATGTACACAACACAAGGAAGTTACTGGGAATTCTTCTGTCTAGCCTTACAGGAAAAAAACCCGATTCCAAAGAAGGCCTCTAAGTGGTCAAAATATCCACGTGCAGACTTTACAAACAGAGTGTTTCCAAACTGCTGAATGAAAAGAAAAGTTAAACTCTGAGAGTTGAAGGCACACATCGCAGAGCAGTTTCTGAGAATGATTATGTCTAGTTTTTATACGAAGATATTTCCTTTTCTGCCTTTGGCCCCAAAGCGCTTGAAATCTCCACTTGCAAATTCCACAAAAACAGTGTTTCAAATCTGCTCTCTCTAAATGATAGTTCAACTCTGTCAGTTGAATACACACAACACAAGGAAGTTACTGAGAATTCTTCTGTCTAGCAGAATATGAAGAAATCCCGTTTCCAACGAAGGCCTCAAAGAGGTCTGAATATCCACTTGCAGACTTTAACAAACAGAGTGTTTCCTAACTGCTCTATGAAAAGAAAGGTTAAATTCTGTGAGTTAAACGCACACATCACAAAGGAGTTTCTGAGAATCATTCTGTCTAGTTTTTCTACGAAGATATTTCCTTTTCGACTATTGACCTCAAAGCGGCTGAAATCTCCACTTGCAAATTCCACAAAAAGAGTGTTTCAAGTCTGCTCTGTGTAAAGGATCGTTCAACTGCTGTGAGTTGAATACACACAACACAAGGAAGTTACTGAGAATTCTTTCTATCTAGCATAGTATGAAGAAATCCCGTTTCCAACGAAGGCCACAAGTTGTCAGAATATCCACTTACAGAATTTACAAACAGAGTGTTTCCTAACTGCTCTATGAAAAGAAAGGTTAAACTCTGTGAGTTGAACGAACACATAACAACGCAGTTTGTGGGAATGATTCTGTCTAGTTTTGAAACGAAGATATTTCCTTTTCTGCCATTGACCTTAAAGCGCTTGAAATCTACACTTGCAAATTGCACAAATAGAGTGTTTCAAATCTGCTCTGTCTAAGGGAACGTTCAACTCTGTGAGTTTAATGCACCCAACACAAGGAAGTTACTGGGAATTATTCTGTCTAGCCTTACATGAAAAAAACCCGTTTCCAACGAAGGCCTCAAAGAAGTCCAAATATCCACGTGCAGACTTTACAAACAGAGTGTTTCCTAACTGCTCTATGAAAAGAAAGGTGAGTTGAACGCACACATCACAAAGGAGTTTCTGAGAATCATTCTGTCTAGTTTTTATACGAAGATATTTCCTTTTCTGCCTTTGGCCTCAAAGCGCTTGAAATCTCCACTTGCAAATTCCACAAAAAGAGTGTTTCAAATCTGCTATTTGTAAAAGAAAGTTCAACTCTGTGAGTTGAACACACACAACACAAGGAAGTTACTGGGAATCCTTCTGTCTAGCATAATATGGAGAAATCCCGTTTCCAACGAAGGCCTCAAAGGGGTCTGAATATCCACTTGCAGACTTTATAAACAGAGTGTTTACTAACTGCTCTATGAAAAGAAAGGTTAAACTCTGTGAGTTGAACACACACATCACAAAGGAGTTTCTGAGAATCATTCTGTCTAGTTTTTATAGGAAGATATTTCCTTTTCTACCTTTGACTTCAAAGCGGCTGAAATCTCCACTTGCAAATTCCACAAAAAGAGTGATACAAGTCTGCTCTGTGTAAAGGATCGTTCAACTCTGTGAGTTGAATACACACAACACAAGGAAGTTACTGAGAATTCTTCTGTCTAGCAGAATATGAAGAAATCCCGTTTCCAACGAAGGCCACAAGATGTCAGAATATCCACTTACAGACTTTACAAACAGAGTGTTTCCTAACTTCTCTATGAACAGAAAGGTTAAACTCTGTGAGTTGAACGAACACATCACAACGCAGTTTGTGGGAATGATTCTGTCTAGTTTTGAAACGAAGATATTTCCTTTTCTGCCGTTGACCTTAAAGCGCTTGAAATCTACACTTGCAAATTGGACAAATAGAGTGTTTCAAATCTGCTCTGTCTAAGGGAACGTTCAACTCTGTGAGTTGAATGCACACAACACAAGGAAGTTACTGGGAATTCTTCTGTCTAGCCTTACATGAAAAAAACCCGTTTCCAACGAAAGCCTCTAAGTCGTCAAAATATCCACGTGCAGATTTACAAACAGAGTGTTTCCAAACTACTGAATGAAAAGAAAAGTTAAACTCTGAGAGTTGAACGCACACATCACAGAGTAGTTTCTGAGAATGATTCTGTCTAGTTTTTATACGAAGATATTTCCTTTTCTGCCTTTGGCCTCAAAGCGCTTGAAATCGCCACTTGCAAATTGCACAAAAAGAGTGTTTCAAATCTGCTCTGTGTAAATGAAAGTTCAACTCTGTGAGTTGAACACACACAACACAAGGAAGTTACTGGGAATTCTTCTGTCTAGCATAATATGAAGAAATCCCGTTTCCAACGAAGGCCACAAAGAGGTCTGAATATCCACTTGCAGACTTTACAAACAGAGTGTTTCCTCACTGCTCTATGAAAAGAAAGGTTAAACTCTGTGAGTTGAACGCACACATCACAAAGGAGTTTCTGAGAATCATTCTGTCTAGTTTTTATACGAAGATATTTCCTTTTCTACCACTGACCTCAAAGCGGCTGAAATCTCCACTTGCAAATTCCACAAAAAGTGTGTTTCAAGTCTGCTCTGTGTAAAGGATCGTTGAACTCTGTGAGTTGAATACACGCAACACAAGGAAGTTACTGAGAATCTCTCTGTCTAGCAGAATATGAAGAAATCCCGTTTCCAACGAAGGCCACAAGTATGTCAGCAATATCCACTTACAGACTTTACAAACAGAGTGTTTCCTAACTGCTCTATGAACAGAAAGGTTAAACTCTGTGAGTTGAACGAACACATCACAACGCAGTTTGTGGGAATGATTCTGTCTAGTTTTGAAACGAAGATATTTCCTTTTCTGCCATTGACCTTAAAGCGCTTGAATTCTACACTTGCAAATTGCACAAATAGAGTGTTTCAAATCTGCTCTGTCTAAGGGAACGTTCAACTCTGTGAGTTGAATGCACACAACACAAGGAAGTTACTGGGAATTCTTCTGTCTACCCTTACATGAAAAAAACCCGTTTCCAAAGAAGGCCTCTAAGTGGTCAAAATATCCACGTGCAGACTTTACAAACAGAGTATTTCCAAACTGCTGAATGAAAACAAAAGTTAAACTCTGAGAGTTCAACGCACACATCACAGAGCATTTTCTGAGAATGATTCTGTCTAGTTTTTATACGAAGATATTTCCTTTTCTGCCTTTGGCCTCAAAGCGCTTGAAATCTCCACCTGCAAATTCCACAAAAAGAGTGTTTCAAATCTGCTCTGTGTAAATGAAAGTTCAACTCTGTGAGTTGAACACACACAACACAAGGAAGTTACTGGGAATTCCTCTGTCTAGCATAATATGAAGAAATACCGTTTCCAACGAAGGCCTCAAAGGGGTCTGAATATCCACTTGCAGACTTTATAAACAGAGTGTTTACTAACTGCTCTATGAAAAGAAAGGTTAAACTCTGTGAGGTGAACACACACATCACAAAGGAGTTTCTGAGAATCATTCTGTCTAGTCTTTATATGAAGATAGTTTCCTTTTCTACCATTGACCTCAAAGCGGCTGAAATCTCCACTTGCAAATTCCACAAAAAGAGTGTTTCAAGTTTGCTCTGTGTAAAGGATCGTTCAACTCTGTGAGTTGAATACACACAACACAAGGAAGTTACTGAGAATTCTTCTGTCTAGCAGAATATGAAGAAATCCCGTTTCCAACGAAGGCCACAAGATGTCAGAATATCCACTTACAGACTTTACAAACAGAGTGTTTCCTAACTGCTCTATGAACAGAAAGGTTAAACTCTGTGAGTTGAACGAACACATCACAACGCAGTTTCTGGGAATGATTCTGTCTAGTTTTTATAGGAAGATATTTCCTTTTCTACCTTTGACTTCAAAGCGGCTGAAATCTCCACTTGCAAATTCCACAAAAAGAGTGTTACAAGTCTGCTCTGTGTAAAGGATCGTTCAACTCTGTGAGTTGAATACACACAACACAAGGAAGTTACTGAGAATTCCTCTGTCTAGCCTTACATGAAAAAAACCCGTTTCCAACGAAGGCCTCTAAGTGGTCAAATTATCCACGTGCAGACTTTACAAACAGAGTGTTTCCAAACTGCTGAAAGAAAAGAAAAGTTAAACTCTGAGAGTTGAACGCACACATCGCAGAGCAGTTTCTGAGAATGATTCTGTCTAGTTTTGAAACGAAGATATTTCCTTTTCTGCCTTTGGCCTCAAAGCGCTTGAAATCTCCACTTGCAAATTCCACAAAAAGAGTGTTTCAAATCTGCTCTGTGTAAATGAAAGTTCAATTCTGTGAGTTGAACACACACAACACAAGGAAGTTACTGGGAATTCTTCTGTCTAGCATAGTATGAAGAAATCCCGTTTCCAACGAAGGCCTCAAAGAGGTCTGTATATCCACTTGCAGAGTTTACAAACAGAGTGTTTCCTAACTGCTCTACGAAAAGAAAGGTTAAACTCTGTGAGTTGAACGCACACATCACAAAGGAGTTTCTGAGAATCATTCTGTCTAGTTTTTATACGAAGATATTTCCTTTTCTACCATTGACCTCAAAGCGGCTGAAATCTCCACTTGCAAATTCCACAAAAAGAGTGTTTCAAATCTGCTCTGTGTAAACCAGAGTTCAACTCTGTGAGTTGAATACACACAACACAAGGAAGTTACTGAGAATTCTTCTGTCTAGCAGAATATGAAGAAATCCCGTTTCCAACGAAGGCCACAAGATGTCAGAATATCCACTTACAGAATTTACAAACAGACTGTTTCGTAACTGCTCTATGAAAAGAAAGGTTAAACTCTGTGAGTTGAACGAACACATCACAACGCAGTTTGTGGGAATGATTCTGTCTAGTTTTAATACGAAGATATTTCCTTTTATACCATTGACCGCAAAGCGGCTGAAATCACCACTTGCCAATTGCACAAAAAGAGTGTTTCAAATCTGCTCTGTCTAAGGGAACGTTCAACTCTGTGAGTTGAATGTACACAACCCAAGGGAAGTTACTAGGAATTCTTCTGTCTAGCCTTACATGAAAAAATCCCGTTTCCAACGAAGACCTCTAAGTGGTGAAATTATCCACGTGCAGACTTTACAAACAGAGTGTTTCCAAACTGCTGAATGAAAAGAAAAGTTAAACTCTGAGAGTTGAACGCACACATCGCAGAGCTGTTTCTGAGAATGATTCTGTCTAGTTTTTATACGAAGATATTTCCTTTTCTGCCTTTGGCCTCAAAGCGCTTGAAATCTCCACTTGCAAATTCCACAAAAAGAGTGTTTCAAATCTGCTCAGTGTAAATCAAAGTTCAACTCTGTGAGTTGAACACACACAACACAAGGAAGTTACTGGGAATTCTTCTGTCTAGCAGAATATGAAGAAATCCCGTTTCCAACGAAGGCCTCAAAGAGGTCTGAATATCCACGTGCAGACTTTACAAACAGAGTGTTTCCTAACTGCTCTATGAAAAGAAAGGTTAAACTCTGTGAGTTGAACGCACACATCACAAAGGAGTTTCTGAGAATCATTCTGTCTAGCAGAATATGAAGAAATCCCGTTTCCAACGAAGGCCTCAAGGAGGTCTGAATATCCACTTGCAGACTTTACAAACAGAGTGTTTCCTAACTGCTCTATGAAAAGAAAGGTTAAACTCTTTGACTTGAACGCACACATCACAACGCAGTTTGTGGGAGTGATTCTGTCTAGTTTTGAAACGAAGATATTTCCTTTTCTGCCATTGACCTTAAAGCGCTTGAAATCTACACTTGCAAATTGCACAAATAGAGTGTTTCAAATCTGCTCTGTCTAAGGGAACGTTCAACTCTGTGAGTTGAATGCACAAAACACAAGGAAGTTACTGGGAATTCTTCTGTCTAGCCTTACATGAAAAAAACCCGTTTCCAACGAAGGCCTCTAAGTGGTCAAATTATCCACGTGCAGACTTTACAAACAGAGTGTTTCCAAACTGCTGAATGAAAAGAAAAGTTAAACTCTGAGAGTTGAATGCACACATCGCAGAGCAGTTTCTGAGAATGATTCTGTCTAGTTTTGAAACGAAGATATTTCCTTTTCTGCCTTTGGCTTCAAAGCGCTTGAAATCTCCACTTGCAAATTCCACAAAAAGAGTGTTTCAAATCTGCTCTGTGTAAATGAAAGTTCAACTCTGTGGGTTGAACACACACAACACAAGGAAGTTACTGGGAATTCTTCTGTCTAGCATAATATGAAGAAATCCCGTTTCCAACGAAGCCCTCAAGGAGGTCGGAATATCCACTTGCAGACTTTACAAACAGAGTGTTTCCTAACTGCTCTATGAAAAGAAAGGTTAAACTCTGTGAGTTGAACGCAGACATCACAAAGGAGTTTCTGAGAATCACTCTGTCTAGTTTTTATACGAAGATATTTCCTTTTCTACCATTGACCTCAAAGCGGCTGAAATCTCCACCCTGCCAATTCCACAAAAAGAGTGTTTCAAGTCTACTCTGTGTAAATGATCCTTTAACTCTGTGAGTTGAAAACACACAACACAACGAAGTTACTGAGAATTCTTCTGTCTAGCAGAATATGAAGCAAATCCCGTTTCCAACGAAGGCCACAAGCATGTCAGAATATCCACTTACAGAATTTACAAACAGACTGTTTCCTAACTGCTCTACGAAAAGAAAGGTTAAACTCTGTGAGATGAACGAACACATCACAACGCAGTTTGTGGGAATGATTCTGTCTAGTTTTGAAACGAAGATATTTCCTTTTCTGCCATTGACCTCAAAGCGCTTGAAATCTCCACTTGCCAATTGCACAAAAAGAGTGTTTCAAATCTGCTCTGTCTAAGGGAACGTTCAACTCTGTGAGTTGAATGTACACAACACAAGGAAGTTACTGGGAATTCTTCTGTCTAGCCTTACAGGAAAAAAACCCGTTTCCAACGAAGGCCTCTAAGTGGTCAAAATATCCACGTGCAGACTTTACAAACAGAGTGTTTCCAAACTGCTGAATGAAAAGAAAAGTTAAATTCTGAGAGTTGAACGCACACATCGCAGAGCAGTTTCTGAGAATGATCCTGTCTAGTTTTTATACGAAGATATTTCCTTTTCTGCCTTTGGCCGCAAATCGCTTGAAATCTACACTTGCAAATTCCACAAATACAGTGTTACAAATCTGCTCTCTCTAAATGAAAGTTCAACTCTGTCAGTTGAATACACACAACACAAGGAAGTTACTGAGAATTCTTCTGTCTAGCCTTATATGAAAAAAACCCGTTTCCAACGAAGGCCTCAAAGAGGTCTGAATATCCACTTGCAGACTTTACAAACAGAGTGTTTCCTAACTGCTCTATGAAAAGAAAGGTTAAACTTTGTGAGTTGAACGCACACATCACAAAGCAGTTTCTGAGAATCATTCTGTCTAGTTTTTCTACGAAGATATTTCCTTTTCTACTATTGACCTCAAAGCGGCTGAAATCTCCACTTGCAAATTCCACAAAAAGAGTGTTTCAAGTCTGCTCTGTGTAAAGGATCGTTCAACTCTGTGAGTTGAATATACACTACACAAGGAAGTTACTGAGAATTCTTCTGTCTAGCAGAATATGAAGAAATCCCGTTTCCAACGAAGGCCTCAAAGAGGTCTGAATATCCACTTGCAGACTTTACAAACAGAGTGTTTCCTAACTGCTCTATGAAAAGAAAGGTTAAACTCTGTGAGTTGAACGCACACATCACAAAGGATTTTCTGAGAATCATTCTGTCTAGTTTTAAAACGAAGATATTTCCTTTTCTGCCATTGACCTTAAAGCGCTTGAAATCTACACTTGCAAATTGCACAAATAGAGTGTTTCAAATCTGCTCTGTCTAAGGGAACGTTCAACTCTGTGAGTTGAATGCACACAACACAAGGAAGTTACTGGGAATTCTTCTGTCTAGCCTTACATGAAAAAAACCCGTTTCTAACGAAGGCCTCTAAGTGGTCAAAATTTCCACGTGCAGACTTTACAAACAGAGTGTTTCCAAACCGCTGAATGAAAAGAAAAGTTAAACTCTGAGAGTTGAACGCACACATCACGCAGCAGTTTCTGACAATTATTCTGTCTAGTTTTTATACGAAGATATTTCCTTTTCTGCCTTTGGCCCCAAAGCGCTTGAAATCTCCACTTGCAAATTCCACAAAAACAGTGTTTCAAATCTGCTCTCTCTAAATGATAGTTCAACTCTGTCAGTTGAATACACACAACACAAGGAAAGTTACTGAGAATTCTTCTGTCTAGCATAATATGAAGAAATCCCGTTTCCAACGAAGGCCTCAAGGAGGTCTGAATATCCACTTGCAGACTTTACCAACAGAGTGTTTCCTAACTGCTCTATGAAAAGAAAGGTTAAACTCTGTGCGTTGAAAGCACACATCACAAAGGAGTTTCTGAGAATCATTCTGTCTAGTTTTTATACGAAGATATTTCCTTTTCTACCATGGTCCTCAAAGCGGCTGAAATCTCCACTTGCAAATTCCACAAAAAGAGTGTTTCAAGTCTGCTCTGTGTAAAGGATCGTTCAACTCTGTGAGTTGAATACACACAACACAAGGAAGATTCTGAGAATTCTTCTGTCTAGCAGAATATGAAGAAATCCCGTTTCCAACGAATGCCACAAGATGTCAGAATATCCACTTACAGAATTGACAAACAGACTGTTTCCTAACTGCTCTATGAAAAGAAAGGTTAAACTCTGTGAGTTGAGCGAACACATCACAACGCTGTTTGTGGGAATGATTCTGTCTAGTTTTGAAACGAAGATATTTCCTTTTCTGCCATTGACCTTAAAGCGCTTGAAATCTACACTTGCAAATTGCACAAATAGAGTGTTTCAAATCTGCTCTGTCTAAGGGAACGTTCAAGTCTGTGAGTTGAATGCACACAACACAAGGAAGTTACTGGGAATTCTTCTGTCTAGCCTTACAAGAAAAAAACCCGTTTCCAAAGAAGGCATCTAAGTGGTCAAAATATCCACGTGCAGACTTTACAAACAGAGTGTTTCCGAACTGCTGAATGAAAAGAAAAGTTAAACTCTGAGAGTTGAACGCACACATCGCAGAGCAGTTTCTGAGAATGATTCTGTCTAGTTTTTATACGAAGATATTTCCTTTTCTACCATTGACCTCAACGCACCTGAAATCTCCGCTTGCAAATTCCACAAAAAGAGTGTTTCCAGTCCGCTCTGTGTAAAGGATCGTTCAACTCTGTGAGTTGAATACACACAACACAAGGAAGTTACTGAGAATTCTTCTGTCTAGCACAGTATGAAGAAATCCCGTTTCCAACGAAGGCCTCAAAGAGGTCTGAATATCCACTTGCAGACTTTACAAACAGAGTGTTTCCTAACTGCTCTATGAAAAGAAAGGTTAAACTCTGTGAGTTGAACGCACACATCACAAAGAAGTTTCTGAGAAACATTCTGTCTAGTTTTTATAGGAAGATATTTCCTTTTCTACCTTTGACTTCAAAGCGGCTGAAATCTCCACTTGCGAATTCCACAAAAAGAGTGTTACAAGTCTGCTCTGTGTAAAGGATCGTTCAACTCTGTGAGTTGAATACACACAACACAAGGAAGTTACTGAGAATTCTTCTGTCTAGCAGAATATGAAGAAATCCCGTTTCCAACGAAGGCCACAAGATGTCAGAATATCCACTTACAGACTTTACAAACAGTGTGTTTCCTAACTGCTCTATGAACGGAAAGGTTAAACTCTGTGAGTTGAACGAACACATCACAACGCAGTTTGTGGGAATGATTCTGTCTAGTTTTGAAACGAAGATATTTCCTTTTCTGCCATTGACCTTAAAGCGCTTGAAATCTACACTTGCAAATTGCACAAATAGAGTGTTTCAAATCTGCTCTGTCTAAGGGAACGTTCAACACTGTGAGTTGAATGCACACAACACAAGGAAGTTACTGGGAATTCTTCTGTCTAGCCTTACAGGAAAAAAACCCGTTTCCAACGAAGGCCTCTAAGTGGTCAAAATATCCACGTGCAGACTTTACAACCAGAGTGTTTCCAAACTGCTGAATGAAAAGAAAAGTTAAACTCTGAGAGTTGAACGCACACATCGCAGAGCAGTTTCTGAGAATGATTCTGTCTAGTTTTGAAATGAAGATATTTCCTTTTCTGCCTTTGGCCTCAAAGCGCTTGAAATCTCCACTTGCAAGTTCCACAAAAAGAGTGTTTCAAATCTGCTCTGTGTAAATGAAAGTTCAACTCTGTGAGTTGGACACACACAACACAAGGAAGTTACTGGGAATTCTTCTGTCTAGCAGAATATGAAGAAATCCCGTTTCCAACGAAAGCCTCAAAGATGTCTGAATATCCACTTGCAGACTTTACAAACAGAGTGTTTCCTAACTGCTCTATGAAAAGAAAGGTTGAACTCTGTGAGTTGAACGCACACATCACAAAGGAGTTTCTGAGAATCATTCTGTCTAGTTTCTATAGGAAGATATTTCCTATTCTACCATTGACCTCAAAGCGGCTGAAATCTCCACTTGCAAATTCCACAAAAAGAGTGTTTCAAGACTGTTCTGTGTAAAGGATCATTCAATTCTGTGAGTTGAATACACACAACACAAGGAAGTTACTGAGAATTCTTCTGTCTAGCAGAATGTGAAGAAATCCCGTTTCCAACGAAGGCCACAAGATGTCAGAATATCCACTTACAGAATTTACAAACAGACTGTTTCCTAACTGCTCTATGAAAAGAAAGGTTAAACTCTGTGAGTTGAACGAATACATCACAACGCAGTTTGTGGGAATGATTCTGTCTAGTTTTGAAACGAAGATATTTCCTTTTCTGCCATTGACCTTAAAGCGCTTGAAATCTCCACTTGCCAATTGCACAAAAAGAGTGTTTCAAATCTGCTCTGTCTAAGGGAACGTTCAACTCTGTGAGTTGAATGTACACAACACAAGGAATTTACTGGGAAATCTTCTGTCTAGCCTTACAGGAAAAAAACCCGTTTCCAACGAAGGCCTCTAAGTGGTCAAAATATCCACGTGCAGACTTTACAAACAGAGTGTTTCCAAACTGCTGAATGAAAAGAAAAGTTAAACTCTAAGAGTTGAACGCACACATCGCAGAGCAGTTTCTGAGAATGATTCTGTCTAGTTTTTATACGAAGATATTTCCTTTTCTGCCTTTGGCCTCAAAGCGCTTGAAATCTCCACTTGCAAATTCCACAAAAAGAGTGTTTCAAATCTGCTCTGTGTAAATCAAAGTTCAACTGTGTGAGTTGAACACACACAACACAAGGAAGTTACTGGGAATACTTGTGTCTAGCATAATATGAAGAAATCCCGTTTCCAAAGAAGGCCTCAAGGAGGTCTGAATATCCACTTGCAGACTTTACAAACAGAGTGTTTCCTAACTGCTCTATGAAAAGAAAGGTTAAACTCTGTGAGATGAACGCACACATCACAAAGGAGTTTCTCAGAATCATTCTGTCTAGTTTGTATAAGAAGATATTTCCTATTCTACCATTGACCTCAAAGCGGCTGAAATCTCCACTTGCAAATTCGACAAAAAGAGTCTTTCAAGCCTGCTCTCTGTAAAGGATCCTTCAACTCTGTGAGTTGAATACACACAACACAAGGAAGTTACTGAGAATTATTCTGTCTAGCATAATATGAAGAAATCCCGTTTCCAACGAAGGCCTCAAAGAGGTCTGAATATCCACTTGCAGACTTTACAAACAGAGTGTTTCCTAACTGCTCTATGAGAAGAAAAGTTAAACTCTGTGAGTTGAACGCACACATCACAAAAGATTTTCTTAGAATCATTCTGTCTAGTTTTGAAACGAAGATATTTCCTTTTCTGCCATTGACCTTAAAGCGCTTGAAATCTACACTTGCCAATTGCACAAATAGAGTGTTTCAAATCTGCTCTGTCTAAGGGAACGTTCAACTCTGTGAGTTGAATGCACACAACACAAGGAAGTTACTGGGAATTCTTCTGTCTAGACCTTACATGAAAAAAACCCGTTTCCAACGAAGGCCTCTAAGTGGTCAAATTATCCACGTGCAGACTTTACAAACAGAGTGTTTCCAAACTGCTGAAGGAAAAGAAAAGTTAAACTCTGAGAGTTGAACGCACACATCGCAGAGCAGTTTCTGAGAATGATTCTGTCTAGTTTTTATACGAAGATATTTCCTTTTCTGCCTTTGGCCTCAAAGCGCTTGAAATCTCCATTTGCAAATTCCACAAAAAGAGTGTTTCAAATCTGCTCTGTGTAAATGAAAGTTCAACTCTGTCAGTTGAATACACACAACACAAGGTAAGTTACTGAGAATTCTTCTGTCTAGCATAGTATGAAGAAATCCCGTTTCCAACGAAGGCCTCAAAGAGGTCTGAATATCCACTTGCAGAGTTTACAAACAGAGTGTTTCCTAACTGCTCTATGAAAAGAAAGGTTAAACTCTGTGAGTTGAACGCACACATCACAAGGAAGTTTCTGAGAATCATTCTGTCTAGTTTTTATACGAAGATATTTCCTTTTCTACCTTTGACTTCAAAGCGGCTGAAATCTCCACTTGCAAATTCCACAAAAAGAGTGTTACAAGTCTGCTCTGTGTAAAGGATCGTTCAACTCTGTGAGTTGAATACACACAACACAAGGAAGTTACTGAGAATTCTTCTGTCTAGCATAGTATGAAGAAATCCCGTTTCCAACGAAGGCCACAAAGAGGTCTGAATATCCACTTGCAGAGTTTACAAACAGAGTGTTTCCTAACTGCTCTATGAAAAGAAAGGTTAAACTCTGTGAGTTGAACGCACACATCACAAAGAAGTTTCTGAGAATCATTCTGTCTAGTTTTGAAACGAAGATATTTCCTTTTCTGCCATTGAACTTAAAGCGCTTGAAATCTCCATTTGCCAATTGCACAAAAAGAGTGTTTCAAATCTGCTCTGTCTAAGGGAACGTTCAACTCTGTGAGTTGAATGTACACAACACAAGGAAGTTACTGGGAATTCTTCTGTCTAGCATAATATGAAGAAATCCCGTTTCCAACGAAGACCTCAAAGAGGTCTGAATATCCACTGGCAGACTTTACAAACAGAGTGTTTCCTAACTGCTCTATGAGAAGAAAAGTTAAACTCCTGTGAGTTGAACGCACACATCACAAAAGATTTTCTGAGAATCATTCTGTCTAGTTTCTATAGGAAGATATTTCCTATTCTAACATTGACCTCAAAGCGGCTGAAATCTCCACTTGCAAATTCCACAAAAAGAGTGTTTCAAGTCTGCTCTGTGTAAAGGATCGTTCAACTCTGTGATTTGAATACACACAACACAAGGAAGTTACTGAGAATTCTTCTGTCTAGCATAATATGAAGAAATCCCGTTTCCAACGAATGCCTCAAGGAGGTCTGAATATCCACTTGCAGACTTTACAAACAGAGTGTTTCCTAACTGCTCTATGAAAAGAAAGGTTAAACTGTGTGAGTTGAACGCACACATCACAAAGGAGTTTCTGAGAATCATTCTGTCTAGTTTCTATAGGAAGATATTTCCTATTCTACCATTGATCTCAAAGAGGCTGAAATCTCCACTTGCAAATTCCACAAAAAGAGTGTTTCAAGTCTGCTCTGTGTAAAGGATCGTTGAACTCTGTGAGTTGAAAACACACAACACAAGGAAGTTTCTGAGAATTCTTCTGTCTAGCAGAATATGAAGAAATCCCGTTTCCAACGATGGCCTCAAAGAGGTCTGAATATCCACTTGCAGACTTTACAAACACAGTGTTTCCTAACTGCTCTATGAACAGAAAGTTTAAACTCTGTGAGTTGAACGAACACATCACAACGCAGTTTGTGGGAATGATTCTGTCTAGTTTTGAAACGATGATATTTCCTTTTCTGCCATTGACCTTAAAGCGCTTGAAATCTACACTTGCAAATTCCACAAAAAGAGTGTTTCAAGTCTGCTCTGTGTAAAGGATCGTTCAACTCTGTGAGTTGAATACACACAACACAAGGAAGTTACTGAGAATTCTTCTGTCTAGCAGAATATGAAGAAATCCCGTTTCCAACGAAGGCCTCAAACAGGTCTGAATATCCACTTGCAGACTTTACAAACAGAGTGTTTCCTAACTGCTCTATGAAAAGAAAGGTTAAACTCTGTGAGTTGAACGCACACATCACAAAGGAGTTTATGAGAATCATTCTGTCTAGTTTTCAAACGAAGATATTTCCTTTTCTGCCTTTGGCCTCAAACCGCTTGAAATCTCCACTTGCAAATTCCACAAAAAGAGTGTTTCAAATCTGCTCTGTGTAAATGAAAGTTCAACTCTGTGAGTTGAACACACACAACACAAGGAAGTTACTGGGAATTCTTCTGTCTAGCCTTATATGAAAAAAAACCCGTTTCCAACGAAGGCCTCAAAGAGGTCTGAATATCCACTTGCAGACTTTACAAACAGAGTGTTTCCTAACTGCTCTATGAAAAGAAAGGTTAAACTCTGTGAGTTGAACGCACACATCACAAAGGAGTTTCTGAGAATCATTCTGTCTAGTCTTTATACGAAGATATTTCCTTTTCTACCATTGACCTCAAAGCGGCTGAAATCTCCACTTGCAAATTCCACAAAAAGAGTGTTTCAAGTTTGCTCTGTGTAAAGGATCGTTCAACTCTGTGAGTTGAATACACACAACACAAGGAAGTTACTGAGAATTCTTCTGTCTAGCAGAATATGAAGAAATCCCGTTTCCAACGAAGGCCCCAAGATGTCAGAATATCCACTTACAGAATTTACAACAGAGTGTTTCCTAACTGCTCTATGAAAAGAAAGGTTAAACTCTGTGAGTTGAACGAACACATCACAACGCAGTTTGTGGGAATGATTCTGTCTAGTTCTGAAACGAAGATATTTCCTTTTCTGCCGTTGACCTTAAAGAGCTTGAAAACTACACTTGCAAATTGCACAAATAGAGTGTTTCAAATCTGCTCTGTCTAAGGGAACGTTCAACTTTGTGAGTTGAATGCACACAACACAAGGAAGTTCCTGGGAATTCTTCTGTCTAGCCTTACAGGAAAAAAACCCGTTTCCAACGAAGGCCTCTAAGGGGTCAAAATATCCACGTGCAGACTTTACAAACAGAGTGTTTCCAAACTGCTGAATGAAAAGAAAAGTTAAACTCTGAGAGTTGAACGCACACATCGCAGAGCAGTTTCTGAGAATGATTCTGTCTAGTCTTTTATACGAAGATATTTCCTTTTCTACCATTGACCTCAAAGCGGCTGAAATCTCCACTTGCAAATTCCACAAAAAGAGTGTTTCAAGTCTGCTCTGTGTAAAGGATCGTTCAACTCTGTGAGTTGAATACACACAACACAAGGAAGTTACTGAGAATTCTTCTGTCTAGCAGAATAGGAAGAAATCCCGTTTCCAACGAAGGCCTCAAAGAGGTCTGAATATCCACTTGCAGACTTTACAAACAGAGTGTTTCCTAACGGCTCTATGAAAAGAAAAGTTAAACTCTGTGAGTTGAACGCACACATCACAAAGGAGTTTCTGAGAATCGTTCTGTCTACTCTTTATACGAAGATATTTCCTTTTCTACCATTGACCTCAAAGCAGCTGAAATCTCCACAAGCAAATTCCACATAAAGAGTGTTTCAAGTCTGCTCTGTGTAAAGGATCGTTCAACTCTGTGAGTTGAATACACACAACACAAGGAAGTTACTGAGAATTCTTCTTTCTAGCAGAATATGAAGAAATCCCGTTTCCAACGAAGGCCTCAAGGAGGTCTGAATATCCACTTGCAGACTTTACAAACAGAGTGTTTCCTAACTGCTCTATGAAAAGAAAGGTTAAACTCTGTGAGTTGAACGCATACATCACAAAGGAGTTTATGAGAATCATTCTGTCTAGTTTTTATACGAAGATATTTCCTTTTCTACCATTGACCTCAAAGCGGCTGAAATCACCACTTGCCAATTGCACAAAAAGACTGTTTCAAATCTGCTCTGTCTAAGGGAACGTTCAACTCTGTGAGTTGAATGTACACAACACAAGGAAGTTCCTGGGAATTCTTCTGTCTAGCCTTACATGAAAAAAACCCGTTTCCAACGAAGGCCTCTAAGTGGTCAAATTATCCACGTGCAGACGTTACAAACAGAGTGTTTCCAAACTGCTGAATGAAAAGAAAAGTTAAACTCTGAGAGTTGAACGCACACATCGCAGAGCAGTTTCTGAGAATGATTCTGTCTAGTTTTTATACGAAGATATTTCCTTTTCTGCCTTTGGCCTCAAAGCGCTTGAAATCTCCACCTGTAAATTCCACAAAAAGAGTGTTTCAAATCTGCTCTGTGTAAATGAAAGTTCAACTCTGTGAGTTGAACACACACAACACAAGGAAGTTACTGGGAATTCTTCTGTCTAGCATAATATGAAGAAATCCCGTTTCCAATGAACGCCTGAAAGATGTCTGAATATCCACTTGCAGACTTTACAAACAGAGTGTTTCCTAACTGCTCTATGAAAAGAAAGGTTAAACTCTGTGAGTTGAACGCACACATCACAAAGGAGTTTCTGAGAATCATTCTGTCTAGTTTTTATACGAAGATATTTCCTTTTCTACCATTGACCTCAAAGCGGCTGAAATCTCCACTTGCCAATTCCACAAAAAGAGTGCTTTACGTCTGCTCTGTGTAAAGGATCGTTCAACTCTGTGAGTTGAATACACACAACACAAGGAAGTTACTGACAATTCTTCTGTCTAGGAGAATATGAAGAAATCCCGTTTCCAACGAAGGCCACAAGATGTCAGAATATCCACTTACAGAATTGACAAACAGACTGTTTCCTAACTGCTCTATGAAAAGAAAGGTTAAACTCTGTGAGTTGAACGAACACATCACAACGCAGTTTGTGGGAATGATTCTGTCTAGTTTTGAAACGAAGATATTTCCTTTTCTGCCGTTGACCTTAAAGCGCTTGAAATCTACACTTGCAAATTGGACAAATAGAGTGTTTCAAATCTGCTCTGTCTAAGGGAACGTTCAACTCTGTGAGTTGAATGCACACAACACAAGGAAGTTACTGGGAATTCTTCTGTCTAGCCTTACATGAAAAAAACTCGTTTCCAACGAAGGCCTCTAAGTGGTCAAATTATCCACGTGCAGACTTTACAAACAGAGTGTTTCCAAACTGCTGAATGAAAAGAAAAGTTAAACTCTGAGAGTTGAACGCACACATCGCAGAGCAGTTTCTGAGAATGATTCTGTCTAGTTTTGAAACGAAGATATTTCCTTTTCTGCCTTTGGCCTCAAAGCGCTTGAAATCTCCACTTTCAAATTCCACAAAAAGAGTGTTTCAAATCTGCTCTGTGTAAATGAAAGTTCAACTCTGTGAGTTGAACACACACAACACAAGGAAGTTAGTGGGAATTCTTCTGTCTAGCAGAATATGAAGAAATCCCGTTTCCAACGAAGGCCTCAAAGAGGTCTGAATATCCACTTGCAGACTTTACAAACAGAGTGTTTCCTAACTGCTCTATGAAAAGAAATGTTAAACTCTGTGAGTTGAACGCACACATCAGAAAGGAGTTTCTGAGAATCATTCTGTCTAGTTTGTATAGGAAGATATTTCCTATTCTACCATTGACCTCAAAGCGGCTGAAATCTCCACTTGCAAATTCCATAAAAAGAATGTTTCAAGTCTGCTCTGTGTAAAGGATCGTTCAACTCTGTGAGTTGAATACACACAACACAAGGAAGTTACTGAGAATTCTTCTGTCTAGCAGAATATGAAGAAATCCCGTTTCCAACGAAGGCCACAAGATGTCAGAATATCCACTTTCATACTTTACAAACAGAGTGTTTCCTAACTGCTCTATGAAAAGAAAGGTTAAACTCTGTGGGTTGAACGAACACATCACAACGCAGTTTGTGGGAATGATTCTGTCTAGTTTTGAAACGAAGATATTTCCTTTTCTGCCATTGAACTTAAAGCGCTTGAAATCTCCATTTGCCAATTGCACAAAAAGAGTGTTTCAAATCTGCTCTGTCTAACGGAACGTTCAACTCTGTGAGTTGAATGTACACAACACAAGGAAGTTACTGGGAATTCTTCTGTCTAGCCTTACAGAAAAAAAACCCGTTTCCAACGAAGGCCTCTAAGTGGTCAAAATATCCACGTGCAGACTTTACAAACAGAGTGTTTCCAAACTGCTGAATGAAAAGAAAAGTTAAACTCTGAGAGTTGAACGCACACATCGCAGAGCAGTTTCTGAGAATGATTCTGTCTAGTTTTTATACGAAGATATTTCCTTTTCTGCCTTTGGCCCCAAAGCGCTTGAAATCTCCACTTGCAAATTCCACAAAAACAGTGTTTCAAATCTGCTCTCTCTAAATGAAAGTTCAACTCTGTCATTTGAATACACACAACACCAAGGAAGTTACTGAGAATTCTTCTGTCTAGCATAATATGAAGAAATCCCGTTTCCAACGAAGACCTCAAGGAGGTCTGAATATCCACTTGCAGACTTTACAAACAGAGTGTTTCCTAACTGCTCTATGAAAAGAAAGGTTAAACTCTGTGAGTTGAACGCACACATCACAAAGGAGTTTCTGAGAATCACTCTGTCTAGTCTTTATACGAAGATATTTCCTTTTCTACCATTGACCTCAAAGCGGCTGAAATCTCCACTTGCAAATTCCACAAAAAGAGTGTTTCAAGTCTGCTCTGTGTAAAGGATCGTTCAACTTCTGTGAGTTGAATACACACAACACAAGGAAGTTACTGAGAATTCTTCTGTCTAGCAGAATATGAAGAAATCCCGTTTCCAACGAAGGCCACAAGATGTCAGAATATTCACTTACAGACTTTACAAACAGAGTGTTTCCTAACTGCTCTATGAACAGAAAGGTTAAACTCTGTGAGTTGAACGAACACATCACAACGCAGTTTGTGGGAATGATTCTGTCTAGTTTTGAAACGAAGAAATTTCCTTTTCTGCCATTGACCTTAAAGCGCTTGAAATCTACACTTGCAAATTGCACAAATAGAGTGTTTCAAATCTGCTCTGTCTAAGTGAACGTTCAACTCTGTGAGTTGAATGCACACAACACAAGGGAAGTTACTGGGAATTCTTCTGTCTAGCCTTACATGAAAAAAACCCGTTTCCAACGAAGGCCTCTAAGTGGTCAAAATATCCACGTGCAGACTTTACAAACAGAGTGTTTCCAAACCGCTGAATGAAAAAAAAAGTTAAACTCTGAGAGTTGAACGCACACATCACGCAGCAGTTTCTGAGAATGATTCTGTCTAGTTTTGAAATGAAGATATTTCCTTTTCTGCCTTTGGCCTCAAAGCGCTTGAAATCTCCACTTGCAAATTCCACAAAAAGAGTGTTTCAAATCTGCTCTGTGTAAATGGAAGTTCAACTCTGTGAGTTGAACACACACAACACAAGGAAGTTACTGGGAATTCTTCTGTCTAGCACAGTATGAAGAAATCCCGTTTCCAACGAAGGCCTCACAGAGGTCTGAATATCCACTTGCAGAGTTTACAAACAGAGTGTTTCCTAACTGCTCTATGAAAAGAAAGGTTAAACTCTGTGAGTTGAACGCACACATCACAAAGAAGTTTCTGAGAATCATTCTGTCTAGTTTTTATACGAATATATTTCCTTTTCTACCATTGACCTCAAAGCGGCTGAAATCTCCACTTGCAAATTCCACAAAAAGAGTGTTTCATATCTGCTCTGTGTAAACCATCGTTCAACTGTGTGAGTTGAATACACACAACACAAGGAAGATTCTGAGAATTCTTCTGTCTAGCAGAATATGAAGAAATCCCGTTTCCAACGAAGGCCACAAGATGTCAGAATATCCACTTACAGACGTTACAGAGTGTTTCCTAACTGCTCTATGAACAGAAAGGTTAAACTCTGTGAGTTGAACGAACACATCACAAGGCAGTTTGTGGGAATGATTCTGTCTAGTTTTGAAACGAAGATATTTCCTTTTCTGCCATTGAACTTAAAGCGCTTGAAATCTCCATTTGCCAATTGCACAAAAAGAGTGTTTCAAATCTGCTCTGTCTAAGGGAACGTTCAACTCTGTGAGTTGAATGTACACAACACAAGGAAGTTACTGGGAATTCTTCTGTCTAACCTTAGATGAAAAAAACCCGTTTCCAACGAAGGCCTCTAAGTGGTCAAAATATCCACGTGCAGACTTTACAAACAGAGTGTTTCCAAACCGCTGAATGAAAAGAAAAGTTAAACTCTGAGAGTTAAACGTACACATCACGCAGCAGTTTCTGAGAATGATTCTGTCTAGTTTTTATACGAAGATATTTCCTTTTCTGCCTTTGGCCCCAAAGCGCTTGAAATCTCCACTTGGAAATTCCACAGAAACAGTGTTTCAAATCTGCTCTCTCTAAATGAAAGTTCAACTCTGTGAGTTGAATACACACAACACAAGGAAGTTACTGAGAATTCTTCTGTCTAGCATAATATGAAGAAATCCCGTTTCCAACGAAGGCCTCAAAGGGGACTGAATATCCACTTGCAGACTTTATAAACAGAGTGTTTACTAACTGCTCTATGAAAAGAAAGGTTAAACTCTGTGAGTTGAACACAAACATCACAAAGGAGTTTCTGAGAATCATTCTGCCTAGTTTTTCTACGAAGATATTTCCTTTTCTACTATTGACCTCAAAGCGGCTGAAATCTCCACTTGCAAATTCCACAAAAAGAGTGTTTCAAGTCTGCTCTGTGTAAAGGATCGTTCAACTCTGTGAGTTGAATACACACAACACAAGGAAGTTACTGAGAATTCTCTGTCTAGCACAATGTGAAGAAATCCCGTTTCCAACGAAGGCCTCAAGGGGTCTGAATATCCACTTGCAGACTTTATAAACAGAGTGTTTACTAACTGCTCTATGAAAAGAAAGGTTAAACTCTGTGAGTTGAACACACACATCACAAAGGAGTTTCTGAGAATCATTCTGTCTAGTTTTTATAGGAAGATATTTCCTTTTCTACCTTTGACTTCAAAGCGGCTGAAATCTCCACTTGCACATTCCACAAAAAGAGTGTTACAAGTCTGCTCTGTGTAAAGGATCGTTCAACTCTGTGAGTTGAATACACACAACACAAGGAAGTTACTGAGAATTCTTCTGTCTAGCCTTACATGAAAAAAACCCGTTTCCAACGAAGGCCTCTCAGAGGTCAAAATATCCACGTGCAGACTTTACAAACATAGTGTTTCCAAACTGCTGAATGAAAAGAAAAGTTAAACTCTGAGAGTTGAACGCACACATCACCGAGCAGTTTCTGAGAATGATTTTGTCTAGTTTCTATAAGAAGATATTTCCTATTCTACCATTGACCTCAAAGCGGCTGAAATCTCCACTTGCAAATTCGACAAAAAGAGTGTTTCAAGCCTGCTCGCTGTAAAGGATCCTTCAACTCTGTGAGTTGAATACACACAACACAAGGAAGTTACTGAGAATTATTCTGTCTGGCAGAATATGAAGAAATCCCGTTTCCAACGAAGGCCTCAAAGACGTCTGAATATCCACTTGCAGACTTTACAAACAGAGTGTTTCCTAACTGCTCTATGAAAAGAAAAGTTAAACTCTGTGAGTTGAACGCACACATCACACAGGATTTTCTGAGAATCATTCTGTGTAGTTTCTATAGGAAGATATTTCCTATTCTACCATTGAACTCAAAGCGGCTGAAATCTCCACTTGCAAATTCCACAAAAAGAGTGTTTCAAGTCTGCTCTGTTTAAAGGATCGTTCAACTCTGTGAGTTGAATACACACAACACAAGGAAGTTACTGAGAATTCCTCTGTCTAGCAGAATATGAAGAAATCCCGTTTCCAACGAAGGCCACAAGATGTCAGAATATCCACTTACAGAATTTACAAACAGAGTGTTTCCTAACTGCTCTATGAAAAGATAGGTTAAACTCTGTGAGATGAACGAACACATCACAACGCAGTTTGTGGGAATGATTCTGTCTAGTTTTGAAACGAAGATATTTCCTTTTCTGCCATTGACCTTAAAGCGGTTGAAATCTCCACTTGCCAATTGCACAAAAAGAGTGTTTCAAATCTGCTCGGTCTAAGGGAACGTTCAACTCTGTGAGTTGAATGTACACAACACAAGGAAGTTACTGGGAATTCTTCTGTCTAGCCTTACATGAAAAAAACCCGTTTCCAACGAAGGCCTCTAAGTGGTCAAAATTTCCACGTGCAGACTTTACAAAGAGAGTGTTTCCAAACCGCTGAATGAAAAGAAAAGTTAAACTCTGAGAGTTGAACGCACACATCACGCAGCAGTTTCTGAGAATGATTCTGTCTAGTTTTTATACGAAGATATTTCCTTTTCTGCCTTTGGCCCCAAAGCGCTTGAAATCTCCACTTGCAAATTCCACAAAAACAGTGTTTCAAATCTGCTCTCTCTAAATGAAAGTTCAACTCTGTGAGTTGAATACACACAACACAAGGAAGTTACTGAGAATTCTTCTGTCTAGCATAATATGAAGAAATCCCGTTTCCAACGAAGGCCTCAAGGAGGTCTGAATATCCACTTCCAGACTTTACAAACAGAGTGTTTCCTAACTGCTCTATGAAAAGAAAGGTTAAACTCTGTGAGTTGAACGCACACATCACAAAGGAGTTTCTGAGAATCATTCTGCCTAGTTTTTCTACGAAGATATTTCCTTTTCTACTATTGACCTCAAAGCGGCTGAAATCTCCACTTGCAAATTCCACAAAAAGAATGTTTCAAGTCTGCTCTGTGTAAAGGATCGTTCAACTCTGTGAGTTGAATACACACAACACAAGGAAGTTACTGAGAATTCTTCTGTCTAGCAGAATATGAAGAAATCCCGTTTCCAACGAAGGCCACAAGATGTCCGAATATCCACTTACAGACTTTACAAACAGAGTGTTTCCTAACTGCTCTATGAACAGAAAGGTTAAACTCTGTGAGTTGAACGAACACATCACAACGCAGTTTGTGGGAATGATTCTGTCTAGTTTTGAAACGAAGATATTTCCTTTTCTGCCGTTGACCTTAAAGCGCTTGAAATCTACACTTGCAAATTGCACAAATAGAGTGTTTCAAATCTGCTCTGTCTAAGGGAACGTTCATCTCTGTGAGTTGAATGCACACAACACAAGGAAGTTACTGGGAATGCTTCTGTCTAGCCTTACATGAAAAAAACCCGTTTCCAACGAAGGCCTCTAAGTGGTCAAAATATCCACGTGCAGACTTTACAAACAGAGTGTTTCCAATCCGCTGAATGAAAAGAAAAGTTAAACTCTGAGAGTTGAACGCACACATCACGCAGCAGTTTCTGAGAATGATTCTGTCTAGTTTCTGTAGGAAGATATTTCCTATTCTACCATTGACCTCAAAGCGGCTGAAATCTCCAGTTGCAAATTCCACAAAAAGAATGTTTCAAGTCTGCTCTGTGTAAAGGATCGTTCAACTCTGTGAGTTGAATACACACAACACAAGGAAGTTACTGAGAATTATTCTGTCTAGCATAATATGAAGAAATCCCGTTTCCAACGAAGGCCTCAAAGAGGTCTGAATATCCACTTGCAGACTTTACAAACAGAGTGTTTCCTAACTGCTCTATGAAAAGAAAAGTTAAACTTTGTGAGTTGAACGCACCCATCACAAATGAGTTTATGAGAATCATTCTGTCTAGTTTTTATACGAAGATATTTCCTTTTCTACCATTGATCTCAAAGCGGCTGAAATCTCCACTTGCAAATTCCACGAAAAGAGTGTTTCAAGTCTGCTCTGTGTAAAGGATCGTTCAACTCTGTGAGTTGAATACACACAACACAAGGAGGTTACTGAGAATTCTTCTGTCTAGCAGAATATGAAGAAATCCCGTTTCCAACGAAGGCCACAAGATGTCAGAATATCCACTTACAGAATTTACAAACAGACTGTTTCCCAACTGCTCTATGAAAAGAAAGGTTAAACTCTGTGAGTTGCACACACACATCACAATGAAGTTTCTGAGAATCATTCTGTCTAGTTTTGAAACGAAGATATTTCCTTTTCTGCCGTTGACCTTAAAGCGCTTGAAATCTACACTTGCAAATTGGACAAATAGAGTGTTTCAAATCTGCTCTGTCTAAGGGAACGTTCAACTCTGTGAGTTGAATGCACACAACACAAGGAAGTTACTGGGAATTCTTCTGTCTAGCGTTACAGGAAAAAAACCCGTTTCCAACGAAGGCCTCTAAGTGGTCAAAATATCCACGTGCAGACTTCACAAACAGAGTGTTTCCAAACTGCTGAATGAAAAGAAAAGTTAAACTCTGAGAGTTGAACGCACACATCGCAGAGCAGTTTCTGAGAATGATTCTGTCTAGTTTTTATACGAAGATATTTCCTTTTCTGCCTTTGGCCTCAAAGCGCTTGAAATCTCCACTTGCAAATTCCACAAAATGAGTGTTTCAAATCTGCTCTGTGTAAATGAAAGTTCAACTCTGTGAGTTGAACACACACAACACAAGGAAGTTAGTGGGAATTCTTCTGTCTAGCAGAATATGAAGAAATCCCGTTTCCAACGAAGGCCTCAAGGAGGTCTGAATATCCACTTGCAGACTTTACAAACAGAGTGTTTCCTAACTGCTCTATGAACAGAAAGGTTAAACTCTGTGAGTTGAACGCACACATCACAAAGGAGTTTCTGAGAATCGTTCTGTCTAGTTTTTATATGAAGATATTTCCTTTTCTACCATTGACCTCAAAGCGGCTGAAATCTCCACTTACAAATTCCACAAAAAGAGTGTCTCAAGTCTGCTCTGTGTAAACGATCGTTCACATCTGTGAGTTGAATACACACAACACAAGGAAGTTTCTGAGAATTCTTCTGTCTAGCAGAATATGAAGAAATCCCGTTTCCAACGAAGGCCTCAAGGAGGTCTGAATATCCACTTGCAGACTTTACAAACAGAGTGTTTCCTAACTGCTCTATGAACAGAAAGGTTAAACTCTGTGAGTTGAACGAACACATCACAACGAGTTTGTGGGAATGATTCTGTCTAGTTTTGAAACGAAGATATATCCTTTTCTGCCGTTGACCTTAAAGCGCTTGAAATCTACACTTGCAAATTACACAAATAGAGTGTTTCAAATCTGCTCTGTCTAAGGGAACGTTCAACTCTGTGAGTTGAATGCACACAACACAAGGAAGTTACTGGGAATTCTTCTGTCTAGCCTTACAGGAAAAAAACCCGTTTCCAACGAAGGCCTCTAAGTGGTCAAAATATCCACGTGCAGACTTTACAAACAGAGTGTTTCCCAAACTGGTGAATGAAAAGAAAGGTTAAACTCTGTGAGTTGAACGCACACATCACAAAGGAGTTTCTGAGAATCATTCTGTCTAGTTTCTATAGGAAGATATTTCCTATTCTACCATTGACCTCAAAGCGGCAGAAATCTCCACTTGCAAATTCCACAAAAAGAATGTTTCAAGTCTGCTCTGTGTAAAGGATCGTTCAACTCTGTGAGTTGAATACACACAACACAAGGAAGTTACTGAGAATTATTCTGTCTAGCAGAATATGAAGAAATCCCGTTTCCAACGAAGGCCTCAAAGAGGTCTGAATATCCACTTGCAGACTTTACAAACAGAGTGTTTCCTAACTGCTCTATGAAAAGAAAAGTTAAACTCTGTGAGTTGAACGCACACATCACAAAGGAGTTTCTGAGAATCATTCTGTCTAGTTTCTATAGGAAGATATTACCTATTCTACCATTGACCTCAAAGCGGCTGAAGTCTCCACTTGCAAATTCCACAAAAAGACTGTTTCAAGTCTGCTCTGTGTAAAGGATCGTTCAACTCTGTGAGTTGAATACACAGAACACAAGGAAGTTACTGAGAATTCTTCTGTCTAGCAGAATATGAAGAAATCCCGTTTCCAACGAAGGCCTCAAGGAGGTCTGAATATCCACTTGCAGACTTTACAAACAGTGTTTCCTAACTGCTCTATGAAAAGAAAGGTTAAACTGTGTGAGTTGAACGCACACATCACAAAGGAGTTTCTGAGAATCATTCTGTCTAGTTTTGAAACGAAGATATTTCCTTTTCTGCCTTTGACCTTAAAGCGCTTGAAATCTCCACTTGCCAATTGCACAAAAAGAGTGTTTCAAATCTGCTCTGTCTAAGGGAACGTTCAACTCTGTGAGTTGAATGTACACAACACAAGGAAGTTACTGGGAATTCTTCTGTCTAGCCTTACAGGAAAAAAACACGTTTGCAACGAAGGCCTCTAAGTGGTCAAAATATCCACGTGCAGACTTTACAAACAGAGTGTTTCCAAACTGCTGAATGAAAAGAAAAGTTAAACTCTGAGAGTTGAACGCACACATCGCAGAGCAGTTTCTGAGAATGATTCTGTCTAGTTTCTATAAGAAGATATTTCCTATTCTACCATTGACCTCAAAGCGGCAGAAATCTCCACTTGCAAATTCGACAAAAAGAGTGTTTCAAGCCTGCTCTCTGTAAAGGATCCTTCAACTCTGTGAGTTGAATACACACAACACAAGGAAGTTACTGAGAATTATTCTGTCTAGCATAATATGAAGAAATCCCGTTTCCAACGAAGGCCTCAAAGAGGTCTGAATATCCACTTGCAGACTTTACAAACAGAGTGTTTCCTAACTGCTCTATAAGAAGAAAAGTTAAACTCTGTGAGTTGAACGCACACATCACAAAAGATTTTCTGAGAATCATTCTGTCTAGTTTTTATACGAAGATATTTCCTTTTCTACCATTGACCTCAAAGCGGCTGAAATCTCCCCTTGCAAATTCCACAAAAAGAGTGTTTCAAGTCTGCTCTGTGTAAATGATCATTGAACTCTGTGAGTTGAATACACACAACACAAGGAAGTTACTGAGAATTCTTCTGTCTAGCAGAATATGAAGAAATCCCGTTTCCAACGAAGGCCACAAGATGTCAGAATATCCACTTACAGACTTTACAAACAGAGTGTTTCCTAACTGCTCTATGAACAGAAAGGTTAAACCCTGTGAGTTGAACGAACACATCACAACGCAGTTTGTGGGAATGATTCTGTCTAGTTTTGAAACGAAGATATTTCCTTTTCTGCCATTGACCTTAAAGCGCTTGAAATCTACACTTGCAAATTGCACAAATAGAGTGTTTCAAATCTGCTCTGTCTAAGCGAACGTTCATCTCTGTGAGTTGAATGCACACAACAAAAGGAAGTTACTGGGAATTCTTCTGTCTACCCTTACATGAAAAAAACCCGTTTCCAACGAAGGCCTCTAAGTGGTCAAAATATCCACGTGCAGACTTTACAAACAGAGTGTTTCCAAACCGCTGAATGAAAAGAAAAGTTAAACTCTGAGAGTTGAACGCACACATCACGCAGCAGTTTCTGAGAATGATTCTGTCTAGTTTTTATACGAAGATATTTCCTTTTCTGCCATTGGCCCCAAAGCGCATGAAATCTCCAAGTGCAAATTCCACAAAAACAGTGTTTCAAATCTGCTCTCTCTAAATGAAAGTTCAACTCTGTCAGTTGAATACACACAACACAAGGAAGTTACTGAGAATTCTTCTGTCTAGCCTTACAGGAAAAAAACCCGTTTCCAACGAAGGCCTCAAAGAGGTCTGAATATCCACGTGCAGTCTTTACAAACAGAGTGTTTCCTAACTGCTCTATGAAAAGAAAGTTTTAACTCTGTGAGTTGAACGCACACATCACAAAGAAGTTTCTGAGAATCATTCTGTCTAGTTTCTATAGGAAGATATTTCCTATTCTACCATTGAACTCAAAGCGGCTGAAATCTCCACTTGCAAATTCCACAAAAAGAGTGTTTCAAGTCTGCTCTGTGTAAAGGATCGTTCAACTCTGTGAGTTGAATACACACAACACAAGGAAGTTATTGAGAATTCTTCTGTCTAGCAGAATATGAAGAAATCCCGTTTCCAACGAAGGCCTCAAGGAGGTCTGAATGTCCACTTGCAGACTTTACAAACAGAGTGTTTCCTAACTGCTCTATGAAAAGAAAGGTGAAACTCTGTGAGTTGAACACACACATCACAAAGGAGTTTCTGAGAATCATTCTGTCTAATTTTTATATGAAGATATTTCCTTTTCAACCATTGATCTTAAAGCGGCTGAAATCTCCATTTGCAAATTCCACAAAAAGAGTGTTTCAAGTCTGCTCTGTGTAAAGGATCGTTCAAGTCTGTGAGTTGAATACACACAACACGAGGAAGTTACTGAGAATTCTTCTGTCTAGCAGAATACGAAGAAATCCCGTTTCCAACGAAGGCCTCAAAGAGGTCTGATTATCCCCTTGCAGACTTTACAAACAGAGTGTTTCCTAACTGCTCTATGAAAAGAAAGGTTAAACTCTGTGAGTTGAACGCACACATCACAAAGGAGTTTCTGAGAATCATTCTGTCTAGTTTTTATAGGAAGATATTTCCTTTTCTACCTTTGACTTCAAAGCGGCTGAAATCTCCACTTGCAAATTCCACAAAAAGAGTGTTACAAGTCTGCTCTGTCTAAGGGAAAGTTCAACTCTGTGAGTTGAATGTACACAACACAAGGAAGTTACTGGGAATTCTTCTGTCTAGCCTTACATGAAAAAAACCCGTTTCCAACGAAGGCCTCTAAGTGGTCAAAATATCCACGTGCAGACTTTACAGACAGAGTGTTTCCAAACCGCTGAATGAAAAGAAAAGTTAAACTCTGAGAGTTGAACGCACACATCACGCATCAGTTTCTGAGAATGATTCTGTCTAGTTTTTATACGAAGATATTTCCTTTTCTGCCCTTGGCCCCAAAGCCCTTGAAATCTCCACTTGCAAATTCCACAAAAACAGTGTTTCAAATCTGCTCTCTCTAAATGAAAGTTCAACTCTGTCAGTTGAATACACACAACACAAGGAAGTTACTGAGAATTCTTCTGTCTAGCATAATATGAAGAAATCCCGTTTCCAAAGAAGGCCTCAAAGAGGTCTGAATATCCACTTGCAGACTTTACAAACAGAATGTTTCCTAACTGCTCTATGAAAAGAAAAGTTAAACTCTGTGAGTTGAACGCACACATCACAAAGGAGTTTCTGAGAATCATTCTGTCTAGTTTTTATACGAAGATATTTCCTCTTCTACCATTGACCTCAACGCGGCTGAAATCTCCACTTGCAAATTCCACAAAAAGAGTGTTTCAAGTCTGCTCTGTGTAAAGGATCATTCAACTCTGTGAGTTGAATACACACAACACAAGGAAGTTACTGAGAATTCTTCTGTCTAGCACAGTATGAAGAAATCCCGTTTCCAACGAAGGCCTCAAGGAGGTCTGAATATCCACTTGCAGAGTTTACAAACAGAGTGTTTCCTAACTGCTCTATGAAAAGAAAGGTTAAACTCTGTGAGTTGAACGCACACATCACCAAGAAGTTTCTGAGAATCATTCTGTCTAGTTTTTATAGGGAGATATTTCCTTTTCTACCTTTGACTTCAAAGCGGCTGAAATCTCCACTTGCAAATTCCACAAAAAGAGTGTTACAAGTCTGCTCTGTGTAAAGGATCGTTCAACTCTGTGAGTTGAATACACACAACACAAGGAAAGTTACTGAGAATTCTTCTGTCTAGCCTTACATGAAAAAAACCCGTTTCCAACGAAGGCCTCTAAGTGGTCAAAATATCCACGTGCAGACTTTACAAACAGAGTGTTTCCAAACCGCTGAATGAAAAGAAAAGTTAAACTCTGAGAGTTGAACGCACACATCACAAAGGAGTTTCTGAGAATGATTCTGTCTAGTTTTTATACGAAGATATTTCCTTTTCTGCCTTTGGCCTCAAAGCGCTTGAAATCTCCACTTGCAAATTCCACAAAAAGAGTGTTTCAAATCTGCTCTGTGTAAATGAAAGTTCAACTCTGTGAGTTGAACACACACAACACAAGGGAAGTTACTGGGAATTCTTCTGTCTAGCCTTACATGAAAAAAACCCGTTTCCAACGAAGACCTCAAAGAAGTCCAAATATCCACCTGCAGACGTTACAAACAGAGTGTTTCCTAACTGCTCTATGAAAAGAAAGGTTAAACTCTGTGAGTTCAACGCCCACATCACAAAGGAGTTTCTGAGAAACATTCTGTCTAGTTTTTATACGAAGATATTTCCTTTTCTACCATTGACCTCAAAGCGGCTGAAATCTCCACTTGCAAATTCCAGAAAAAGAGTGTTTCAAGTCTACTCTGTGTAAAGCATCGTTCAACTCTGTGAGTTGAAGACACACAACACAAGGAAGTTTCTGACAATTCTTCTGTATAGCAGAATATGAAGAAATCCCGTTTCCAACGAAAGCCTCAAAGATGTCTGAATATCCACTTCCAGACTTTACAAACAGAGTGTTTCCTAACTGCTCTATGAAAAGAAAGGTTAAACTCCGTGAGTTGAACGCACACATCACAAAGGAGTTTCTGAGAATCATTCTGTCTAGTTTTGAAACGAAGATATTTCCTTTTCTGCCATTGACCTTAAAGCGCTTGAAATCTCCACTTGCCAATTGCACAAAAAGAGTGTTTCAAATCTGCTCTGTCTAAGGGAACGTTCAACTCTGTGAGTTGAATGTACACAACGCAAGGAAGTTACTGGGAATTCTTCTGTCTAGCCTTACAGGAAAGAAACCCGTTTCCAACGAAGGCCTCTAAGTGGTCAAAATATCCACGTGCAGACTTTACAAACAGAGTGTTTCCAAATTGCTGAATGAAAAGAAAAGTTAAACTCTGAGAGTTGAACGCACACATCGCAGAGCAGTTTCTGAGAATGATTCTGCCTAGTTTTTATACGAAGATATTTCCTTTTCTGCCTTTAGCCTCAAAGCGCTTGAAATCTCCACTTGCAAATTCCACAAAAAGAGTGTTTCAAATCTGCTCTGTGTAAATGAAAGTTCAACTCTGTGAGTTGAACACACACAACACAAGGAAGTTACTGGGAATTCTTCTGTCTAGCATAATATGAAGAAATCCCGTTTCCAACGAAGGCCTCAAGGAGGTCTGAATATCCACTTGAAGACTTTAAAAACAGAGTGTTTCCTAACTGCTCTATGAAAAGAAAGGTTAAACTCTGTGAGTTGAACGCACACATCACAAAGGATTTCTCAGAATCATTCTGTCTAGTTTTTCTACGAAGATGTTTCCTTTTCTACTATTGACCTCAAAGCGGCTGAAATCTCCACTTGCAAATTCCACAAAAAGAGTGTTTCAAGTCTGCTCTGTGTAAAGGATCGTTCAACTCTGTGAGTTGAATACACACAACACAAGGAAGTTACTGAGAATTCTTCTGTCTAGCAGAATATGAAGAAATCCCGTTTCCAACGAAGGCCTCAAGGAGGTCTGAATATCCACTTGCAGACTTTACAAACAGAGTGTTTTCTAACTGCTCTATGAACAGAAAAGTTAAACTCTGTGAGTTGAACGAACACATCACAACGCAGTTTGTGGGAATGATTCTGTCTAGTTTTTATAGGAAGATATTTCCTTTTCTACTTTTGACTTCAAAGCGGCTGAAATCTCCACTTGCAAATTCCACAAAAAGAGTGTTACAAGTCTGCTCTGTGTAAAGGATCGTTCAACTCTGTGAGTTGAATACACACAACACAAAGAAGTTACTGAGAATTCTTCTGTCTAGCCTTACATGAAAAAAACCCGTTTCCAACGAAGGCCTCTAAGTGGTCAAATTATCCACGTGCAGACTTTACAAACAGAGTGTTTCCAAACTGCTGAATGAAAAGGAAAGTTAAACTCTGAGAGTTGAACGCACAAATCGCAGAGCAGTTTCTGAGAATGATTCTGTCTAGTTTTTATACGAAGATATTTCCTTTTCTGCCCTTGGCCCCAAAGCGCTTGAAATCTCCACTTGCAAATTCCACAAAAACAGTGTTTCAAATCTGCTCTCTCTAAATGAAAGTTCAACTCTGTCAGTTGAATACACACAACACAAGGAAAGTTACTGAGAATTCTTCTGTCTAGCATAATATGAAGAAATCCCGTTTCCAACGAAGGCCTCAAAGGGGTCTGAATATCCACTTGCAGACTTTATAAACAGAGTGTTTACGAACTGTTCTATGAAAAGAAAGGTTAAACTCTGTGAGTTGAACACACACATCACAAAGGAGTTTCTGAGAATCATTCTGTCTAGTTTCTATAGGAAGATATTTCCTATTCTACCATTGACCTCAAAGCGGCTGAAATCTCCACTTGCAAATTTCACAAAAAGAGTGTTTCAAGTCTGCTCTCTGTAAAGGATCGTTCAACTCTGTGAGTTGAATACACACCACACAAGGAAGTTACTGAGAATTCTTCTGTCTAGCAGAATATGAAGAAATCCCGTTTCCAACGAAGGCCTCAAGGAGGTCTGAATATCCACTTGCAGACTTTACAAACAGAGTGTTTTCTAACTGCTCTATGAACAGAAAAGTTAAACTCTGTGAGTTGAACGAACACATCACAACGCAGTTTGTGGGAATGATTCTGTCTAGTTTTGAAACGAAGATATTTCCTTTTCTGCCATTGACCTCAAAGCGCTTGAAATCTCCACTTGCCAATTGCACAAAAAGAGTGTTTCAAATCTGCTCTGTCTAAGGGAACGTTCAACTCTGTGAGTTGAATGTACACAACACAAGGGAAGTTACTGGGAATTCTTCTGTCTAGCCTTACATGAAAAAAACCCGTTTCCAACGAAGGCCTCTAAGTGGTCAAAATTTCCACGTGCACACTTTACAAACAGAGTGTTTCCAAACCGCTGAATGAAAAGAAAAGTTAAACTCTGAGAGTTGAACGCACACATCACGCAGCAGTTTCTGAGAATGATTCTGTCTAGTTTTTATACGAAGATATTTCCTTTTCTGCCTTTGGCCTCAAAGCGCTTGAAATCTCCACCTGCAAATTCCACAAAAAGAGTGTTTCAAATCTGCTCTGTGTAAATGAAAGTTCAACTCTGTGAGTTGAACACACACAACACAAGGAAGTTACTGGGGAATTCTTCTGTCTAGCAGAATAAGAAGAAATCCCGTTTCCAACGAAGGCCTCAAGGAGGTCTGAATATCCACTTGCAGACTTTACAAACAGAGTGTTTCCTAACTGCTCTATGAAAAGAAAGGTGAAACTCTGTGAGTTGAATGCACACATCACAAAGGAGTTTATGAGAATCATTCTGTCTAGGTTTTATAGGAAGATATTTCCTTTTCTACCTTTGACTTCAAAGCGGCTGAAATCTCCACTTGCAAATTCCACAAAAAGAGTGTTACAAGTCTGCTCTGTGTAAAGGATCGTTCAACTCTGTGAGTTGAATACACACAACACAAGGAAGTTACTGAGAATTCTTCTGTCTAGCACAGTATGGAGAAATCCCGTTTCCAACGAAGGCCTCAAAGAGGTCTGAATATCCACTTGCAGAGTTTACAAACAGAGTGTTTCCTAACTGCTCTATGAAAAGAAAGGTTAAACTCTGTGAGTTGAACGAACACATCACAACGCAGTTTGTGGGAATGATTCTGTCTAGTTTTTATAGGAAGATATTTCCTTTTCTACCTTTGACCTCAAAGCGGCTGAAATCACCACTTGCCAATTGCACAAAAAGTGTTTCAAATCTGCTCTGTCTAAGGAAACGTTCAACTCTGTGGGTTGAATGTACAAAACACAAGGAAGTTACTGGGAATTCTTCTGTCTAGCCTTACAGGAAAAAAACCCGTTTCCAACGAAGGCCTCTAAGTGGTCAAAATATCCACGTGCAGACTTTACAAACAGAGTGTTTCCAAACTGCTGAATGAAAAGAAAATTTAAACTCTGAGAGTTGAACGCACACATCGCAGAGCAGTTTCTGAGAATGATTCTGTCTAGTTTTTATACGAAGACATTTCCTTTTCTGCCTTTGGCCCCAAAGCTCTTGAAATCTCCACTTGCAAATTCCACAAAAACAGTGTTTCAAATCTGCTCTCTCTAAATGAAAGTTCAACTCTGTCAGTTGAATACACACAACACAAGGAAGTTACTGAGAATTCTTCTGTCTAGCATAATATGAAGAAATCCCATTTCCAACGAAGGCCTCAAGGAGGTCTGAATATCCACTTGCAGACTTTACAAACAGAGTGTTTCCCAACTGCTCTATGAAAAGAAAGGTTAAACTCTGTGAGTTGAACGCACACATCACAAAGGAGTTTCTGAGAATCATTCTGTCTAGTCTTTATACGAAGATATTTCCTTTTCTACCATTGACCTCAAAGCGGCTGAAATCTCCACTTGCAAATTCCACAAAAAGAGTGTTTCAAGTCTGCTCTGTGTAAAGAATCGTTCAACTCTGTAAGTTGAATACACACAACACAAGGAAGTTACTGAGAATTGTTCTGTCTAGCAGAATATGAAGAAATCCCGTTTCCAACGAAGGCCACAAGATGTCAGAATATCCACTTACAGACTTTACAAACAGAGTGTTTCCTAACTGCTCTATGAACAGAAAGGTTAAACTGTGTGAGTTGAACGAACACATCACAACGCAGTTTGTGGGAATGATTCTGTCTAGTTTTGAAACGAAGATATTTCCTTTTCTGCCATTGACCTTAAAGCGCTTGAAATCTACACTTGCAAATTGCACAAATAGAGTGTTTCAAATCTGCTCTGTCTAAGGGAACGTTCAACTCTGTGAGTTTAATGCACCCAACACAAGGGAAGTTACTGGGAATTCTTCTGTCTAGCCTTACATGAAAAAAACCCGTTTCCAACGAAGGCCTCTAAGTGGTCAAAATATCCACGTGCAGACTTTACAAACAGAGTGTTTCCAAACCGCTGAATGAAAAGAAAAGTTAAACTCTGAGAGTTGGACGCACACATCACGCAGGAGTTTCTGAGAATGATTCTGTCTAGTTTTTATACGAAGATATTTCCTTTTCTGCCTTTGGCCCCAAAGCGCTTGAAATCTCCACTTGCAAATTCCACAAAAACAGTGTTTCAAATCTGCTCTCTCTAAATGAAAGTTCAACTCTGTCATTTGAATACACACAACACAAGGAAGTTACTGAGAATTCTTCTGTCTAGCCTTATATGAAAAAAACCCGTTTCCAACGAAGGCCTCAAAGAGGTCTGAATATCCACTTTCAGACTTTACAAACAGAGTGTTTCCTAACTGCTCTATGAAAAGAAAGGTTAAACACTGTGAGTTGAACGCACACATCACAAAGGAGTTTCTGAGAATCATTCTGTCTAGTTTCTATACGAAGATATTTCCTATTCTACCATTGACATCAAAGCGGCAGAAATCTCCACGTGTAAATTCCACAAAAAGAGTATTTCAAGACTGCTCTGTGTAAAGGATCCTTCAACTCTGTGAGTTGAATACACACAACACAAGGAAGTTACTGAGAATTCTTCTGTGTAGCATAATATGAAGAAATCCCGTTTCCAAAGAAGGCCTCAAATATGTCTGAATATCCACTTGCAGACGTTACAAACAGAGTGTTTCCTAACTGCTCTATGAAAAGAACGGTTAAACTCTGTGAGTTAAATGCCCACATAACAAAGGAGTTTCTGACAATCATTCTGTCTAGTTTTCATACGAAGATATTTCTTTTTCTACCATTGACCTCAAAGCGGCTGAAACCTCCACTTGCAAATTCCGCAAAAAGAGTGTTTCAAGTCTGCTCTGTGTAAAGGGTCGTTCAACTCTGAGAGTTGAATACACACAACACAAGGAAGTTTCTGAGAATTCTTCTGTCTAGCATAATATGAAGAAATCCCCTTTCCAAAGAAGGCCTCAAGGAGGTCTGAATATCCACTTGCAGACTTTACAAACAGAGTGTTTCCTAACTGCTCTATGAAAAGAAAGGTTTAACTCTGTGAGTTGAACGCACACATCACAAAGGAGTTTGTGAGAATCATTCTGTCTAGTTTCTATGGGAAGATATTTCCTATTCTACCATTGACCTCAAAGCGGCTGAAATCTCCACTTGCAAATTCCACAAAAAGAGTGTTTCAAGTCTGCTCTGTGTAAAGGATCGTTGAACTCTGTGAGTTGAATACACACAACACAAGGAAGTTACTGAGAATTCTTCTGTCTAGCATAATATGAAGAAATCCCGTTTCCAACGAAGGCCTTAAGGAGGTCTGAATATCCACTTGCAGACTTTACAAACAGAGTGTTTCCTAACTGCTCTATGAAAAGAAAGGTTAAACTCTGTGAGTTGAACGCACACATCACAAAGGAGTTTCTGAGAATCATTCTGTCTAGTCTTTATACGAAGATATTTCCTTTTCTACCATTGACCTCAAATCGGCTGAAATCTCCACTTGCAAATTCCACAAAAAGAGTGTTTCAAGTCTGCTCTGTGTAAAGGATCGTTCAACTCTGTGAGTTGAATACACACAACACAAGGAAGTTACTGAGAATTCTTCTTTCTAGCAGAATACGAAGAAATCCCGTTTCCAACGAAAGCCTCAAGGATGTCTGAATATCCACTTGCAGACTTTACAAACAGAGTGTTTCCTAACTGCTCTATGAAAAGAAAGGTTAAACTCTGTGAGTTGAACGCACGCATCACAAAGGAGTTTCTGAGAATCATTCTGTCTAGTTTCTATAGGAAGATATTTCCTATTCTACCATTGACCTCAAAGCGGCTGAAATCTCCACTTGCAAATTCCACAAAAAGAGTATTTCAAGTCTGCTCTGTGTAAAGGATCGTTTAACTCTGTGAGTTGAATAAACACAACACAAGGCAGTTACTGAGAATTCTTCTGACTAGCCTTACATGAAAAAAACCCGTTTCCAACGAAGGCCTCTAAGTGGTCAAAATATCCACGTGCAGACTTTACAAACAGAGTGTTTCCAAACCGCTGAATGAAAAGAAAAGTTAAACTCTGAGAGTTGAACGCACACATCACGCAGCAGTTTCTGAGAATGATTCTGTCTAGTTTTTATACGAAGATATTTCCTTTTCTGCCTTTGGCCTCAAAGCGCTTGAAATCTCCATTAGCAAATTCCACAAAAAGTGTGTCTCAAACCTGCTCTCTGTAAATGAAAGTTCAACTCTGTGAGTTGAACACACACAACACAAGGAAGTTACTGGGAATTCTTCTGTCTAGCCTTATATGAAAAAAACCCGTTTCCAACGAAGGCCTCAAAGAGGTCTGAATATCCACCTGCAGACTTTACAAACAGAGTGTTTCCTAACTGCTCTATGAAAAGAAAGGTTAAACTCTGTGAGTTGAACACACACATCTCAAAGGAGTTTCTGAGAATCATTCTGTCTAGTTTCTATAGGAAGATATTTCCTATTCTGCCATTGACCTCAAAGCGGCTGAAATCTCCACTTGCAAATTCCACAAAAGGAGTGTTTCAAGTCTGCTCTGTGTAAAGGATCGTTCAACTCTGTGAGTTGAAAACACACAACACAAGGAAGTTTCTGAGAATTCTTCTGTCTAGCAGAATATGAAGAAATCCCGTTTCCAACGAAGGCCACCAGGATGTCAGAATATCCACTTACAGAATTTACAAACAGAGTGTTTCCTAACTGCTCTATGAAAAGAAAGGTTAAACTCTGTGAGATGAACGAACACATCACAACGCAGTTTGTGGGAATGATTCTGTCTAGTTTTGAAACGAAGATATTTCCTTTTCTGCCATTGACCTTAAAGCGCTTGAAATCTCCACTTGCCAATTGCACAAAAAGAGTGTTTCAAATCTGCTCTGTCTAAGGGAACGTTCAACTCTGTGAGTTGAATGTACACAACGCAAGGAAGTTACTGGGAATTCTTCTGTCTAGCCTTACAGGAAAAAAACCCGTTTCCAACGAAGGCCTCTAAGTGGTCAAAATATCCACGTGCAGACTTTACAAACAGAGTGATTCCAAACTGCTGAATGAAAAGAAAAGTTAAAATCTGAGAGTTGAACGCACACATCGCAGAGCAGTTTCTGAGAATGATTCTGTCTAGTTTTGAAACGAAGATATTTCCTTTTCTGCCTTTGGCCTCAAAGCGCTTGAAATCTCCACTTGCAAATTCCACAAAAAGAGTGTTTCGAATCTGCTCTGGGTAAATGAAAGTTCAACTCTGTGAGTTGAACACACACAACACAAGGAAGTTACTGGGAATTCTTCTGTCTAGCATAGTATGAAGAAATCCCGTTTCCAACGAAGGCCTCAAAGAGGTCTGAACATCCACTTGCAGAGTTTACAAACAGAGTGTTTCCTAACTGCTCTATGAAAAGAAAGGTTAAACTCTGTGAGTTGAACGCACACATCACAAAGAAGTTTCTGAGAATCATTCTGTCTAGTTTTTCTACGAAGATATTTCCTTTTCTACTATTGACCTCAAAGCGGCTGAAATCTCCACTTGCAAATTCCACAAAAAGAGTTGTGTTCAAGTCTGCTCTGTGTAAAGGATCGTTCAACTCTGTGAGTTGAATACACACAACAGAAGGAAGTTACTGAGAATTCTTCTGTCTAGCAGAATATGAAGAAATCCTGTTTCCAACGAAGGCCACAAGATGTCAGAATATCCACTTACAGAATTGACAAACAGACTGTTTCCTAACTGCTCTATGAAAAGAAAGGTTAAACTCTGTGAGTTGAACGAACACATCACAACGCAGTTTGTGGGAATGATTCTGTCTAGTTTTGAAACGAAGATATTTCCTTTTCTGCCGTTGACCTTAAAGAGCTTGAAAACTACACTTGCAAATTGCACAAATAGAGTGTTTCAAATCTGCTCTGTCTAAGGGAACGTTCAACTCTGTGAGTTGAATGCACACAACACAAGGAAGTTACTGGGAATTCTTCTGTCTAGCCTTACATTAAAAAAAACCCGTTTCCAACGAAGACCTCTAAGTGGTCAAAATATCCACGTGCAGACTTTACAAACAGAGTGTTTCCAAACCGCTGAATGAAAAGAAAAGTTAAACTCTGAGAGTTGAACGCACACATCACGCAGCAGTTTCTGAGAATGATTCTGTCTTGTTTTTATACGAGGATATTTCCTTTTCTGCCTTTGGCCCCAAAGCGCTTGAAATCTCCACTTGCAAATTCCACAAAAACAGTGTTTCAAATCTGCTCTCTCCAAATGAAAGTTCAACTCTGTCAGTTGAATACACACAACACAAGGAAGTTACTGAGAATTCTTCTGTCTAGCATAATATGAAGAAATCCCGTTTCCAAAGAAGGCCACAAGGAGGTCTGAATATCCAGTTGCTGACTTTACAAACAGAGTGTTTCCTAACTGCTCTATGAAAAGAAAGGTTAAACTCTGTGAGTTGAACGCACACATCACAAAGGAGTTTCTGAGAATCATTCTGTCTAGTTTCTATAGGAAGATATTTCCTATTCTACCATTGAACTCAAAGCGGCTGAAATCTCCACTTGCAAATTCCACAAAAAGAGTGTTTCAAGTCTGCTCTGTGTAAAGGATCATTCAAATCTGTGAGTTGAATACACACAACACAAGGAAGTTACTGAGAATTCTTCTGTCTAGCAGAATATGAAGAAATCCCGTTTCCAACGAAGGCCTCAAGGAAGTCTGAATATCCACTTGCAGACTTTACAAACAGAGTGTTTCCTAACTTCTCTATGAAAAGAAAGGTTAAACTCTGTGAGTTGAACGAACACATCACAACGCAGTTTGTGGGAATGATCCTGTCTAATTTTGAAACGAAGATATTTCCTTTTCTGCCGTTGACCTTAAAGCGCTTGAAATCTACACTTGCAAATTACACAAATAGAGTGTTTCAAATCTGCTCTGTCTAAGGGAACGTTCAACTCTGTGAGTTGAATGCACACAACACAAGGAAGTTACTGGGAATTCTTCTGTCTAGCCTTACATGAAGAAAAACCGTTTCCAAAGAAGGCTTCTAAGTGGTCAAAATATCCACGTGCAGACTTTACAAACAGAGTGTTTCCAAACCGCTGAATGAAAAGAAAAGTTAAACTCTGAGAGTTGAACGCACACATCACGCAGCAGATTCTGAGAATGATTCTGTCTAGTTTTTATACGAAGATATTTCCTTTCCTGCCTTTGGCCCCAAAGCGCTTGAAATCTCCACTTGCAAATTCCACAAAAACAGTGTTTCAAATCTGCTCTCTCTAAATGAAAGTTCAACTCTGTCAGTTGAATACACACAACACAAGGAAGTTACTGAGAATTCTTCCGTCTAGCCTTACATGAAAAAAACCCGTTTCCAACGAAGGCCTCAAAGAAGTCCAAATATCCACGTGCAGACTTTACAAACAGAGTGTTTCCTAACGGCTCTATGAAAAGAAAGGTTAAACTCTGTGAGTTGAACGCCCACATCACCAAGGAGTTTCTGAGAATCATTCTGTCTAGTTTTTATACGAAGATATTTCCTTTTCTACCATGGACCTCAAAGCGGCTGAAATCTCCACTTGCAAATTCCACAAAAAGAGTGTTTCAAGTCTGCTCTGTGTAAAGGATCGTTCAACTCTGTGCGTTGAATACACACAACACAAGGAAGATTCTGAGAATTCTTCTGTCTAGCATAATATGGAGAAATCCCGTTTCCAACGAAGGCCTCAAAGAGGTCTGAATATCCACTTGCAGACTTTACACACAGAGTGTTTCCTAACTGCTCTATGAAAAGAAAAGTTAAACTCTGTGAGTTGAACGCACACATCACAAAGGAGTTTCTGAGAATCATTCTGTCTAGTTTTTATACGAAGATATTTCCTTTTCTACCATTGACCTCAAAGCGGCTGAAATCTCCACTTGCAAATTCCACAAAAAGAGTGTTTCAAATCTGCTCTGAGTAAACCATCGTTCAACTCTGTGAGTTGAATACACACAACACAAGGAAGATTCTGAGAATTCTTCTGTCTAGCAGAATATGAAGAAATCCCGTTTCCAACGAAGGCCACAAGATGTCAGAATATCCACTTACAGAATTTACAAACAGACTGTTTCCTAACTGCTCTCTGAAAAGAAAGGTTAAACTCTCTGAGATGAAGGAACACATCACAACGCAGTTTTTGGGAATGATTCTGTCTAGTTTTGAAACGAAGATATTTCCTTTTCTGCCACTGACCTTAAAGCGCTTGAAATCTCCACTTGCCAATTCCACAAAAAGAGTGTTTCAAATCTGCTCTGTCTAAGGGAACGTTCAACTCTGTGAGTTGAATGTACACAACACAAAGAAGTTACTGGGAATTATTCTGTCTAGCCTTACATGAAAAAAACCCGTTTCCAACGAAAGCCTCTAAGTGGTCAAAATATCCACGTGCAGACTTTACAAACAGAGTGTTTCCAAACCACTGAATGAAAAGAAAAGTTAAACTCTGAGAGTTGAACGCACACATCACGCAGCAGTTTCTGAGAATGATTCTGTCTAGTTTTTAAACGAAGATATTTCCTTTTCTGCCCTTGGCCCCAAAGCGCTTGAAATCTCCACTTGCATATTCCGCAAAAACAGTGTTTCAAATCTGCTCTCTCTAAATGAAAGTTCAACTCTGTCAGTTGAATACACACAACACAAGGAAGTTACCGAGAATTCTTCTTTCTAGCAGAATATGAAGAAATCCCGTTTCCAACGAAAGCCTCAAGGATGTCTGAATATCCACTTGCAGACTTTACAAACAGAGTGTTTCCTAACTGCTCTATGAAAAGAAAGGTTAAACTCTGTGAGTTGAACGCACACATCACAAAGGAGTTTATGAGAATCATTCTGTCTAGTTTCTATAGGAAGATATTTCCTATTCTACCATTGACCTCAAAGCAGCTGAAATCTCCACTTGCAAATTCCACAAAAAGAGTGTTTCAAGTCTGCTCTGTGTAAAGGATCGTTCAACTCTGTGAGTTGAATACACACAACACAAGGAAGTTACTGAGAATTCTTCTGTCTAGCATAATATGAAGAAATCCCGTTTCCAACGAAGGCCACAAGATGTCAGAATTTCCACTTACAGACTTTACAAACAGAGTGTTTCCTAACTGCTCTATGAACAGAAAGGTTAAACTCTGTGAGTTTAACGAACACATCACAACGCAGTTTTTGGGAATGAGTCTGTCTAGTTTTGAAACGAAGATATTTCCTTTTCTGCCGTTGACCTTAAAGAGCTTGAAAACTACACTTGCAAATTGCACAAATAGAGTGTTTCAAATCTGCTCTGTCTAAGGGAACGTTCAACTCTGTGAGTTGAATGCACACAACACAAGGAAGTTACTGGGAATTCTTCTGTCTAGCCTTACATGAAAAAAACACGTTTCCAACGAAGGCCTCTAAGTGGTCAAAATTTCCACGTGCAGACTTTACAAACAGAGTGTTTCCAAACCGCTGAATGAAAAGAAAAGTTAAACTCTGAGAGTTGAACGCACACATCACGCAGCAGTTTCTGAGAATGATTCTGTCTAGTTTTTATACGAAGATATTTCCTTTTCTGCCTTTGGTCCCAAAGCGCTTGAAATCTCCATTTGCAAATTCCACAAAAACAGTGTTTCAAATCTGCTCTCTCTAAATGAAAGTTCAACTCTGTCAGCTTGAATACACACAACACAAGGAAGTTACTGAGAATTCTTCTGTCTAGCAGAATATGAAGAAATCCCGTTTCCAACGAAAGCCTCAAAGATGTCTGAATATCCACTTGCAGACTTTACAAACAGAGTGTTTCCTAACTGCTCTATGAAAAGAAAGGTTAAACTCTGTGAGTTGAACGCACACATCGCAAAGGAGTTTCTGAGAATCATTCTGTCTAGTTTCTGTAGGAAGATATTTCCTATTCTACCATTGACCTCAAAGCGGCTGAAATCTCCACTTGCAAATTCCACAAAAAGAGTGTTTCAAGTCTGCTCTGTGTAAAGGATCGTTCAACTCTGTGAGTTGAATACACACAACACAAGGAAGTTACTGAGAATTCCTCTGTCTAGCATAATATGAAGAAATCCCGTTTCCAACGAAGGCCTCAAGGAGGTCTGAGTATCCACTTGCAGACTTTTCAAACAGAGTGTTTCCTAACTGCTCTATGAAAAGAAAGGTTAAACTCTGTCAGTTGAACGCAGACATCACAAAGAAGTTTCTGAGAATCACTCTGTCTAGTGTTTATAGGAAGATATTTCCCTTTCTACCTGTGACTTCAAAGCGGCTGAAATCTCCACTTGCAAATTCCACAAAAAGAGTGTTACAAGTCTGCTCTGTGTAAAGGATCGTTCAACTCTGTGAGTTGAATACACACAACACAAGGAAGTTACTGAGAATTCTTCTGTCTATCCTTACATGAAAAAAACCCGTTTCCAACGAAGACCTCTAAGTGGTGAAATTATCCACGTGCAGACTTTACAAACAGAGTGTTTCCAAACTGCTGAATGAAAAGAAAAGTTAAACTCTGAGAGTTGAACGCACACATCGCAGAGCAGTTTCTGAGAATGATTCTGTCTAGTTTTTATACGAAGATATTTTCTTTTCTGCCTTTGGCCCCAAAGCGCTTGAAATCTCCACTTGCAAATTCCACAAAAACAGTGTTTCAAATCTGCTCTCTCTAAATGAAAGTTCAACTCTGTCAGTTGAATACACACAACACAAGGAAGTTACTGAGAATTCTTCTGTCTAGCATAATATGAAGAAATCCCGTTTCCAACGAAGGCCTCAAGGAGGTCTGAATATCCACTTGCAGACTTTACAAACAGTGTTTCCTAACTGCTCTATGAAAAGAAAGGTTAAACTCTGTGAGTTGAATGCACACATCACAAAGGAGTTTCTGAGAATCATTCTGTGTACTTTCTATAGGAAGATATTTCCTATTCTACCATTGAACTCAAAGCGGCTGAAATCTCCACTTGCAAATTCCACAAAAAGAGTGTTTCAAGTCTGCTCTGTGTAAAGGATCGTTCAACTCTGTGAGTTGAATACACACAACACAAGGAAGTTACTGAGAATTCTTCTGTCCAGCAGAATATGAAGAAATCCCGTTTCCAACGAAGGCCACAAGATGTCAGAATATCCACTTACAGACTTTACAAACAGAGTGTTTCCTAACTGCTCTATGAACAGAAAGTTTAAACTCTGTGAGTTGAACGAACACATCACAACGCAGTTTGTGGGAATGATTCTGTCTAGTTTTGAAACGAAGATATTTCCTTTTCTCCCATTGACCTTAAAGCGCTTGAGATCTACACTTGCAAATTGCACAAATAGAGTGTTTCAAATCTGCTCTGTCTAAGGGAACGTTCAACTCTGTGAGTTGAATGCACACAACACAAGGAAGTTACTGGGAATTCTTCTGTCTAGCCTTACATGAAAAAATCCCGTTTCCAACGAAGGCCTCTAAGTGGTCAAAATATCCACGTGCAGACTTTACAAACAGACTGTTTCCAAACCGCTGAATGAAAAGAAAAGTTAAACTCTGAGAGTTGAACTCACACATCACGCAGCAGTTTCTGAGAATGATTCTGTCTAGTTTTTATACGAAGATATTTCCTTTTCTGCCTTTGGCCTCAAAGCGCTTGAAATCTCCACTTGCAAATTCCACAAAAAGAGTGTTTCAAATCTGCTCTGTGTAAATGAAAGTTCAACTCTGTGAGTTGAACACACACAACACAAGGAAGTTACTGAGAATTCTTCTGTCTAGCCTTATATGAAAAAAACCCGTTTCCAACGAAGGCCTCAAAGAGGTCTGAATATCCACTTGCAGACTTTACAAACAGAGTGATTCCTAACGGCTCTATGAAAAGAAAGGTTAAACTCTGTGAGTTGAACACACACATCACAAAGGAGTTTCTGAGAATCATTTCCGTCTAGTTTCTATAGGAAGATATTTCCTATTCTACCATTGACCTCAAAGCGGCTGAAATCTCCACTTGCAAATTCCACAAAAAGAGTGTTTCAAGTCTGCTCTGTGTAAAGGATCGTTCAACTCTGTGAGTTGAATACACACAACACAAGGAAGTTACTGAGAATTCCTCTGTCTAGCAGAATACGAAGAAATCCCGTTTCCAACGAAGGCCTCAAAGAGGTCTGAATATCCACTTGCAGACTTTACAAACAGAGTGTTTCCTAACTGCTCTATGAAAAGAAAGGTTAAACTCTGTGAGTTGAACGCACACATTACAACGCAGTTTGTGGGAATGATTCTGTCTAGTTTTGAAACGAAGATATTTCCTTTTCTGCCATTGACCTTAAAGCGCTTGAAATCTCCACTTGCCAATTGCACAAAAAGAGTGTTTCAAATCTGCTCTGTCTAAGGGAACGTTCAACTCTGTGAGTTGAATGTACACAACGCAAGGAAGTTACTGGGAATTCTTCTGTCTAGCCTTATATGAAAAAAAACCCGTTTCCAAAGAAGGCCTCTAAGTGGTCAAATTATCCACGTGCAGACTTTACAAACAGAGTGTTTCCAAACTGCTGAATGAAAAGAAAAGTTAAACTCTGAGAGTTGAACGCACACATCGCAGAGCAGTTTCTGAGAATGATTCTGTCTAGTTTTTATACGAAGATATTTCGTTTTCTGCCTTTGGCCCCAAAGCGCTTGAAATCTCCACTTGCAAATTCCACAAAAAGAGTGTTTCAAATCTGCTCTCTCTAAATGAAAGTTCAACTCTGTCAGTTGAATACACACAACACAAGGAAGTTACTGAGAATTCTTCTGTCTAGCCTTATATGAAAAAAACCCGTTTCCAACGAAGGCCTCAAAGAGGTCTGAATATCCACTTGCAGACTTTACAAACAGAGTGTTTCCTAACTGCTCTATGAAAAGAAAGGTTAAACTCTGTGAGTTGAACGCACACATCACAAAGGAGTTTCCGAGAATCATTCTGTCTAGTTTCTATAGGAAGATATTTCCTATTCTACCATTGACCTCAAAGCGGCTGAAATCTCCACCTGCAAATTCCACAAAAAGAGTGTTTCATGTCTGCTCTGTGTAAAGGATCGTTCAACTCTGTGAGTTGAATACACACAACACAAGGAAGTTACTGAGAATTCTTCTGTCTAGCAGAATATGAAGAAATCCCGTTTCCAACGAAGGCCTCAAAGAGGTCTGAATATCCACTTGCAGACTTCACAAACAGAGTGTTTCCTAACTGCTCTATGAAAAGAAAGGTTAAACTCTGTGAGTTGAACGCACACATTACAACGCAGTTTGTGGGAATGATTCTGTCTAGTTTTGAAACGAAGATATTTCCTTTTCTGCCATTGACCTCAAAGCGCTTGAAATCTCCACTTGCCAATTGCACAAAAAGAGTGTTTCAAATCTGCTCTGTCTAAGGGAACGTTCAACTCTGTGAGTTGAATGTACACAACGCAAGGAAGTTACTGGGAAGTCTTCTGTCTAGCCTTACAGGAAAAAAACCCGTTTCCAACGAAGGCCTCTAAGTGGTCAAAATATCCACGTGCAGACTTTACAAACAGAGTGTTTCCAAACTGCTGAATGAAAAGAAAAGTTAAACTCTGAGAGTTGAACGCACACATCGCAGAGCACTTTCTGAGAATGATTCTGTCTAGTTTCTATAGGAAGATATTTCTATTCTACCATTGACCTCAAAGCGGCTGAAATCTCCACTTGCAAATTCCACAAAAAGAGTGTTTCAAGTCTGATCTCTGTAAAGGATCATTCAACTCTGTGAGTTGAATACACACAACACAAGGAAGTTACTGAGAATTCTTCTGTCTAGCAGAATATGAAGAAATCCCTTTTCCAATGAAGGCCAGAAAATGTCAGAATATCCACTTACAGACTTTACAAACAGAGTGTTTCCTAACTGCTCTATGAAAAGAAAGGTTAAACTCTGTGAGTTGAACGCACACATCACAAAGGAGTTTCTGAGAATCGTTCTGTCTAGTCTTTATACGAAGATATTTACTTTTCTACCATTGACCTCAAAGCGGCTGAAATCTCCACTTGCAAATTCCACAAAAAGAGTGTTTCAAGTCTGCTCTGTGTAAAGGATCGTTCAACTCTGTGAGTTGAATAAACACAACACAAGGAAGTTACTGAGAATTCTTCTGTCTAGCAGAATATGAAGAAATCCCTTTTCCAACGAAGGCCACAAGATGTCAGAATATCCACTTACAGACTTTACAAACAGAGTGTTTCCTAACTGCTCTATGAACAGAAAGGTTAAACTCTGTGAGTTGAACGAACACATCACAACGCAGTTTGTGGGAATGATTCTGTCTTGTGTTGAAACGAAGATATTTCCTTTTCTGCCATTGACCTTAAAGCGCTTGAAATCTACACTTGCAAATTGCACAAATAGAGTGTTTCAAATCTGCTCTGTCTAAGGGAACGTTCAACTCTTTGAGTTGAATGCACACAACACAAGGAAGTTACTGGGAATTCTTCTGTCTAGCCTTACTTGAAAAAAACCAGTTTCCAACGAAGGCCTCTAAGTGGTCAAAATATCCACGTGCAGACTTTACAAACAGAGTGTTTCCAAACTGCTGAATGAAAACAAAAGTTAAACTCTGAGAGTTGAACGCACACATCACAGAGCAGTTTCTGAGAATGATTCTGTCTAGTTTTTATACGAAGATATTTCCTTTACTGCCTTTGGCCCCAAAGCGCTTGAAATCTCCACTTGCAAATTCCACGAAAACAGTGTTTCAAATCTGCTCTCTCTAAATGAAAGTTAAACTCTGTCAGTTGAATACACACAACACAAGGAAGTTACTTAGAAATCTTCTGTCTAGCATAGTATGAAGAAATCCCGTTTCCAACCAAGGCCTCAAAGAGGTCTGAATATCCACTTGCAGAGTTTACAAACAGAGTGTTTCCTAACTGCTCTATGAAAAGAAAGGTTAAACTCTGTGAGTTGAACGCACACATCACAAAGAAGTTTCTGAGAATCATTCTGTCTAGTTTTTATACGAAGATATTTCCTTTTCTACCATTGACCTCAACGCGGCTGAAATCTCCACTTGCAAATTCCACAAAAAGAGTGTTTCAACTCCGCTCTGTGTAAAGGATCGTTCAAATCTGTGAGTTGAATACACACAACACAAGGAAGTTACTGAGAATTCTTCTGTCTAGCAGAATATGAAGAAATCCCGTTTCCAACGAAGGCCACAAGATGTCAGAATATCCACTTACAGAATTGACAGACTGTTTCCTAACTGCTCTATGAAAAGAAAGGTTAAACTCTGTGAGTTGAACGAACACATCACAACGCAGTTTGTGGGAATGATTCTGTCTAGTTTTGAAACGAAGATATTTCCTTTTCTGCCATTGACCTTAAAGCGCTTGAAATCTACACTTGCAAATTGCACAAATAGAGTGTTTCAAATCTGCACTGTCTAAGGGAACGTTCAACTCTGTGAGTTGAATGCACACAACACAAGGAAGTTACTGGGAATTCTTCTGTCTAGGCTTACATGCATAAAACCCGTTTCCAACGAAGGCCTCTAAGTGGTCAAAATATCCACGTGCAGACTTTACAAACAGAGTGTTTCCAAACCGCTGAATGAAAAGAAAAGTTAAACTCTGAGAGTTGAACGCACACATCACGCAGCAGTTTCTGAGAATGATTCTGTCTAGTTTTTATACGAAGATATTTCCTTTTCTGCCTTTGGCCCCAAAGCGCTTGAAATCTCCACTTGCAAATACCACAAAAACAGTGTTTCAAATCTGCTCTCTCTAAATGAAAGTTCAACTCTGTCAGTTGAATACACACAACACAAGGAAGTTACTGAGAATTCTTCTGTCTAGCATAATATGAAGAAAACCCGTTTCCAACGAAGGCCTCAAAGAGGTCTGGATATCCACTTGCAGACTTTACAAACAGAGTGTTCCCTAACTGCTCTATGAAAAGAAAGGTTGAACTCTGTGAGTTGAACGCACACATCACAAAGCAGTTTCTGAGAATCATTCTGTCTAGTTTTTATACGAAGATATTTCCTTTTCTACCATTGACCTCAAAGCGGCTGAAATCTCCACCCTGCCAATTCCACAAAAAGAGTTTCAAGTCTACTCTGTGTAAAGGATCGTTGAACTCTGTGAGTTGAATACACACAACACAAGGAAGTTACTGAGAATTCTTCTTTCTAGCAGAATATGAAGAAATCCCGTTTCCAAAGAAAGCCTCAAGGATGTCTGAATATCCACTTGCAGACTTTACAAACAGAGTGTTTCCTAACTGCTCTATGAAAAGAAAGGTTAAACTCTGTGAGTTGAACGCACACATCACAAAGGAGTTTCTGAGAATCATTCTGTCTAGTTTTGAAACGAAGATATTTCCTTTTCTGCCATTGACCTTAAAGCGCTTGAAATCTACACTTGCAAACTGCACAAATAGAGTGTTTCAAATCTGCTCTGTCTAAGGGAACGTTCAACTCTGTGAGTTGAATGCACACAACACAAGGAAGTTACTGGGAATTCTTCTGTCTAGCCTTACATGCAAAAAACCCGTTTCCAACGAAGGACTCTAAGTGGTCAAAATATCCACGTGCAGACTTTACAACCAGAGTGTTTCGAAACCGCTGAATGAAAAGAAAAGTTAAACTCTGAGAGTTGAACGCACACATCACGCAGCAGTTTCTGAGAATGATTCTGTCTAGTTTTTATACGAAGATATTTCCTTTTCTGCCTTTGGCCCCAAAGCGCTTGAAATCTCCAATTGCAAATTCCACAAAAACAGTGTTTCAAATCTGCTCTCTCTAAATGAAAGTTCAACTCTGTAAGTTGAATACACACAACACAAGGAAGTTACTGAGAATTCTTCTGTCTAGCATAGTATGAACAAATCCCGTTTCCAACGAAGGCCTCAAAGAGGTCTGAATATCCACTTGCAGACTTTACAAACAGAGTGTTTCCTAACTGCTCTATGAAAAGAAAGGTTAAACTTTGTGAGTTGAACGCACACATCACAAAGGAGTTTCTGAGAATCATTCTGTCTAGTTTCTATAGGAAGATATTTCCTATTCTACCATTGACCTCAAAGCGGCTGAAATCTCCAGTTGCAAATTCCACAAAAAGAATGTTTCAAGTCTGCTCTGTGTAAAGGATCGTTCAACTCTGTGAGTTGAATACACACAACACAAGGAAGTTACTGAGAATTATTCTGTCTAGCAGAATAGGAAGAAATCCCGTTTCCAAGGAAAGCCTCAAAGAGGTCTGAATATCCACTTGCAGACTTTACAAACAGAGTGTTTCCTAACTGCTCTATGAAAAGAAAGGTTAAACTGTGAGTTGAACGCACACATCACAAAGGAGTTTCTGAGAATCATTCTGTCTAGTTTTTATAGGAAGATATTTCCTTTTCTACCTTTGACATCAAAGCGGCTGAAATCTCCACTTGCAAATTCCACAAAAAGAGTGTTACAAGTCTGCTCTGTGTAAAGGATCGTTCAACTCTGTGAGTTGAATACACACAACACAAGGGAAGTTACTGAGAATTCTTCTGTCTAGCCTTACATGAAAAAAACCCGTTTCCAACGAAGGCTTCTAAGTGGTCAAATTATCCACGTGCAGACTTTACAAACAGAGTGTTTCCAAACTGCTGAATGAAAAGAAAAGTTAAACTCTGAGAGTTGAACGCACACATCGCAGAGCAGTTTCTGAGAATGATTCTGTCTAGTTTTTATACGAAGATATTTCCTTTTCTGCCTTTGGCCTCAAAGCGCTTGAAATCTCCATTTGCAAATTCCACAAAAAGAGTGTTTCAAATCTGCTCTGTGTAAATGAAAGTTCAACTCTGTGAGTAGAACACACACAACACAAGGAAGTTACTGGGAATTCTTCTGTCTAGCATAATATGAAGAAATCCCGTTTCCAACGAAGGCCTCAAAGGGGTCTCAATATCCACTTGCAGACTTTATAAACAGAGTGTTTACTAACTGCTCTAGGAAAAGAAAGGTTAAACTCTGTGAGTTGAACACACACATCACAAAGGAGTTTCTGAGAATCATTCTGTCTAGTTTCTATAGGAACATATTTCCTATTCTACCATTGACCTCAAAGCGGCTGAAATCTCCACTTGCAAATTCCACAAAAAGAATGTTTCAATTCTGCTCTGTGTAAAGGATCGTTCAACTCTGTGAGTTGAATACACACAACACAAGGAAGTTACTGAGAATTCTTCTGTCTAGCAGAATATGAAGAAATCCCGTTTCCAACGAAGGCCACAAGATGTCAGAATATCCACTTAGAGACTTTACAAACAGAGTGTTTCCTCACTGCTCTATGAACAGAAAGGTTAAACTCTGTGAGTTGAACGAACACATCACAACGCAGTTTGTGGGAATGATTCTGTCTAGTTTTGAAACGAAGATATTTCCTTTTCTGCCATTGACCTTAAAGCGCTTGAAATCTACACTTGCAAATTGCACAAATAGAGTGTTTCAAATCTGCTCTGTCTAAGGGAACGTTCAACTATGTGAGTTGAATGCACACAACACAAGGAAGTTACTGGGAATTCTTCTGTCTAGCCTTACATGAAAAAAAACCCGTTTCCAACGAAGGCCTCTAAGTGGTCAAAATATCCACGTGCAGACTTTACAAACAGAGTGTTTCCAAACTGCTGAATGAAAAGAAAAGTTAAACTCTGCGAGTTGAACGCACACATCACAGAGCGGTTTCTGAGAATGATTCTGTCTAGTTTTTATAAGAAGATATTTCCTTTTCTGCCTTTGGCCCCAAAGCGCTTGAAATCTCCACTTGCAAATTCCACAAAAACAGTGTTTCAAATCTGCTCTCTCTAAATGAAAGTTCAACTCTGTCAGTTGAATACACACAACACAAAGAAGTTACTGAGAATTCTTCTGTCTAGCAGAATATGAAGAAATCCCGTTTCCAACGAAGGCGTCAAAGAGGTCTGAATATCCACTTGCAGACTTTGCAAACAGAGTGTTTCCTAACTGCTCTATGAAAAGAAAGGTTAAACTCTGTGAGTTGAACGCCCACATCACAAAGGAGTTTCTGAGAATCATTCTGTCTTGTTTTTCTACGAAGATATTTCCTTTTCTACTATTGACCTCAAAGCGGCTGAAATCTCCACTTGCAAATTCCACAAAAAGAGTGTTTCAAGTCTGCTCTGTGTAAAGGATCGTTCAACTCTGTGAGCTGAATACACACAACACAAGGAAGTTACTGAGAATTATTCTGTCTAGCAGAATATGAAGAAATCCCGTTTCCAACGAAGGCCACAAGATGTCAGAATATCCACTTACAGAATTGACAAACAGACTGTTTCCTAACTGCTCTATGAAAAGAAAGGTTAAACTCTGTGAGTTGAACGAACACATCACAACCCAAGTTTGTGGGAATGATTCTGTCTGGTTTTTATACGAAGATATTTCCTTTTCTACCATGGACCTCAAAGCGGCTGAAATCTCCACTTGCAAATTCCACAAAAAGAGTGTTCCAAGTCTGCTCTGTGTAAAGGATCGTTCAACTCTGTGAGTTGAATACACACAACACAAGGAAGTTACTGAGAATTCTTCTGTCTAGCCTTACATGGAAAAAACCCGTTTCCAACGAAGGCATCTAAGTGGTCAAATTATGCACGTGCAGACTTTACAAACAGAGTGTTTCCAAACTGCTGAATGAAAGGAAAAGTTAAACTCTGAGAGTTGAACGCACACATCGCAGAGCAGTTTCTGAGAATGATTCTGTCTAGTTTTTATACGAAGATATTTCCTTTTCTGCCTTTGGCCTCAAAGCGCTTGAAATCTCCACTTGCAAATTCCACAAAAGAGTGTTTCCAATCTGCTCTGTGTAAATGAAAGTTCAACTCTGTGAGTTGAATACACACAACACAAGGAAGTTACTGAGAATTCTTCTGTGTAGCATAACATAAAGAAATCCCGTTTGCAACGAAGGCCTCAAAGAGGTCTGAATATCCAATTGCAGATTTTACAAACAGAGTGTTTCCTAACTGCTCTATGAAAAGGAAGGTTAAACTCTGTGAGTTGAACGCACACATCACAAAGCAGTTTCTGAGAATCATTCTGTCTAGTTTCTATAGGAAGATATTTCCTATTCTACCGTTGACCTCAAAGCGGCTGAAATCTCCACTTGCAAATTCCACAAAAAGAGTGTTTCAAGTCTGTTCTGTGTAAAGGATCATTCAACTCTGTGAGTTGAATACACACAACACAAGGAAGTTACTGAGAATTCTTCTGTCTAGCAGAATATGAAGAAATCCCGTTTCCAACGAAGGCCACAAGACGTCAGAATATCCACTTACAGACTTTACAAACAGAGTGTTTCCTAACTGCTCTATGAAAAGAAAGGTTAAACTCTGTGAGTTGAACGAACACATCACAACGCAGTTTCTGGGAATGATTCTGTCTAGTTTTGAAACGAAGATATTTCCTTTTCTGCCATTGACCTTAAAGCGCTTGAAATCTCCACTTGCCAATTGCACAAAAAGAGTGTTTCAAATCTGCTCTGTCTAAGGGAACGTTCAACTCTGTGAGTTGAATGTACACAACACAAGGAAGTTACTGGGAATTCTTCTGTCTAGCCTTACATGAAAAAAACCCGTTTCCAACGAAGGACTCTAAGTGGTCAAAATATCCACGTGCAGACTTTACAAACAGAGTGTTTCCAAACCGCTGAATGAAAAGAAAAGTTAAACTCTGAGAGTTGAACGCACACATCGCGCAGCAGGTTCTGAGAATGATTCTGTCTAGTTCTTCTACGAAGATATTTCCTATTCTACCATTGACCCCAAAGCGGCTGAAATCTCCACTTGCAAATTCCACAAAAAGAATGTTTCAAGTCTGCTCAGTGTAAAGGATCGTTCAACTCTGTGAGTTGAATACACACAACACAAGGAAGTTACTGAGAATTCTTCTGTCTAGCATAATATGAAGAAATCCCGTTTCCAATGAAGGACTCAAAGAGGTCTGAATATCCACTTGCAGACTTTACAAACAGAGTGTTTCCTAACTGCTCTATGAAAAGAAAAGTTAAACTCTGTGAGTTGAACGCACACATCACAAAGGAGTTTCTGAGAATCATTCTGTCTAGTCTTTATACGAAGATATTTCCTTTTCTAACATTGACCTCAAAGCGGCTGAAATCTCCACTTGCAAATTCCACAAAAAGAGTGTTTCAAGTCTGCTCTGTGTAAAGGATCATTCAACTCTGTGAGTTGAATAAACACAACACAAGGAAGTTACTGAGAATTCTTCTGTCTAGCAGAATATGAAGAAATCCCGTTTCCAACGAAGGCCACAAGATGTCAGAATATCCACTTACAGAATTGACAAACAGACTGTTTCCTAACTGCTCTATGAAAAGAAAGTTTAAACTCTGTGAGTTGAACGAACACATCACAAAGCAGTTTGTGGGAATGATTCTGTCTAGTTTTGAAACGAAGATATTTCCTTTTCTGCCATTGACCTTAAAGCGCTTGAAATCTACACTTGCAAATTGCACAAATAGAGTGTTTCAAATCTGCTCTGTCTAAGGGAACGTTCAGCTCTGTGAGTTGAATGCACACAACACAAGGAAGTTACTGGGAATTCTTCTGTCTAGCCTTACAAGAATAAAACCCGTTTCCAACGAAGGCCTCTAAGTTGTCAAAATATCCACGTGCAGACTTTACAAAGAGAATGTTTCCAAACTGCTGAATGAAAAGAAAAATTAAACTCTGAGAGTTGAATGCACACATCGCAGAGCAGTTTCTGAGAATGATTCTGTCTAGTTTTTATACGAAGATATTTCCTTTTCTGCCTTTGGCCTCAAAGCGCTTGAAATCTCCATTTGCAAATTCCACAAAAAGAGGGTTTCAAATCTGCTCTGTGTAAATGAAAGTTCAACTCTGTGAGTTGAACACACACAACACAAGGAAGTTACTGGGAATTCTTCTGTCTAGCATAATATGAAGAAATCCCGTTTCCAACGAAGGCCTCAAAGACGTCTGAATATCCACTTGCAGACTTTACAAACAGAGTGTTTCCTAACTGCTCGATGAAAAGAAAAGTTAAACTCTGTGAGTTGAAGGCACACATCACAAAGGATTTTCTGAGAATCATTCTGTGTACTTTCTATAGGAAGATATTTCCTATTCTACATTTGAACTCAAAGCGGCTGAAATCTCCACTTGCAAATTCCACAAAAAGAGTGTTTCAAGTCTGCTCTGTGTAAAGGGTCGTTCAACTCTGTGAGTTGAATACACACAACACAAGGAAGTTCCTGAGAATTCCTCTGTCTAGCAGAATATGAAGAAATCCCGTTTCCAACGAAGGCCACAAGATGTCAGAATATCCACTTACAGAATTTTCAAATAGACTGTTTCCTAACTGCTCTATGAAAAGAATGGTTAAACTCTGTGAGTTGAACGAACACATCACAACGCAGTTTGTGGGAATGATTCTGTCTAGTTTTGAAACGAAGATATTTCCTTTTCTGCCATTGACCTTAAAGCGCTTGAAATCTCCACTTGCCAATTGCACAAAAAGAGTGTTTCAAATCTGCTCTGTCTAAGGGAACGTTCAACTCTGTGAGTTGAATGTACACAACGCAAGGAAGTTACTGGGAATTCTTCTGTGTAGCCTTACATGAAAAAAACCCGTTTCCAACGAAGGCCTCTAAGTGGTCAAATTATCCACGTGCAGACTTTACAAACAGAGTGTTTCCAAACTGCTGAATGAAAAGAAAAGTTAAACTGTGAGAGTTGAACGCACACATCGCAGAGCAGTTTCTGAGAATGATTCTGTCTAGTTTCTATAGGAAGAAATTTCCTATTCTACCATTGACCTCAAAGCGGCTGAAATCTCCACTTGCAAATTCCACAAAAAGAGTGTTTCAAGTCTGCTCTCTGTAAAGGATCGTTCAACTCTGTGAGTTGAATACACACAACACAAGGAAGTTACTGAGAATTATTCTGTCTAGCATAATATGAAGAAATCCCGTTTCCAACGAAGGCCTCAAAGAGGTCTGAATATTCACTTGCAGACTTTACAAACAGAGTGTTTCCTAACTGCTCCATGAAAAGAAAAGTTAAACTCTGTGAGTTGAACGCACACATCACAAAGGATTTTCTGAGAATCATTCTGTCTAGTTTTTATACGAAGATATTTCCTTTTCTACCATTGACCTCAACGCGGCTGAAATCTCCACTTGCAAATTCCACAAAACGAGTGTTTCAAGTCTGCTCTGTGTAAAGGATCGTTCAACTCTGTGAGTTGAATACACACAACACAAGGGAAGTTACTGAGGAATTCTTCTGTCTAGCAGAATATGAAGAAATCCCGTTTCCAACGAAGGCCACAAGATGTCAGAATATCCACTTACAGAATTTACAAACAGAGTGTTTCCTAACTGCTCTATGAAAAGAAAGGTTAAACTCTGTGAGTTGAACGAACACATCACAACGCAGTTTGTGGGAATGATTCTGTCTAGTTTTGAAAGTAAGATATTTCCTTTTCTGCCATTGACCTTAAAGCGCTTGAAATCTCCACTTGCTAATTGCACAAAAAGAGTGTTTCAAATCTGCTCTGTCTAAGGGAACGTTCAACTCTGTGAGTTGAATGTACACAACACAAGGAAGTTACTGGGAATTCTTCTGTCTAGCCTTACAGGAAAAAAACCCGTTTCCAACGAAGGCCTCTAAGTGGTCAAAATATCCACGTGCAGACATTACAAACAGAGTGTTTCCAAACTGCTGAATGAAAAGAAAAGTTAAACTCTGAGAGTTGAACGCACACATCGCAGAGCAGTTTCTGAGAATGATTCTGTCTAGTTTTTATACGAAGATATTTCCTTTTCTGCCTTTGGCCTCAAAGCGCTTGAAATCTCCATTTGCAAATTCCACAAAAAGAGTGTTTCAAATCTGCTCTGTGTAAATGAAAGTTCAACTCTGTGAGTTGAACACACACAACACAAGGAAGTTACTGGGAAATCTTCTGTCTAGCATAATATGAAGAAATCCCGTTTCCAACGAAGGCTTCAAAGAGGTCTGAATATCCACTTGCAGACTTTACAAACAGAGTGTTTCCTAACTGCTCTATGAGAAGAAAGGTTAAACTCTGTGAGTTGAACGCACACATCACAAAGGAGTTTCTGAGAATCATTCTGTCTAGTCTTCATACGAAGATATTTACTTTTCTACCATTGACCTCAAAGCGGCTGAAATCTCCACTTGCAAATTCCACAAAAAGAGTGTTTCAAGTCTGCTCTGTGTAAAGGATCATTCAACTCTGTGAGTTGAATACACACAACACAAGGAAGTTACTGAGAATTATTCTGTCTAGCATAATATGAAGAAATCCCGTTTCCAACGAAGGCCTCAAGGAGGTCTGAATATCCACTTGCAGACTTTACAAACAGAGTGTTTCCTAACTGCTCTATGAAAAGAAAGGTTAAACTCTGTGAGTTGAACGCATACATCACAAAGGAGTTTATGAGAATCATTCTGTCTAGTTTTGAAACGAAGATATTTCCTTTTCTGCCATTGACCTTAAAGCGCTTGAAATCTCCATTTGCCAATTGCACAAAAAGAGTGTTTCAAATCTGCTCTGTCTAAGGGAACGTTCAACTCTGTGAGTTGAATGTACACAACACAAGGAAGTTACTGCGAATTCTTCTGTCTAGCCTTACATGAAAAAAACCCGTTTCCAACGAAGGCCTCTAAGTGGTCAAAATATCCACGTGCAGACTTTACAAACAGAGTGTTTCCAAACCGCTGAATGAAAAGAAAAGTTAAACTCTGAGAGTTGAACGCAAACATCACGCAGCAGTTTTTGAGAATGATTCTGTCTAGTTTTTATACGAAGATATTTCCTTTTCTGCCTTTGGCCCCAAATCGCTTGAAATCTCCACTTGCAAATTCCACCAAAACAGTGTTTCAAATCTGCTCTCTCTAAATGAAAGTTCAACTCTGTCAGTTGAATACACACAACACAAGGAAGTTACTTAGAATTCTTCTGTCTAGCCTTATATGAAAAAAACCCGTTTCCAACGAAGGCCTCAAAGAGGTCTCAATATCCACTTGCAGACTTTACAAACAGAGTGTTTCCTAACTGCTCTATGAAAAGAAAGGTTAAACTCTGTGAGTTGAACGTACACATCACAAAGGAGTTTCTGAGAATCATTCTGTCTAGTCTTTATACGAAGATATTTCCTTTTCTACCATTGACCTCAAAGCGGCTGAAATCTCCACTTGCAAATTCCACAAAAAGAGTGTTTCAAGTCTCCTCTGTGTAAAGGATCGTTCAACTCTGTGAGTTGAATACACACAACACAAGGAAGTTAGTGAGAATTCTTCTGTCTAGCAGAATATCAAGAAATCCCGTTTCCAACGAAGGCCACAAGATGTCAGAATATCCACGTACAGAATTTACAAACAGACTGTTTCCTAACTACTCTATGAAAAGAAAGGTTAAACTCTGTGAGTTGAACGAACACATCACAACGCAGTTTGTGGGAATGATTCTGTCTAGTTTTGAAACGAAGATATTTCCTTTTCTGCCATTGACATTAAAGCGCTTGAAATCTACACTTGCAAATTGCACAAATAGAGTGTTTCAAATCTGCTCTGTCTAAGGGAACGTTGAACTCTGTGAGTTGAATGCACACAACACAAGGAAGTTACTGGGAATTCTTCTGTCTAGCCTTACATGAAAAAAACCCGTTTCCAACGAAGGCCTCTAAGTGGTCAAAATATCCACGTGCAGACTTTACAAACAGAGTGTTTCCAAACCGCTGAATGAAAAGAAAAGTTAAACTCTGAGAGTTGAACGCACACATCACGCAGCAGTTTCTGAGAATGATTATCTGTCTAGTTTCTATAGGAAGATATTTCCTATTCTACCATTGAACTCAAAGCGGCTGAAATCTCCACTTGCAAATTCCACAAAAAGAGTGTTTCAAGTCTGCTCTGTGTAAAGGATAGTTCAACTCTGTGAGTTGAATACACACAACACAAGGAAGTTACTGAGAATTCTTCTGTCTAGCATAATAGGAAGAAACTCCCGTTTCCAACGAAGGCCTCAAGGAGGTCTGAATATCCACTTGCAGACTTTACAAACAGAGTGTTTCCTAACTGCTCTATGAAAAGAAAGGTTAAACTCTGTGCGTTGAAAGCACACATCACAAAGGAGTTTCTGAGAATCATTCTGTCTAATTTCTATAGGAAGATATTTCCTATTCTACCATTGACCTCAAAGCGGCTGAAATCTCCACTTACAAATTCCACAAAAAGAATGTTTCAAGTCTGCTCTGTGTAAAGGATCGTTCAACTCTGTGAGTTGAATACACACAACACAAGGAAGTTACTGAGAATTCTTCTGTCTAGCATAATATGAAGAAATCCCGTTTCCAACAAAGGCCTCAAAGAGGTCTGAATATCCACTTGCAGACTTTACAAACAGAGTGTTTCCTAACTGCTCTATGAAAAGAAAAGTTAAACTCTGTGAGTTGAACGCACACATGACAAAGGAGTTTATGAGAATCATTCTGTCTAGTTTTGAAACGAAGATATTTCCTTTTCTGCCGTTGACCTTAAAGCGCTTGAAATCTACACTTGCAAATTGGACAAATAGAGTGTTTCAAATCTGCTCTGTCTAAGGGAACGTTCAACTCTGTGAGTTGAATGCACACAACACAAGGAAGTTACTGGGAATTCTTCTGTCTAGCCTTACATGAAGAAAACCCGTTTCCAACGAAGGCCTCTAAGTGGTCAAAATATCCACGTGCAGACTTTACAAACAGAGTGTTTCCAAACCGCTGAATGAAAAGAAAAGTTAAACTCTGAGAGTTGAACGCACACATCACGCAGCAGTTTCTGAGAATGATTCTGTCTAGTTTTTATACGAAGATATTTCCTTTTCTGCCTTTGGCCCCAAAGCGCTTGAAATCTCCACTTGCAAATTCCACAAAAACAGTGTTTCAAATCTGCTCTCTCTAAATGAATGTTCAACTCTGTCAGTTGAATACACACAACACAAGGAAGTTAGTGAGAATTCTTCTGTATAGCAGAATATGAAGAAATCCCGTTTCCAACGAAGGCCTCAAGGAGGTCTGAATATCCACTTGCAGACTTTACAAACAGAGTGTTTCCAAACTGCTCTATGAAAAGAAAGGTTAAACTCTGTGAGTTGAACGCAGACATCACAAAGGAGTTTCTGAGAATCACTCTGTCTAGTTTTTATACGAAGATATTTCCTTTTCTACCATTGACCTCAAAGCGGCTGAAATCTCCACCCTGCCAATTCCACAAAAAGAGTGTTTCAAGTCTACTCTGTGTAAAGGATCGTTGAACTCTGTGAGTTGAAAACACACAACACAACAAAGTTTCTGAGAATTCTTCTGTCTAGCAAAATATGAAGAAATCCCGTTTCCAACGAAGGCCACAAATGTCAGAATATCCACTTACAGAATTTACAAACAGACTGTTTCCTAACTGCTCTATGAAAAGAAAGGTTAAACTCTGTGAGTTGAACGAACACATCACAACGCAGTTTGTGGGAATGATTCTGTCTAGTTTTGAAACGAAGATATTTCCTTTTCTGCCATTGACCTTAAAGCACTTGAAATCTCCACTTGCCAATTGCACAAAAAGAGTGTTTCAAATATGCTCTGTCTAAGGGAACGTTCAACTCTGTGAGTTGAATGTACACAACACAAGGAAGTTACTGGGAATTCTTCTGTCTAGCCTTACATGAAAAAAACCCGTTTCCAACGAAGGCCTCTAAGTGGTCAAATTATCCACGTGCAGACTTTACAAACAGAGTGTTTCCAAACTGCTGAATGAAAAGAAAAGTTAAACTCTGAGAGTTGTACGCAGACATCGCAGAGCAGTTTCTGAGAATGATTCTGTCTAGTTTTTATACGAAGATATTTCCTTTTCTGCCTTTGGCCTCAAAGCGCTTGAAATCTCCATTAGCAAATTCCACAAAAAGAGTGTCTCAAATCTGCTCCTGTGTAAAGGACCGTTCACCTACTGTGAGTTGAACACACACAACACAAGGAAGTTACTGGGAATTCTTCTTTCTAGCAGAATATGAAGAAATCCCGTTTCCAACGAAAGCCTCAATGATGTCTGAATATCCACTTGCAGACTTTACAAACAGAGTGTTTCCTAACTGCTCTATGAAAAGAAAGGTTAAACTCTGTGAGTTGAACGCACACATCACAAAGGAGTTTCTGAGAATCATTCTGTCTAGTTTTTCTACGAAGATATTTCCTTTTCCACTATTGACCTCAAAGCGGCTGAAATCTCCACTTGCAAATTCTACAAAAAGAGTGTTTCAAGTCTGCTCTGTGTAAAGGATCGTTCAACTCTGTGAGTTGAATACACACAACACAAGGAAGTTACTGAGAATTCTTCTGTGTAACAGAATATGAAGAAATCCCGTTTCCAACGAAGGCCTCAAAGAGGTCTGAATATCCACTTGCAGACTTTACAAACAGAGTGTTTCCTAACTGCTCTATGAAAAGAAAGGTTAAACTCTGTGAGTTGAACGCACACATCACAAAGGAGTTTCTGAGAATCATTCTGTCTAGTTTCTATAGAAAGATATTTCCTATTCTACCATTGACCTCAAAGCGGCTGAAATCTCCACTTGCAAATTCCACAAAAAGAGTGTTTCAAGTCTGCTCTCTGTAAAGGATCGTTCAACTCTGTGAGTTGAATACACACAACACAAGGAAGTTACTGAGAATTCTACTGTCTAGCCTTACAGGAAAAAAACCCGTTTCCAACGAAGGCCTCTAAGTGGTCAAAATATCCACGTGCAGACTTTACAAACAGAGTGTTTCCAAACTGCTGAATGAAAAGAAAAGTTAAACTCTGAGAGTTGAACGCACACATCGCAGAGCAGTTTCTGAGAATGATTCTGTCTAGTTTTGAAACGAAGATATTTCCTTTTCTGCCTTTGGCCTCAAAGCGCTTGAAATCTCCACTTGCAAATTCCACAAAAAGAGTGTTACAAGTCTGCTCTGTGTAAAGGATCGTTCAACTCTGTGAGTTGAATACACACAACACAAGGAAGTTACTGAGAATTACTTCTGTCTAGCAGAACATGAAGAAATCCCGCTTCCAAAGAAGGCCTCAAAGAAGTCTGAATATCCACTTGCAGACTTTACAAACAGAGTGTTTCCCAACTGCTCTATGAAAAGAAAGGTTGAACTCTGTGAGTTGAACACACACATCACAAAGGAGTTTCTGAGAATCATTCTGTCTAGTCTTTATACGAAGATATTACCTTTTCTACCATTGACATCAAAGCGGCTGAAATCTCCATTTGCAAATTCCACAAAAAGAGTGTTTCAAGTCTGCTCTGTGTAAAGGATCGTTCAACTCTGTGAGTTGAATACACACAACACAAGGAAGTTACTGAGAATTCTTCTGTCTAGCAGGAATATGAAGAAATCCCGTTTCCAACGAAGGCCACAAGATGTCAGAATATCCACTTACAGAATTGACAAACAGACTGTTTCCTAACTGCTCTATGAAAAGAAAGGTTAAACTCTGTGAGTTGAACGAACACATCACAACGCAGTTTGTGGGAATGATTCTGTCTAGTTTTTATACGAAGATATTTCCTTTTCTACCATTGACCTCAAAGCGGCTGAAATCACCACTTGCCAAATGCACAAAAAGAGTGTTTCAAATCTGCTCTGTCTAAGGGAACGTTCAACTCTGTGAGTTGAATGTACACAACACAAGGAAGTTACTGGGAATTCTTCTGTCTAGCCTTACATGAAAAAAACCCGTTTCCAACGAAGGCCTCTAAGTGTTCAAAATATCCACGTGCAGACTTTACAAACAGAGTGTTTCCAAACCGCTGAATGAAAGGAAAAGTTAAACTCTGAGAGTTGAACGCACACATCACGCAGCAGTTTTCTGAGAATGATTTCTGTCTAGTTTTTATACGAAGATATTTCCTTTTCTGCCTTTGGCCCCAAAGCTCTTGAAATCTCCACTTGCAAATTCCACAAAAACAGTGTTTCAAATGTGCTCTCTCTAAATGAAAGTTCAACTCTGTCAGTTGAATACACACAACACAAGGAAGTTACTGAGAATTCTTCTCTCCAGCACAGTATGAAGAAATCCCGTTTCCAACGAAGGCCTCAAAGAGGTCTGAATATCCACTTGCACAGTTTAAAAACACAGTGTTTCCTAACTGCTCTATGAAAAGAAAGGTTAAACTCTGTGAGTTGAACGCACACATCACAAAGAAGTTTCTGAGAATCATTCTGTCTAATTTCTATAGGTAGATATTTCCTATTCTACCATTGACCTCAAAGCGGCTGAAATCTCCACTTGCAAATTCCACAAAAAGAGTGTTTCAAGACTGTTCTGTGTAAAGGATCATTCAACTCTGTGAGTTGAATACACACAACACAAGGAAGTTACTGAGAATTCTTCTGTCTAGCAGAATATGAAGAAATCCCGTTTCCAACGAAGGCCACAAGATGTCAGAATATCCACTTACAGAATTAACAAACAGAGTGTTTCCTAACTGCTCTATGAAAAGAAAGGTTAAACTCTGTGAGATGAACGAACACATCACAACGCAGTTTGTGGGAATGATTCTGTCTAGTTTTGAAACGAAGATATTTCCTTTTCTGCCATTGACCTCAAAGCGCTTGAAATCTCCACTTGCCAATTGCACAAAAAGAGTGTTCCAAATCTGCTCTGTCTAAGGGAACGTTCAACTCTGTGAGTTGAATGTACACAACACAAGGAAGTTACTGGGAATTCTTCTGTCTAGCCCTACATGACAAAAACCCGTTTCCAACGAAGGCCTCTATGTGGTCAAATTATCCACGTGCAGACTTTTCAAACAGAGTGTTTCCAAACTGCTGAATGAAAAGGAAAGTTAAACTCTGAGAGTTGAACGCACACATCACAGAGCAGTTTCTGAGAATCATTCTGTCCAGTTTTTATACGAAGATATTTCCTTTTCTTCCTTTGGCCTCAAAGCGCTTGAAATCTCCATTTGCAAATTCCACAAAAAGAGTGTTTCAAATCTGCTCTGTGTAAATCAAAGTTCAACTCTGTGAGTTGAACACACACAACACAAGGAAGTTACTGGGAATTCTTCTGTCTAGCCTTATATGAAAAAAACCCGTTTCCAACGAAGGCCTCAAAGAGGTCTGAATATCCACTTGCAGACTTTACAAAAAGAGTGTTTCCTAACTGCTCTATGAAAAGAAAAGTTAAACTCTGTGAGTTGAACGCACACATCACAAAGGAGTTTCTGAGAATCATTCTGTCTAATTTTTATAGGAAGATATTTCCTTTTCTACCTTTGACTTCAAAGCGGCTGAAATCTCCACTTGCAAATTCCACAAAAAGAGTGTTACAAGTCTGCTCTGTGTAAAGGATCGTTCAACTCTGTGAGTTGAATACACACAACACAAGGAAGTTACTGAGAATTCTTCTGTCTAGCACAGTATGAAGAAATCCCGTTTCCAACGAAGGCCTCAAAGAGGTCTGAATATCCACTTGCAGAGTTTACAAACAGAGTGTTTCCTAACTGCTCTATGAAAAGAAAGGTTAAACTCTGTGAGTTGAACGCACACTTCACAAATGAAGTTTCTGAGAATCATTCTGTCTAGTTTTGAAACGAAAATATTTCCTTTTCTGCCATTGACCTTAAAGCGCTTGAAATCTCCACTTGCCAATTGCACAAAAAGAGTGTTTCAAATCTGCTCTGTCTAAAGGAACGTTCAACTCTGTGAGTTGAATGTACACAACACAAGGAAGTTACTGGGAATTCTTCTGTCTAGCCTTACATGCAAAAAACCGTTTCAAAAGAAGGCCTCTAAGTGGTGAAAATATCCACGTGCGGACTTTACAAACAGAGTGTTTCCAAACCGCTGAATGAAAAGAAAAGTTAAACTCTGAGAGTTGAATGCACACATCACGCAGCAGTTTCTGAGAATGATTCTGTCTAGTTTTTATACGAAGATATTTCCTTTTCTGCCTTTGGCCCCAAAGCGCTTGAAATCTCCACTTGCAAATTCCACAAAAACAGTGTTTCAAATGTGATCTCTCTAAATGAAAGTTCAACTCTGTCAGTTGAATACACACAACACAAGGAAGTTACTGAGAATTCTTCTGTCTAGCATAATATGAAGAAATCCAGTTTCCAACGAAGGCCTCAAGGATGTCTGAATTATCCACTTGCAGACTTTACACACAGAGTGTTTCCTAACTGCTCTATGAAAAGAAAGGTTAAACTCTGTGAGTTGAACGCACACATCACAAAGGAGTTTCTGAGAATCATTCTGTCTAGTTTCTATAGGAAGATATTTCCTATTCTACCGTTGACCTCAAAGCGGCTGAAATCTCCACTTGCAAATTCCACAAAAAGAGTGTTTCAAGTCTGCTCTATGTAAAGGATCGTTCAACTCTGTGAGTTGAATACACACAACACAAGGAAGTTTCTGAGAATTCTTCTGTCTAGCAGAATATGAAGAAATCCCGTTTCCAACGAAGGCCACAAGATGTCAGAATATCCACTTACAGACTTTACAAACAGAGTGTTTCCTAACTGCTCTATGAAAAGAAAAGTTAAACTCTGTGAGTTGAACGCACACATCACAAAGGAGTTTATGAGAATCATTCTGTCTAGTCTTTATACGAAGATATTTCCTTTTCTACCATTGACCTCAAAGCGGCTGTAATCTCCACTTGCAAATTCCACAAAAAGAGTGTTTCAAGTCTGCTCTGTGTAAAGGATTGTTCAACTCTGTGAGCCGAATACACACAACACAAGGAAGTTACTGAGAATTCTTCTGTCTAGCCTTACATGAAAAAAACCCGTTTCCAACGAAGGCCTCAAAGAGGTCAAAATATCCACGTGCAGACTTTCCAAACAGAGTGTTTCCAAACTGCTGAATGGAAAGAAAAGTTAAACTCTGTGAGTTGAACGCACACATCCCAGAGCAGTTTCTGAGAAAGATTCTGTCTAGTTTTGAAACGAAGATATTTCTTTTTCTGCCTTTGGCCTCAAAGCGCTTGAAATCTCCACTTGCAAATTCCACAAAAAGAGTGTTTCAAATCTGCTCTGTGTAAATGAAAGTTCAACTCTGTGAGTCGAACACACACAATACAAGGAAGTTACTGGGAATTCTTCTGTCTAGCATAATATGAAGAAATCCCGTTTCCTACGAAGGCCTCAAAGAGGTCTGAATATCCACTTGCAGACTTTACAAACAGAGTGTTTCCTAACTGCTCTATGAAAAGAAAGGTTGAACTCTGTGAGTTGAGCGCACACATCACAAAGGAGTTTCTGAGAATCATTCTGTCTAGTTTTTATACGAAGATATTTCCTTTTCTACCATTGACCTCAACGCGGCTGAAATCTCCAATTGCAAATTCCACAAAAAGAGTGTTACAAGTCTGCTCTGTGTAAAGGATCGTTCAACTCTGTGAGTTGAATACACACAACACAAGGAAAGTTACTGAGAATTCTTCTGTCTAGCAGAATATGAAGAAATCCCGTTTCCAACGAAGGCCACAAGATGTCAGAATATCCACTTACAGACTTTACAAACAGAGTGTTTCCTAACTGCTCTATGAACAGAAAGGTTAAACTCTGTGAGTTGAACGAACACATCAGAACGCAGTTTGTGGGAATGATTCTGTCTAGTTTTGAAACGAAGATATTTCCTTTTCTGCCGTTGACCTTAAAGCGCTTGAAATCTACACTTGCAAATTGCACAAATAGAGTGTTTCAAATCTGCTCTGTCTAAGGGAACGTTCAACTCTGTGAGTTGAATGCACACAAAACAAGGAAGTTACTGGGAATTCTTCTGTCTAGCCTTACATGAAAAAAACCCGTTTCCAACGAAGGCCTCTAAGGGGTCAAAATATCCTCGTGCAGACTTTACAAACAGAGTGTTTCCAAACCGCTGAATGAAAAGAAAAGTTAAACTCTGAGAGTTCAACGCACACATCACGCAGCAGTTTCTGAGAATGATTCTGTCTAGTTTTTATACGAAGATATTTCCTTTTCCGCCTTTGGCCCCAAAGCGCTTGAAATCTCCACTTGCAAATTCCACAAAAACAGTGTTTCAAATCTGCTCTCTATAAATGAAAGTTCAACTCTGTCAGTTGAATACACACAACACAAAGAAGTTACTGAGAATTCTTCTGTCTAGCCTTATATGAAAAAAACCCGTTTCCAACGAAGGCCTCAAACAGGTCTGAATATCCACTTGCAGACTTTAGAAACAGAGTGTTTCCTAACTGCTCTATGAAAAGAAAGGTTAAACTCTGTGAGTTGAACGCACACATCACAAAGGAGTTTCTGAGAATCATTCTGTCTAGTTTCTATAGGAAGATATTTCCTATTCTACCACTGACCTCAAAGCGGCTGAAATCTCCACTTGCAAATTCCACAAAAAGAGTGTTTCAAGTCTGCTCTCTGTAAAGGATCGTTCAACTCTGTGAGTTGAATACACACAACACAAGGAAGTTTCTGAGAATTATTCTGTCTAGCAGAATATGAAGAAATCCCGTTTCCAACGAAGGCCACAAGATGTCAGAATATCCACTTACAGAATTGACAAACAGACTGTTTCCTAACTGCTCTATGAAAAGAAAGGTTAAACTCTGTGAGTTGAACGAACACATCACAACGCAGGTTGTGGGAATTATTCTGTCTAGTTTTGAAACGAAGATATTTCCTTTTCTGCCATTGACCTTAAAGCGCTTGAAATCTACACTTGCAAATTGCACAAATAGAGTGTTTCAAATCTGCTCTGTCTAAGGGAACGTTCAACTCTGTGAGTGGAATGCACACAACAGAAGGAAGTTACTGGGAATTCTTCTGTCTAGCCTTACATGAAAAAAACCCGTTTCCAACGAAGGCCTCTAAGTGGTCAAATTATCCACGTGCAGACTTTACAAACAGAGTGTTTCCAAACTGCTGAATGAAAAGCAAAGTTAAACTCTGAGAGTTGAACGGCACACATCGCAGAGCAGTTTCTGAGAATGATTCTGTCTAGTTTTGAAACGAAGATATTTCCTTCTCTGCCTTTGGCCTCAAAGCGCTTGAAATCTCCACTTGCAAATTCCACAAAAAGAGTGTTTCAAATCTGCTCTGTGTAAATGAAAGTTCAACTCTGTGAGTTGAACACACACAACACAAGGAAGGTACTGGGAATTCTTCTGTCTAGCATAATATGAAGAAATCCCCTTTCCAACGAAGGCCTCAAGGAGGTCTGAATATCCACTTGCACACTTTACAAACAGAGTGTTTCCTAACTGCTCTATGAAAAGAAAGGTTAAACTCTGTGAGTTGAACGCACACATCACAAAGGAGTTTCTCAGAATCATTCTGTCTAGTTTTTATACGAAGATATTTCCTATTCTACCATTGACCTCAAATCGGCTGAAATCTCCACTTGCAAATTCAACAAAAAGTGTGTTTCAAGTCTCCTCTGTGTAAAGCATCGTTGAACTCTGTGAGTTGAATACACACAACACAAGGAAGTTACTGAGAATTCTTCTCTCTAGCAGAATATGAAGAAATCCCGTTTCCAACGATGGCCTCAAAGAGGTCTGAATATCCACATGCAGACTTTACAAACAGAGTGTTTCCTAACTGCTCTATGAAAAGAAAGGTTAAACTCTGTGAGTTGAACGCACACATCACAAAGGAGTTTCTGAGAATCATTCTGTCTAGTTTTGAAACGAAGATATTTCCTTTTCTGCCATTGACCTTAAAGCTCTTGAAATCTCCACTTGCAAATTGCACAAAAAGAGTGTTTCAAATCTGCTCTGTCTAAAGGAACGTTCAACTCTGTGAGTTGAATGCACCCAACACAAAGAAGTTACTGGGAATTCTTCTGTCTAGCCTTACATGGAAAAAGCCCGTATCCAATGAAGGACTCAAAGAGGTCAATATATCCACTTGCAGACTTTACAAGCAGAGTGTTTCCAAACTGCTGAATGAAAAGAAAAGTTAAACTCTGTGAGTTGAACGCACACATCACAGAGCAGTTTCTGAGAATGATTCTGTCTAGTTTTGAAACGAAGATATTTCCTTTTCTGCCTTTGGCCTCAAAGCGCTTGAAATCTCCACTTGCAAATTCCACAAAAAGAGTGTTTCAAATCTGCTCTGTGTAAATGAAAGTTCAACTCTGTGACTTGAACACACACAACACAAGGAAGTTACTGGGAATTCTTCTTTCTAGCAGAATATGAAGAAATCCCGTTTCCAACGAAAGCCTCAAAGATGTCTGAATATCCACTTGCAGACTTTACAAACAGAGTGTTTCCCAACTGCTCTATGAAAAGAAAGGTTAAACTCTGTGAGTTGAACGCACACATCACAAAGGAGTTTCTGAGAATCATTCTGTCTAGTTTTTATAGGAAGATATTTCCTTTTCTACCTTTGACTTGAAAGCGGCTGAAATCTCCACTTGCAAATTCCACAAAAAGAGTGTTACAAGTCTGCTCTGTCTAAGGGAACGTTCAACTCTGTGAGTGGAATGTACACAACACAAGGAAGTTACTGGGAATTCTTCTGTCTAGCAAAATATGAAGAAATCCCTTTTCCAACGAAGGCCACAAGATGTCAGAATATCCACTTACAGACTTTACAAACAGAGTGTTTCCTAACTGCTCTATGAACAGAAAGGTTAAACTCTGTGAGTTGAACGAACACATCACAACGCAGTTTGTGGGAATGATTCTGTCTAGTTTTGAAACGAAGATATTTCCTTTTTCTGCCGTTGACCTTAAAGCGCTTGAAATCTACACTTGCAAATTGCACAAATAGAGTGTTTCAAATCTGCTCTGTCTAAGGGAACGTTCAACTCTGTGAGTTGAATGCACACAACACAAGGAAGTTACTGGGAATTCTTCTGTCTAGCCTTACATGAAAAAAACCCGTTTCCAACGAAGGCCTCTAAGTGGTCAAAATATCCACGTGCAGACTTTACAAACAGAGTGTTTCCAAACCGCTGAATGAAAAGAAAAGTTAAACTCTGAGAGTTGAACGCACAGATCACGCAGCAGTTTCTGAGAATGATTCTGTCAAGTTTTTATACGAAGATATTTCCTTTTCTGCCTTTGGCCCCAAAGCGCTTGAAATCTCCACTTGCAAATTCCACAAAAACAGTGTTTCAAATCTGATCTCTCTAAATGAAAGATCAACTCTCTCAGTTGAATACACACAACACAAGGAAGTTACTGAGAATTCTTCTCTCTAGCAGAATATGAAGAAATCCCGTTTCCAACGATGGCCTCAAAGAGGTCTGAATATCCACTTGCAGACTTTACAAACAGAGTGTTTCCTAACTGCTCTATGAAAAGAAAGGTTAAACTCTGTGAGTTGAACGCACACATCACAAAGGAGTTTCTGAGAATCATTCTGTCTAGTCTTTATACGAAGATATTTACTTTTCTACCATTGACCTCAAAGCGGCTGAAATCTCCACTTGCAAATTCCACAAAAAGAGTGTTTCAAGTCTGCTCTGTGTAAAGGATCATTCAACCCTGTGAGTTGAATAAACACAACACAAGGAAGTTACTGAGAATTCTTCTGTCTAGCAGAATATGAAGAAATCCCGTTTCCAACGAAGGCCTCAAGGAGGTCTGAATATCCACTTGCACACTTTACAAACAGAGTGTTTCCTAACTGCTCTATGAGAAGAAAAGTTAAACTCTGTGAGTTGAACGCACACATCACAAAAGATTTTCTGAGAATCATTCTGTCTAGTTTTGAAACGAAGATATTTCCTTTTCTGCCATTGACCTTAAAGCGCTTCAAATCTCCACTTGCCAATTGCACAAAAAGAGTGTTTCAAATCTGCTCTGTCTAAGGGAACGTTCAACTCTGTGAGTTGAATGTACACAACACAAGGAAGTTACTGGGAATTATTCTGTCTAGCCTTACATGAAAAAAACCCGTTTCCAACGAAGGCCTCTAAGTGGTCAAAATATCTACGTGCAGACTTTACAGAGTGTTTCCAAACTGCTGAATGAAAAGAAAAGTTAAACTCTGAGAGTTGAACGCACACATCACAGAGCAGTTTCTGAGAATGATTCTGTCTAGTTTTTATACGAAGATATTTCCTTTTCTGCCTTTGGCCTCAAAGCGCTTGAAATCTCCACCTGCAAATTCCACAAAAAGAGTATTTCAAATCTGCTCTGTGTAAATGAAAGTTCAACTCTGTGAGTTGAACACACACAACACAAGGAAGTTACTGGGAATTCTTCTGTCTAGCCTTACATGAAAAAAACCCGTTTCCAACGAAGGCCTCAAAGAAGTCCAAATATCCACGTGCAGACTTTACAAACAGAGTGTTTCCTAATTGCTCTATGAAAAGAAAGGTTAAACTCTGTGGGTTGAACGCACACATCACAAAGGAGTTTCTGAGAATCATTCTGTCTAGTTTTTATACGAAGATATTTCCTTTTCTGCCTTTGACTTCAAAGCGGCTGAAATCTCCACTTGCAAATTCCACAAAAAGAGTGTTACAAGTCTGCTCTGTGTAAAGGATCGTTCAACTCTGTGAGTTGAATACACACAACACAAGGAAGTTACTGAGAATTCTTCTGTCTAGCAGAATATGAAGAAATCCCGTTTCCAACGAAGGCCACAAGATGTCAGAATATCCACTTACAGAATTGACAAACAGACTGTTTCCTAACTGCTCTATGAAAAGAAAGGTTAAACCCTGTGAGTTGAACGAACACATCACAACGCAGTTTGTGGGAATGATTCTGTCTAGTTTTGAAACGAAGATATTTCCTTTTCTGCCATTGACCTTAAAGCCCTTGAAATCTCCATTTGCCAATTGCACAAAAAGAGTGTTTCAAATCTGCTCTGTCTAAGGGAACGTTCAACTCTGTGAGTTGAATGTACACAACACAAGGAAGTTACTGGGAATTCTACTGTCTAGCCTTACAGGAAAAAAACCCGTTTCCAACGAAGGCCTCTAAGTGGTCAAAATATCCACGTGCAGACTTTACAAACAGAGTGTTTCCAAACTGCTGAATGAAAAGAAAAGTTAAACTCTGAGAGTTGAACGCACACATCGCAGAGCAGTTTCTGAGAATGATTCTGTCTAGTTTCTATAGGAAGATATTTCCTATTCTACCATTGACCTCAAAGCGGCTGAAATCTCCACTTGCAAATTCCACAAAAAGAGTGTTTCAAGTCTGCTCTGTGTAAAGGATCGTTGAAATCTGTGAGTTGAATACACACAACACAAGGAAGTTACTGAGAATTCTTCTGTCTAGCATAATATGAAGAAATCCCGTTTCCAACGAAGGCCTCAAGGAGGTGTGAATATCCACTTGCAGACTTTACAAACAGAGTGTTTCCTAACTGCTCTATGAAAAGAAAGGTTAAACTCTGTGAGTTGAACGCACACATCACAAAGGAGTTTCTGAGAATCATTCTGTCTAGTTTTTATACGAAGAGATTTCCTTTTCTACCATTGACCTCAACGCGGCTGAAATCTCCACTTGCAAATTTCACAAAAAGAGTGTTTCAATTCCGCTCTGTGTAAAGGATCGTTCAACTCTGTGAGTTGAATACACACAACACAAGGAAGATTCTGAGAATTCTTCTGTCTAGCACAGTATGAAGAAATCCCGTTTCCAACGAAGGCCTCAAAGAGGTCTGAATATCCACTTGCAGACATTACCAACAGAGTGTTTCCTAACTGCTCTATGAAAAGAAAGGTTAAACTCTGTGAGTTGAACACACACATCACAAAGGCGTTTCTGAGAATCATTCTGTCTAGTTTTGAAACCAAGATATTTCCTTTTCTGCCGTTGACCTTAAAGAGCTTGAAAACTACACTTGCAAATTGCACAAATAGAGTGTTTCAAATCTGCTCTGTCTAAGGGAACGTTCAACTCTGTGAGTTGAATGCACACAACACAAGGAAGTTACTGGGAATTCTTCTGTCTAGCCTTACAGGTAAAAAAACCCGTTTCCAACGAAGGCCTCTAAGTGGTCAAAATATCCACGTGCAGACTTTACAAACAGAGTGTTTCCAAACAGCTGAATGAAAAGAAAAGTTAAACTCTGAGAGTTGAACGCACACATCGCAGAGCAGTTTCTGAGAATGATTCTGTCTAGTTTTTATACGAAGATATATCCTTTTCTGCCTTGGCCTCAAAGCGCTTGAAATCTCCACTTGCAAATTCCACAAAAAGAGTGTTTCAAATCTGCTCTGTGTAAATGAAAGTTCAACTCTGTGAGTTGAACACACACAACACAAGGAAGTTACTGGGAATTCTTCTGTCTAGCAGAATATGAAGAAATCCCGTTTCCATCGAAGACCTCAAGGAGGTCTGAATATCCACTTGCAGACTTTAGAGAGTGTTTCCTAACTGCTCTATGAAAAGAAAGATTAAACTCTGTGAGTTGAACGCACACATCACAAAGGAGTTTCTGAGAATCATTCTGTCTAGTTTCTATAGGAAGATATTTCCTATTCTAACATTGAACTCAAAGCGGCTGAAATCTCCACTTGCAAATTCCACAAAAAGAGTGTTTCAAGTCTGCTCTGTGTAAAGGATCGTTCAACTCTGTGAGTTGAATACACACAACACAAGGAAGTTACTGAGAATTCTTCTGTCTAGCAGAATATGAAGAAATCCCGTTTCCAACGAAGGCCACAAGATGTCAGAATATCCACTTACAGAATTTACAAACAGAGTGTTTCCTAACTGCTCTATGAAAAGAAAGGTTAAACTCTGTGAGTTGAACTAACACATCACAACGCAGTTTGTGGGAATGATTCTGTCTAGTTTTGAAACGAAGATATTTCCTTTTCTGCCATTGACCTTAAGCGCTTGAAATCTCCACTTTCCAATTGCACAAAAAGAGTGTTTCAAATCTGCTCTGTCTAAGGGAACGTTCAACTCTGTGAGTTGAATGTACACAACACAAGGAAGTTACTGGGAATTATTCTGTCTAGCCTTACATGAAAAAAACCCGTTTCCAACGAAGGCCACTAAGTGGTCAAAATTTCCACGTGCAGACTTTACAAACAGAGTGTTTCCAAACCGCTGAATGAAAGGAAAAGTTAAACTCTGAGAGTTGAACGCACACATCACGCAGCAGTTTCTGAGAATGATTCTGTCTAGTTTTTATACGAAGATATTTCCTTTTCTGCCTTTGGCCCCAAAGCGCTTGAAATCTCCACTTACAAATTCCACAAAAACAGTGTTTCAAATCTGCACTCTCTAAATGATAGTTCAACTCTGTCAGTTGAATACACACAACACAAGAAAGTTACTGAGAATTCTTCTGTCTAGAATTACATGAAAAAAAACCCGTTTCCAACGAAGGCCTCAAAGAGGTGAAAATATCCACTTGCAGACTTTACAAACAGAGTGTTTCCTAACTGCTCTATGAAAGGAAAGGTTAAACTCTGTGAGTTGAACACCCATATCACAAAGGAGTTTCTGAGAATCATTCTGTCTAATTTTTATATGAAGATATTTCCTTTTCTATCATTGACATCAAAGCGGCTGAAATCTCCACTTGCAAATACCACAAAAAGAGTGTTTCAAATCTGCTCTGTGTAAATGAAAGTTCAACTCTGTCAGTTTAATACACACAACAAAAGGAAGTTACTGAGAATTCTTCTCTCTAGCCTTACATGAAAAAAACCCGTTTCCAACGAAGGCCTCAAAGAGGTTAAAATACCCACTTGCAGACTTTACAGAGTGTTTCCTAACAGCTCTATGAAAAGAAAGTTAAACTCTGTGAGTTGAACACCCACATCACAAAGGAGTTTCTGAGAATCATTCTGTCTAGTTTTTATACGAAGATATTTCCTTTTCTACCATTGACCTCAAAGCTGCTGAAATCACCACTTGCCAATTGCACAAAAAGAGTGTTTCAAATCTGCTCTGTCTAAGGGAACGTTCAACTCTGTGAGTTGAATGTACACAACACAAGGAAGTTCCTGGGAATTCTTCTGTCTAGCCTTACAGGAAAAAAGCCCGTTTCCAACGAAGGCCTCTAAGTGGTCAAAATATCCACGTGCAGACTTTACAAACAGAGTGTTTCCAAACTGCTGAATGAAAAGAAAAGTTAAACTCTGAGAGTTGAACGCACACATCGCAGAGCAGTTTCTGAGAATGATTCTGTCTAGTTTTTATACGAAGATATTTCCTTTTCTGCCTTTGGCCTCAAAGCGCTTGAAATCTCCATTTGCAAATTCCACAAAAAGAGTGTGTCAAATCTGCTCTGTGTAAATGAAAGTTCAACTCTGTGAGTTGAACACACACAACACATGGAAGTTACTGGGAAATCTTCTGTCTAGCATAATATGAAGAAATCCCGTTTCCAACGAAGGCCTCAAGGAGGTCTGAATATCCACTTGCAGACTTTACAAACAGAGTGTTTCCTAACTGCTCTATGAAAAGAAAGGTTAAACTCTGTGAGTTGAACGCACACATCGCAAAGTAGTTTCTGAGAATCATTCTGTCTAGTTTCTATATTAAGATATTTCCTATTCTACCATTGACCTCAAAGCGGCTGAAATCTCCACTTACAAATTCCACAAAAAGAGTGTTTCAAGTCTGCTCTCTGTAAAGGATCTTTCAACTCTGTGAGTTGAATACACACAACACAAGGAAGTTACTGAGAATTCTTCTGTCTAGCAGAATATGAAGAAATCCCGTTTCCAACGAAGGCCACAAGATGTAAGAATATCCACTTACAGACTTAACAAACAGAGTGTTTCCTAACTGCTCTATGAACAGAAAGGTTAAACTCTGTGAGTTGAACGAACACATCACAACGCAGTTTGTGGGAATGATTCTGTCTAGTTTTGAAACGAAGATATTTCCTTTTCTGCCATTGACCTTAAAGCGCTTGAAATCTACACTTGCAAATTGCACAAATAGAGTGTTTCAAATCTGCTCTGTCTAAGGGAACGTTCAATTCTGTGAATTGAATGCACACAACACAAGGAAGTTACTGGGAATTCTTCTGTCTAGCCTTACATGAAAAAAACCCGTTTCCAACGAAGGCCTCTACGTGGTCAAGTTATCCACGTGCAGACTTTACAAACAGAGTGTTTTCAAACTGCTGAATGAAAAGAAAAGTTAAACTCTGAGAGTTCAACGCACACATCGCAGAGCAGTTTCTGAGAATGATTCTGTCTAGTTTTTATACGAAGATATTTCCTTTTCTGCCTTTGGCCTCAAAGCGCTTGAAATCTCCACTTGCAAATTCCACAAAAAGAGTGTTTCAAATCTGCTCTGTGTAAATGAAAGTTCAACTCTGTGAGTTGAACACACACAACACAAGGAAGTTACTGGGAATTCCTCTGTCTAGCCTTATATGAAAAAAACCCGTTTCCAACGAAGACCTCAAAGAGGTCTGAATATCCACTTGCAGACTTTACAAACAGAGTGTTTCCTAACTGCTCTATGAAAAGAAAGGTTAAACTCTGTGAGTTGAACGCACACATCACAAAGGAGATTCTGAGAATCATTCTGTCTAGTTTTTATAGGAAGATATTTCCTTTTCTACCTTTGACTTCAAAGCGGCTGAAATCTCCACTTGCAAATTCCACAAAAAGAGTGTTACAAGTCTGCTCTGTGTAAAGGATCGTTCAACTCTATGAGTTGAATACACACAACACAAGGAAGTTACTGAGAATTCTTCTGTCTAGCAGAATATGAAGAAATCCCGTTTCCAACGAAGGCCTCAAGGAGGTCTGAATATCTACTTGCAGACTTTACAAACAGAGTGTTTCCTAACTGCTCTATGAAAAGAAAGGTGAAACTCTGTGAGTTGAATGCACACATCATAAAGGAGTTTATGAGAATCATTCTGCCTAGTTTTGAAACGAAGATATTTCCTTTTCTGCCGTTGACCTTAAAGCGCTTGAAATCTACACTTGCAAATTGCACAAATAGAGTGTTTCAAATCTGCTCTGTCTAAGGGAACGTTCAACTCTGTGAGTTGAATGCACACAACACAAGGAAGTTACTGGGAATTCTTCTGTCTAGCCTTACAGGAAAAAAACCCGTTTCCAACGTAGGCCTCTAAGTGGTCAAAATATCCACGTGCAGACTTTACAAACAGAGTGTTTCCAAACTGCTAAATGAAAAGAAAAGTTAAACTCTGAGAGTTGAACGCACACATCGCAGAGCAGTTTCTGAGAATGATTCTGTCTAGTTTCTATAAGAAGATATTTCCTATTCTACCATTGACCTCAAAGCGGCTGAAATCTCCACTTGCAAATTCCACAAAAAGAATGTTTCAAGTCTGCTCTGTGTAAACGATCGTTCAACTCTGTGAGTTGAATACACACAACACAAGGAAGTTACTGAGAATTCTTCTGTCTAGCATAATATGAAGAAATCCCGTTTCCAACGAAGGCCTCAAAGAGGTCTGATTATCCACTTGCAGACTTTAAAAACAGAGTGTTTCCTAACTGCTCTATGAAAAGAAAAGTTAAACTTTGTGACTTGAACGCACACATCACAAAGGAGTTTATGAGAATCATTCTGTCTAGTTTTTATAGGAAGATATTTCCTTTTCTACCTTTGACTTCAAAGCGGCTGAAATCTCCACTTGCAAATTCCACAAAAAGAGTGTTTCAAATCTGCTCTGTGTAAATGAAAGTTCAACTCTGTGAGTCGAACACACACAACACAAGGAAGTTACTGGGAATTCTTCTGTCTAGCCTTATATGAAAAAAACCCGTTTCCAACGAAGGCCTCAAAGAGGTCTGAATATCCACTTGCAGACTTTACAAACAGATTGTTTCCTAACTGCTCTATGAAAAGAAAGGTTAAACTCTGTGAGTTGAACACACACATCACAAAGGAGTTTCTGAGAATCATTCTGTCTAGTTTTGAAACGAAGATATTTCCTTTTCTGCCATTGACCTTAAAGCGCTTGAAATCTCCACTTGCCAAGTGCACAAAAAGAGTGTTTCAAATCTGCTCTGTCTAAGGGAACGTTCAACTCTGTGAGTTGAATGTACACAACACAAGGAAGTTACTGGGAATTCTTCTGTCTAGCCTTACAGGAAAAAAACCCGTTTCCAACGAAGGCCTCTAAGTGGTCAAAATATCCACGTGCAGACTTTACAAACAGAGTGTTTCCAAACTGCTGAATGAAAAGAAAAGTTAAACTCTGAGAGTTGAACGCACACATCGCAGAGCAGTTTCTTAGAATGATTCTGTCTAGTTTTTATACGAAGATATTTCGTTTTCTGCCTTTGGCCCCAAAGCGCTTGAAATCTCCACTTGCAAATTCCACAAAAACAGTGTTTCAAATCTGCTCTCTCTAAATGAAAGTTCAACTATGTCAGTTGAATACACACAACACAAGGAAGTTACTGAGAATTCTTCTCTCTAGCCTTATATGAAAAAAACCCGTTTCCAACGAAGGCCTCAAAGAGGTCTGAATATCCACTTGCAGACTTTACAAACAGAGTGATTCCTAATTGCTCTATGAAAAGAAAGGTTAAACTCTGTGAGTTGAACACACACATCTCAAAGGAGTTTCTGAGAATCATTCTGTCTAGTTTCTATAGGAAGATATTTCCTATTCTACCATTGACCTCAAAGCGGCTGAAATCTCCACTTGCAAATTCCAGAAAAAGAGTGTTTCAAGTCTGCTCTGTGTAAAGGATCGTTCAACTCTGTGAGTTGAATACACACAACACAAGGAAGTTACTGAGAATTCTTCAGTCTAGCAGAATATGAAGAAATCCCGTTTCCAACGAAGGCCTCAAAGAGGTCTGAATATCCACTTGCAGACTTAACAAACAGAGTGTTTCCTAACTGCTCTATGAAAAGAAAGGTTAAACTCTGTGAGTTGAACGCACACATCACAAAGGAGTTTCTCAGAATCATTCTGTCTAGTTTTTATACGAAGATATTTCCTATTCTACCATTGACCTCAAAGCGGCTGAAATCTCCAATTGCAAATTCCACAAAAAGAGTGTTTCAAGTCTGCTCTGTGTAAAGGATCGTTCAACTCTGTGAGTTGAATACACACAACACAAGGAAGCTACTGAGAATTCTTCTGTCTAGCATAATATGAAGAAAACCCGTTTCCAACGAAGGCCTCAAAGAGGTCTGAATATCCACTTGCAGACTTTACAAACAGAGTGTTTCCTAACTGCTCTATGAAAAGAAAGGTTGAACTCTGTGAGTTGAACGCACACATCACAAAGGAGTTTCTGAGAATCATTCTGTCTAGTTTTTATACGAAGATATTCCCTTTTCTACTATTGACCGCAAAGCGGCTGAAATCTCTACCTGCAAATTCGAGAAAAAGAGTGTTTCTAATCTGCTCTGTGTAAAGGATCGTTCAACTCTGTGAGTTGAATACACACAACACAAGGAAGTTACTGAGAATTCTTCTGTCTAGCATAATTTGAATAAATCCCGTTTCCAACGAGGGCCTCAAGGAGGTCTGAATATCCACTTGCAGACTTTACAAACAGAGTGTTTCCTAACTGCTCTATGAAAAGAAAGGTTAATCCCTGTGAGTTTAACGCACACATCACAAAGAACTTACTGAGAATCATTCTGTCTAGTTTTTATACGAAGATATTTCCTTTTCTACCTTTGACTTCAAAGCGGCTGAAATCTCCACTTGCAAATTCCACAAAAAGAGTGTTTCAAGTCTGCTCTGTGTAAAGGATCGTTCAACTCTGTGAGTTGAATACACACAACACAAGGAAGTTACTGAGAATTCTTCTGTCTAGCAGAATATGAAGAAATCCCGTTTCCAACGAAGGCCACAAGATGTCAGAATATCCACTTACAGAATTTACAAACAGACTGTTTCCTAACTGCTCAATGAAAAGAAAGGTTAAACTCTGTGAGTTGAACGAACACATCACAACGCAGTTTGTGGGAATGATTCTGTCTAGTTTTGAAACCAAGATATTTCCTTTTCTGCCGTTGACCTTAAAGAGCTTGAAAACTACACTTGCAAATTGCACAAATAGAGTGTTTCAAATCTGCTCTGTCTAAGGGAACGTTCAACTCTGTGAGTTGAATGCACACAACACAAGGTAGTTACTGGGAATTCTTCTGTCTAGCCTTACATGATAAAAACCCGTTTCCAACGAAGACCTCTAAGTGGTCAAATTATCCACGTGCAGACTTTACAAACAGAGTGTTTCCAAACTGCTGAATGAAAAGATAAGTTAAACTCTGAGAGTTGAATGCACACATCGCAGAGCAGTTTCTGAGAATGATTCTGTCTAGTTTTTATACGAAGATATTTCCTTTTCTGCCTTTGGCTTCAAAGCGCTTGAAATCTCCACTTGCAAATTCCACAAAAAGAGTGTTTCAAATCTGCTCTGTGTAAATGAGAGTTCAACTCTGTGAGTTGAACACACACAACACAAGGAAGTTACTGGGAATTCTTCTGTCTAGCAGAATATGAAGAAATCCCGTTTCCAACGAAGGCCTCAAAGAGGTCTGAATATCCACTTGCAGACTTTACAAACAGAGTGTTTCCTAACTGCTCTATGAAAAGAATGGTTAAACTCTGTGAGTTGAACGCACACATCACAAAGGAGTTTCTGTGAATCATTCTGTCTAGTTTTTATACGAAGATATTTCCTTTTATACCATTGACCTCAAAGCGGCTGAAATCTCCACTTGCAAATTCCACAAAAAGAGTGTTTCAAGTCTGCTCTGCGTAAAGGATCGTTCAACTCTGTGAGTTGAAAACACACAACACAAGGAAGTTTCTGAGAATTCTTCTGTCTAGCAGAATATGCAGAAATCCCGTTTCCAACGAAGGCCACAAGATGTCAGAATATCCACTTACAGACTTTACAAACAGAGTGTTTCCTAACTGCTCTATGAACAGAAAGGTTAAACTCTGTGAGTTGAACGAACACTTCACAACGCAGTTTGTGGGAATGATTCTGTCTAGTTTTGAAACGAAGATATTTCCTTTTCTGCCATTGACCTTAAAGCGCTTGAAATCTACACTTGCAAATTGCACAAATAGAGTGTTTCAAATCTGCTCTGTCTAAGGGAACGTTCAACTCTGTGAGTTGAATGCACACAACACAAGGAAGTTTCTGGGAATTCTTCTGTCTAGCCTTACAGGAAAAAAACCCGTTTCCAACGAAGGCCTCTAAGTGGTCAAAATATCCACGTGCAGACTATACAAACAGAGTGTTTCCAAACTGCTGAATGAAAAGAAAAGTTAAACTCTGAGAGTTGAACGCACACATCGCAGAGCAGTTTCTGAGAATGATTCTGTCTAGTTTTTATACGAAGATATTTCCTTTTCTGCCTTTGGCCTCAAAGCGCTTGAAATCTCCACTTGCAAATTCCACAAAAAGAGTGTTTCAAATCTGCTCTGTGTACATCAAAGTTCAACTCTGTGAGTTGAACACACACAACACAAGGAAGTTACTGGGAATTCTTCTGTCTAGCAGAATATGAAGAAATCCCGTTTCCAACGAAGGCCTCAAAGAGGTCTGAATATCCACTTGCAGACTTTACAAACAGAGTGTTTCCTAACTGCTCTATGAAAAGAAATGTTAAATTCTGTGAGTTGAACGCACACATCACAAAGGAGTTTCTGAGAATCATTCTGTCTAGTTTCTATAGGAAGATATTTCCTATTCTACCATTGACCTCAAATCGGCTGAAATCTCCACTTGCAAATTGCACAAAAAGAGTGTTTCAAGTCTGCTCTGTGTAAAGGATCGTTCAACTCTGTGAGTTGAATACACACAACACAAGGAAGTTACTGAGAATTATTCTGTCTAGCATAATATGAAGAAATCCCGTTTCCAAAGAAGGCCTCAAAGAGGTCTGAATATCCACTTGCAGACTTTACAAACAGAGTGTTTCCTAACTGCTCTATGAAAAGAAAAGTTAAACTCTGTGATTTGAACGCACACATCACAAAGGAGTTTATGAGAATCATTCTGTCTAGTTTTGAAACGAAGATATTTCCTTTTCTGCCATTGACTTTAAAGCGCTTGAAATCTACACTTGCAAATTGCACAAATAGAGTGTTTCAAATCTGCTCTGTCTAAGGGAACGTTCAACTCTGTGAGTTGAATGCACACAACACAAGGAAGTTACTGGGAATTCTTCTGTCTAGCCTTACATGAAAAAAACCCGTTTCCAACGAAGGCCTCTAAGTGGTCAAATTATCCACGTGCAGACTTTACAAACAGAGTGTTTCCAAACTGCTGAATGAACAGAAAAGTTAAGCTCTGAGAGTTGAACGCACACATCACAGAGCAGTTTCTGAGAATGATTCTGTCTAGTTTTGAAACGAAGATATTTCCTTTTCTGCCTTTGGCCTCAAAGCCCTTGAAATCTCCATTTGCAAATTCCACAAAAAGAGTGTTTCAAATCTGCTCTGTGTAAATGAAAGTTCAACTCTGTGAGTTGAATACACACAACACAAGGAAGTTACTGAGAATTCTTCTTTCTAGCAGAATATGAAGAAAACCCGTTCCCAACGAAAGCCTCAAGGATGTCTGAATATCCACTTGCAGACTTTACAAACAGAGTGTTTCCTAACTGCTCTATGAAAAGAAAGGTTAAACTCTGTGAGTTGAACGCACACATCACAAAGGAGTTTCTGAGAATCATTCTGTCTAGTTTTTATACGAAGATATTTCCTTTTCTACCATGGACCTCAAAGCGGCTGAAATCTCCACTTGCAAATTCCACAAAAAGACTGTATCAAGTCTGCTCTGTGTAAAGGATCGTTCAACTCTGTGAGTTGAATACACACAACACAAGGAAGATTCTGAGAATTCTTCTGTCTAGCAGAATATGAAGAAATCCCGTTCCCAACGAAGGCCACAAGATGTCAGAATATCCACTTACAGACTTTACAAACAGAGTGTTTCCTAACTGCTCTATGAACAGAAAGGTTAAACTCTGTGAGTTGAACGAACACATCACAACGCAGTTTGTGGGAATGATTCTGTCTAGTTTTGAAACCAAGATATTTCCTTTTCTGCCGTTGACCTAAAAGAGCTTGAAAACTACACTTGCAAATTGCACAAATAGAGTGTTTCAAATCTGCTCTGTCTAAGGGTACGTTCAACTCTGTGAGTTGAATGCACACAACACAAGGAAGTTACTGGGAATTCTTCTGTCTAGCCTTACATGAAAAAAACCCGTTTCCAACGAAGGCCTCTAAGTGGTCAAATTATCCACGTGCAGACTTTACAAACAGAGTGTTTCCAAACTGCTAAATGAAAAGAAAAGTTAAACTCTGAGAGTTGAACGCACACATCGCAGAGCAGTTTCTGAGAATGATTCTGTCTAGTTTTGAAACGAAGATATTTCCTTTTCTGCCTTTGGCCTCAAAGCGCTTGAAATCTCCACTTGCAAATTCCACAAAAGAGTGTTGCAAATCTGCTCTGTGTAAATGAAAGTTCAACTCTGTGAGTTGAACACACACAACACAAGGAAGTTACCGGGAATTCTTCTGTCTAGCAGAATATGAAGAAATCCCGTTTCCAACGAAGGCCTCAAGGAGGTCTGAATATCCACTTGCAGACTTTACAAACACAGTGTTTCCTAACTGCTCTATGAACAGAAAGGTTAAACTCTGTGAGTTGAACGCACACATCACAAAGGAGTTTCTGAGAATCATTCTGTCTAGTTTCTATAGGAAGATATTTCCTATTCTACCATTGACCTCAAAGCGGCTGAAATCTCCACTTGCAAATTCCACAAGAAGAGTGTTTCAAGTATGCTCTGTGTAAAGGATCGTTCAACCCTGTGAGTTGAATACACACAACACAAGGAAGTTACTGAGAGTTCTTCTGTCTAGCAGAATATGAAGAAATCCCGTTTCCAACGAAGGCCTCAAAGAGGTCTGAATATCCACTTGCAGACTTTACAAACAGAGTGTTTCCTAACTACTCTATGAAAAGAACGGTTAAACTCTGTGAGTTGAACGCACACATCACAAAGGAGTTTCTGAGAATCATTTTCTGTCTAGTTTTGAAACGAAGATATTTCCTTTTCGGCCATTGACCTCAACGCGCTTGAAATCCCCACTTGCCAATTGCACAAAAAGAGTGTTTCAAATCTGCTCTGTCTAAGGGAACGTTCAACTCTGTGAGTTGAATGTACACAACACAAGGAAGTTACTGGGAATTCTTCTGTCTAGCCTTACAGGAAAAAAACCCGTTTCCAAAGAAGGCCTCTAAGTGGTCAAAATATCCACGTGCAGACTTTACAAACAGAGTGTTTCCAAACTGCTGAATGAAAAGAAAAGTTAAACTCTGAGAGTTGAACGCACACATTGCAAAGCAGTTTCTGAGAATGATTCTGTCTAGTTTTTATACGAAGATATTTCCTTTTCTAACTTTGGCCTCAAAGCGCTTGAAATCTCCACTTGCAAATTCCACAAAAAGAGTGTTTCAAATCTGCTCTGTGTAAATGAAAGTTCAACTCTGTGAGTTGAACACACACAACACAAGGAAGTTACTGGGAATTCTTCTCTCTAGCAGAATATGAAGAAATCCCGTTTCCAACGAAGGCCTCAAAGAGGTCTGAATATCCACTTGCAGACTTTACAAACAGAGTGTTTCCTAACTGCTCTATGAAAAGAAAGGTTAAACTCTGTGAGTTGAACGCACACATCACAAAAGAGTTTCTGAGAATCATTCTGTCTAGTTTTTCCACGAAGATATTTCCTTTTCTACTACTGACCTCAAAGCGGCTGAAATCTCCACTTGCAAATTCTACAAATAGAGTGTTTCAAGTCTGCTCTGTGTAAAGGATCGTTCAACTCTGTGAGTTGAATACACACAACACAAGAAAGTTACTGAGAATTCTTCTGTCTAGCAGAATATGAAGAAATCCCGTTTCCAACGAAGGCCACAAGATGTCAGAATATCCACTTACAGAATTGACAAACAGACTGTTTCCTAACTGCTCTATGAAAAGAAAGGTTAAACTCTGTGAGTTGAACGCACACATCACAAAGAAGTGTCTGAGAATCATTCTGTCTAGTTTTGAAACCAAGATATTTCCTTTTCTGCCGTTGACCTTAAAGAGCTTGAAAACTACACTTGCAAATTGCACAAATAGAGTGTTTCAAATCTGCTCTGTCTAAGGGAACGTTCAACTCTGTGAGTTGAATGCACACAACACAAGGAAGTTACTGGGAATTCTTCTGTCTAGCCTTACAGGAAAAAAACCCGTTTCCAACGAAGTCCTCTAAGTGGTCAAGTTATCCACGTGCAGACTTTACAACCAGAGTGTTTCCAAACTGCTGAATGAAAAGAAAAGTTAAACTCTGAGAGTTGAACGCACACATCGCAGAGCAGTTTCTGAGAATGATTCTGTCTAGTTTTGAAACGAAGATATTTCCTTTTCTGCCTTTGGCCTCAAAGCGCTTGAAATCTTCATTTGCAAATTCCACAAAAAGAGTGTTTCAAATCTGCTCTGTGTAAATGAAAGTTCAACTCTGTGAGTTGAACACACACAACACAAGGAAGTTACTGGGAATTCCTCTGTGTAGCATAATATGAAGAAGTCCCGTTTCCAACGAAGGCCTCAAGGAGGTCTGAATATCCACTTGCAGACTTTACAAACAGAGTGTTTCCTAACTGCTCTATGAAAAGAAAGGTTAAACTCTGTGAGTTGAATGCACACATCACTAAAGGAGTTTCTGAGAATCATTCTGTCTACTTTCTATAGGAAGATATTTCCTATTCTACCATTGACCTCAAAGCGGCTAAAATCTCCACTTGCAAATTCCACAAAAGGAGTGTTTCAAGTCTGCTCTGTGTAAAGGATCGTTCAACTCTGTGAGTTGAAAACACACAACACAAGGAAGTTTCTGAGAATTCTTCTGTCTGGCAGAATATGTAGAAATCCCGTTTACAACGAAGGCCACAAGATGTCAGAATATCCACTTACAGAATTTACCAACAGAGTGTTTCCTAACTGCTCTATGAAAAGAAAGGTTAAACTCTGTGAGTTGAACGAACACATCACAACGCAGTTTGTGGGAATGATTCTGTCTAGTTTTGAAAGTAAGATATTTCCTTTTCTGCCATTGACCTTAAAGCGCTTGAAATCTCCACTTGCTAATTGCACAAAAAGAGTGTTTCAAATCTGCTCTGTCTAAGGGAACGTTCAACTCTGTGAGTTGAATGTACACAACACAAGGAAGTTACTGGGAATTCTTCTGTCTAGCCTTACAGGAAAGAAACCCGTTTCCAACGAAGGCCTCTAAGCGGTCAAAATATCCACGTGCAGACTTTACAAACAGAGTGTTTCCAAACTGCTGAATGAAAAGCAAAGTTAAACTCTGAGAGTTGAACGCACACATCGCAGAGCAGTTTCTGAGAATGATTCTGTCTAGTTTTTATACGAAGATATTTCCTTTTCTGCCTTTGGCCTCAAAGCGCTTGAAATCTCCATTTGCAAATTCCACAAAAAGAGTGTTTCAAATCTGCTCTGACTAAATGAAAGTTCAACTCTGTGAGTTGAACACACACAACACAAGGGAAGTTACTGGGAATTCTTCTTTCTAGCAGAATATGAAGAAATCCCGTTTCCAACGAAAGCCTCAAGGAGGTCTGAATATCCACTTGCAGACTTTACAAACAGAGTGTTTCCCAACTGCTCTATGAAAAGAAAGGTTAAACTCTGTGAGTTGAACGCACACATCACAAAGGAGTTTCTGAGAATCATTCTGTCTAGTTTCTATAGGAAGATATTTCCTATTCTACCATTGACCTCAAAGCGGCTGAAATCTCCACTTGCAAATTCCACAAAAAGAGTGTTTCAAGTCTGCTCTGTGTAAAGGATCGTTCAACTCTGTGAGTTGAATACACACAACACAAGGAAGTTACTGGGAATTCTTCTGTGTAGCAGAATATGAAGAAATCCCGTTTCCAACGAAGGCCACAAGATGTCAGAATATCCACTTACAGACTTCACAAACAGAGTGTTTCCTAACTGCTCTATGAAGAGAAAGGTTAAACTCTGTGAGTTGAACGAACACATCACAACGCAGTTTGTGGTAATGATTCTGTCTAGTTTTTATACGAAGATATTTCCTTTTCTACCATTGACCCCAAAGCGGCTGAAATAACCACTTGCCAATTGCACAAAAAGAGTGTTTCAAATCTGTTCTGTCTAAGGGAACGTTCAACTCTGTGAGTTGAATGTCCACAACACAAGGAAGTTACTGGGAATTCTTCTGTCTAGCCTTACATGAAAAAAACCCGTTTCCAACGAAGGCCTCTAAGTGGTCAAGTTATCCACGTGCAGACTTTACAAAGAGAGAGTTTCCAAACTGCTGAATGAAAAGAAAAGTTAAACTCTGAGAGTTAAACGCACACATCGCACAGCAGTTTCTGAGAATGATTCTGTCTAGTTTTTATACGAAGATATTTCCTTTTCTGCCTTTGGCCTCAAAGCGCTTGAAATCTCCACTTGCAAATTCCACAAAAAGAGTGTTTCCAATCTGCTCTGTGTAAATGAAAGTTCAACTCTGTGAGTTGAACACACACAACACAAGGAAGTTACTGGGAATTCTTCTGTCTAGCAGAATATGAAGAAATCCCGTTTCCAACGAAGGCCTCAAAGAGGTCTGAATATCCACTTGCTGACTTTACAAACAGAGTGTTTCCTAACTGCTCTATGAAAAGAAAGGTTAAACTCTGTGAGTTGAACGCACACATCACAAAGGAGTTTCTGAGAATCATTCTGTCTAGTTTCTATAGGAAGATATTTCCTATTCTACCATTGAACCCAATGCGGCTGAAATCTCCACTTGCAAATTCCACAAAAAGAGTGTTTCAAGTCTGCTCTGTGTAAAGGATCGTTCAACTCTGTGAGTTGAATACACACAACACAAGGAAATTACTGAGAATTCTTCTGTCTAGCATAATATGAAGAAATCCCGTTTCCAATGAAGGCCTCAAAGGGGTCTGAATATCCAGTTGCAGACTTTATAAACAGAGTGTTTACTAACTGCTCTATGAAAAGAAAGGTTAAACTCTGTGAGGTGAACACACACATCACAAAGGAGTTTCTGAGAATCATTCTGTCTAGTTTTTCTACGAAGATATTTCCTTTTCTACTATTGACCTCAAAGCGGCTGAAATCTCCAATTGCAAATTCCACAAAAAGAGTGTTTCAAGTCTGCTCTGTGTAAAGGATCGTTCAACTCTGTGAGTTGAATACACACAACACAAGGAAGTTACTGAGAATTCTTCTGTCTTGCAGAATATGAAGAAATCCCGTTTCCAACGAAGGCCACAAGATGTCAGAATATCCACTTACAGACTTTACAAACAGAGTGTTTCCTAACTGCTCTATGAACTGAAAGGTTAAACTCTGTGAGTTGAACGAACACATCACAACGCAGTTTGTGGGAATGATTCTGTATAGTTTTGAAACGAAGATATTTCCTTTTCTGCCGTTGACCTTAAAGCGCTTGAAATCTACACTTGCAAATTGCACAAATAGAGTGTTTCAAATCTGCTCTGTCTAAGGGAACGTTCAACTCTGTGAGTTGAATGCACACAACACAAGGAAGTTACTGGGAATTCTTCTGTCTAGCCTTACATGAAAAAATCCCGTTTCCAACGAAGGCCTCTAAGTGGTCAAAATATCCACGTGCAGACTTTACAAACAGAGTGTTTCCAAACCGCTGAATGAAAAGAAAAGTTAAACTCTGAGAGTTGAACGCACACATCACGCAGCAGTTTCTGAGAATGATTCTGTCTAGTTTCTATAGGAAGATATTTCCTATTCTACCATTGACCTCAAAGCGGCTGAAATCTCCACTTGCAAATTCCACAAAAAGAGTGTTTCAAGTCTGCTCTGTGTAAAGGATCGTTCAACTCTGTGAGTTGAATACACACAACACAAGGAAGTTATTGAGAATTCTTCTGTCTACAATAATATGAAGAAATCCCGTTTCCAACGAAGGCATCAAGGAGGTCTGAATATCCACTTGCAGACTTTACAAACAGAGTGTTTCCTAACTGCTCTATGAAAAGAAAGGGTAAACTCTGTGAGTTGAACGCACACATCACAAAGGAGTTTCTGAGAATCATTCTGTCTAGTTTTTATACGAAGATATTTCCTTTTCTACAATTGACCTCAAAGCGGCTGAAATCTCCACTTGCAAATTCCACAAAAAGAGTGTTTCAAGTCTGCTCTGTGTAAAGGATCGTTGAACTCTCTGAGTTGAATACACACAACACAAGGAAGTTCCTGAGAATTCTTCTTTCTAGCAGAATATGAAGAAATCCCGTTTCCAACGAAAGCCTCAAGGATGTCTGAATATCCACTTGCAGACATTACAAACAGAGTGTTTCCTAACAGCTCTATGAAAAGAAAGGTTAAACTCTGTGAGTTGAACGCACACATCACAAAGGAGTTTCTGAGAATCATTCTGTCTAGTTTCTATAGGAAGATATTTCCTATTCTACCATTGACCTCAAAGCGGCTGAAATCTCCACTTGCAAATTCCACAAAAAGAGTGTTTCAAGTCTGCTCTGTGTAAAGCGTCATTGAACTCTGTGAGTTGAATACACACAACACAAGGAGGTTTCTGAGAATTCTTCTGTCTAGCATAGTATGAAGAAATCCCGTTTCCAACAAAGGCCTCAAAGAGGTCTGAATATCCACTTGCAGAGTTTATAAACAGAGTGTTTCCTAACTGCTCTATGAAAAGAAAGGTTAAACTCTGTGAGTTGAACGAACACATCACAACGCAGTTTGTGGGAATGATTCTGTCTAGTTTTGAAACGAAGATATTTCCTTTTCTGCCATTGACCTTAAAGCGCTTGAAATCTACACTTGCAAATTGCGCAAATAGAGTGTTTCAAATCTGCTCTGTCTAAGGGAACGTTCAACTCTGTGAGTTGAATGCACACAACACAAGGAAGTTACTGGGAATTCTTCTGTCTAGCCTTATATGAAAAAAACCCGTTTCCAAAGAAGGCCACAAAGAGGTCTGAATATCCACTTGCAGACCTTACAAACAGAGTGTTTCCAAACTGCTGAATGAAAAGAAAAGTTAAACTCTGAGAGTTGAACGCACACATCGCAGAGCAGTTTCTGAGAATGATTCTGTCTAGTTTTTATACGAAGATATTTCCTTTTCTGCCTTTGGCCCCAAAGCGCTTGAAATCTCCAGTTGCAAATTCCACAAAAACAGTGTTTCAAATCTGCTCTCTCTAAAAGAAAGTTCAACTCTGTCAGTTGAATACACACAACACAAGGAAGTTACTGAGAATTCCTCTCTCTAGCAGAATATGAAGAAATCCCGTTTCCAACGATGGCCTCAAAGAGGTCTGAATATCCACTTGCAGACTTTACAAACAGAGTGTTTCCTAACTGCTCGATGAAAAGAAAGGTTAAACTCTGTGAGTTGAACGCACACATCACAAAGGAGTTTCTGAGAATCATTCTGTCTAGTCTTTATACGAAGATATTTACTTTTATACCATTGACCTCAAATCGGCTGAAATCTCCACTTGCAAATTCCACAAAAAGAGTGTTTCAAGTCTGCTCTGTGTAAAGGATCATTCAACTCTGTGAGTTGAATAAACACAACACAAGGAAGTTACTGAGAATTCTTCTGTCTAGCAGAATATGAAGAAATCCCGTTTCCAACGAAGACCTCAAGGAGGTCTGAATATCCACTTGCAGACTTTAGAGAGTGTTTCCTAACTGCTCTATGAAAAGAAAGGTTAAACTCTGTGAGTTGAACGCACACATCACAAACGAGTTTCTGAGAATCATTCTGTCTAGTTTTGAAACGAAGGTATTTCCTTTTCTGCCATTGACCTTAAAGCGCTTGAAATCTCCACTTGCCAATTTCACAAAAAGAGTGTTTCAAATCTGCTCTGTCTAAGGGAACGTTCAACTCTGTGAGTTGAATGTACACAACACAAGGAAGTTACTGGGAATTCTTCTGTCTAGCCTTACATGAAAAAAACCCGTTTCCAACGAAGGCCTCTAAGTGGTCAAAATATCCACGTGCAGACTTTACAAACAGAGTGTTTCCAAACTGCTGAATGAAAAGAAAAGTTAAACTCTGAGAGTTGAACGCATACATCGCACAGCAGTTTCTGAGAATGATTCTGTCTAGTTTTTATACGAAGATATTTCCTTTTCTGCGTTTGGCCCCAAAGCGCTTGAAATCTCCAATTGCAAATTACACAAAAACAGTGTTTCAAATCTGCTCTCTCTAAATGAAAGTTCAACTCTGTCAGCTGAATACACACAACACAAGGAAGTTACTGAGAATTCTTCTGTCTACGCATAATATGAAGAAATCCCGTTTCCAACGAAGGCCTCAAAGAGGTCTGAATATCCACTTGCAGACTTTACAAACAGAGTGTTTCCTAACGGCTCTATGAAAAGAAAAGTTAAACTCTGTGAGTTGAACGCACACATCACAAAGGAGTTTCTGAGAATCATTCTGTCTAGTTTCTATAGGAAGATATTTCCTATTCTACCATTGACCTCAAAGCGGCTGAAATCTCCACTTGCAAATTCCACAAAAAGAGTGTTTCAAGTCTACTCTGTGTAAAGGATCGTTCAACTCTGTGAGTTGAATACACACAACACAAGGAAGTTACTGAGAATTCTTCTGTCTAGCACAATATGAAGAAATCCCGTTTCCAACGAAGGCCACAAGATGTCAGAATATCCACTTACAGACTTTACAAACAGAGTGTTTCCTAACTGCTCTATGAACAGAAAGGTTAAACTCTGTGAGTTGAACGAACACATCACAACGCAGTTTGTGGGAATGATTCTGTCTAGTTTTGAAACGAAGATATTTCCTTTTCTGCCATTGACCTTAAAGCGCTTGAAATCTACACTTGCAAATGGCACAAATAGAGTGTTTCAAATCTGCTCTGTCTAAGGGATCTTTCATCTCTGTGAGTTGAATGCACACAACACAAGGAAGTTACTGGGAATTCTTCTGTCTAGCCTTACATGAAAAAAACCCGTTTCCAACGAAGGCCTCTAAGGGGTCAAAATATCCACGGGCAGACTTCACAAACAGAGTGTTTCCAAACCGCTGAATGAAAAGAAAAGTTAAACTCTGAGAGTTGAACGCACACATCACGCAGCAGTTTCTGAGAATGATTCTGTCTAGTTTTGAAACGAAGATATTTCCTTTTCTGCCTTTGGCCTCAAAGCGCTTGAAATCTCCATTTGCAAATTCCACAAAAAGAGTGTTTCAAATCTGCTCTGTGTAAATGAAAGTTCAATTCTGTGAGTTGAACACACACAACACAAGGAAGTTACTGGGAATTCTTCTGTCTAGCAGAATATGAAGAAATCCCGTTTCCAACGAAGGCCTCAAGGAGGTCTGAATATCCACTTGCAGACTTTACAAACAGAGTGTTTCCTAACTGCTCTATGAACAGAAAGGTTAGACTCTGTGAGTTGAACGCACACATCACAAAGGAGTTTATGGGAATCATTCTGTCTAGTCTTTATACGAAGACATTTCCTTTTCTACCATTGACCTCAAAGCGGCTGAAATCTCCACTTGCGAATTCCACAAAAAGAGTGTTTCAAGTCTGCTCTCTGTAAAGGATCGTTCAACTCTGTGAGTTGAATACACACAACACAAGGAAAGTTACTGAGAATTATTCTGTCTAGCATAATATGAAGAAATCCCGTTTCCAACGAAGGCCTCAAAGAGGTCTCAATATCCACTTGCAGACTTTACAAACAGAGTGTTTCCTAACTGCTCTATGAAAAGAAAAGTTAAACTCTGTGAGTTGAACGCACACATCACAAAGGAGTTTCTGAGAATCATTCTGTCTAGTTTTGAAAGGAAGATATTTCCTTTTCTGCCGTTGACCTTAAAGCGCTTGAAATCTACACTTGCAAATTGCACAAATAGGCTGTTTCAAATCTGCTCTGTCTAAGGGAACGTTCAACTCTGTGAGTTGAATGCACACAACACAAGGAAGTTACTGGGAATTCTTCTGTCTAGCCTTACATGAAAAAAACCCGTTTCCAACGAAGGCCTCTAAGCGGTCAAATTATGCACGTGCAGACTTGACAAACAGAGTGTTTCCAAACTGCTGAATGAAAAGAAAAGTTAAACTCTGAGAGTTGAACGCACACATCGCAGAGCAGTTTCTGAGCATGATTCTGTCTAGTTTTTATACGAAGATATTTCCTTTTCTGCCTTTGGCCTCAAAGCGCATGAAATCTACCTTTGCAAATTCCACAAAAAGAGTGTTTCAAATCTGCTCTGTCTAAATGAAAGTTCAACTCTGTCAGTTGAATACACACAACACAAGGAAGTTACTGAGAATTCTTCTGTCTAGCAGAATATGAAGAAATCCCGTTTCCAACGAAGGCCTCAAAGGGGTCTGAATATCCACTTGCAGACTTTACAAACAGAGTGTTTCCTAACTGCTCCATGAGAAGAAAAGTTAAACTCTGTGAGTTGAACGCACACATCACAAAAGATTTTCTGTGAATCATTCTGTCTAGTTTTTATACGAAGAGATTTCCTTTTCTACCATTGACCTCAACGCGGCTGAAATCTCCAATTGCAAATTCCACAAAAAGAGTGTTTCAAGTCCGCTCTGTGTAAATGAAAGTTCAACTCTGTCAGTTGAATACACACAACACAAGGAAGTTACTGAGAATTCTTCTGTCTAGCAGAATATGAAGAAATCCCGTTTCCAACGAAGGCCACAAGGATGTCAGAATATCCACTTTCATACTTTACAAACAGAGTGTTTCCTAACTGCTCTATGAACAGAAAGGTTAAACTCTGTGGGTTGAACGAACACATCACAACGCAGTTTGTGGGAATGATTCTGTCTAGTTTTGAAACGAAGATATTTCCTTTTCTGCCATTGACCTTAAAGCGCTTGAAATCTACACTTCCAAATTGCACAAATAGAGTGTTTCAAATCTGCTCTGTCTAAGGGAACGTTCAACTCTGTGAGTTGAATGCACACAACACAAGGAAATTACTGGGAATTCTTCTGTCTAGCCTTACATGCAAAAAACCCGTTTCCAACGAAGGCCTCTAAGTGGTCAATATATCCACGTGCAGACTTTACAAACAGAGTGTTTCCAAACCGCTGAATGAAAAGAAAAGTTAAACTCTGAGAGTTGAACGCACACATCACGCAGCAGTTTCTGAGAATGATTCTGTCTAGTTTTTATACGAAGATATTTCCTTTTCTGCCTTTGGCCCCAAAGCGCTTGAAATCTCCACTTACAAATTCCACAAAAACAGTGTTTCAAATCTGCACTCTCTAAATGATAGTTCAACTCTGTCAGTTGAATACACACAACACAAGGAAGTTACTGAGAATTATTCTGTCTAGCATAATATGAAGAAATCCCCTTTCCAACGAAGGCCTCAAGGAGGTCTGAATATCCACTTGCAGACTTTACAAACAGAGTGTTTCCTAACTGCTCTATGAAAAGAAAGGTTTAACTCTGTGAGTTGAACGCACACATCACAAAGGAGTTTGTGAGAATCATTCTGTCTAGTTTCTATAGGAAGATATTTCCTATTCTACCATTGACCTCAAAGCGGCTGAAATCTCCACTTGCAAATTCCACAAAAAGAGTGTTTCAAGTCTGCTCTGTGTAAAGGATCGTTCAACTCTGTGAGTTGAATACACACAACATAAGGAAGTTACTGAGAATTATTCTGTCTAGCAGAATATGAAGAAATCCCGTTTCCAACGAAGGCCACAAGATGTCAGAATATCCACTTACAGAATTTACAAACAGACTGTTTCCTAACAGCTCTATGAAAAGAAAAGTTAAACTCTGTGATTTGAACGAACACATCACAACGCAGTTTGTGGGAATGATTCTGTCTAGTTTTGAAACCAAGATATTTCCTTTTCTGCCGTTGACCTTAAAGAGCTTGAAAACTACACTTGCAAATTGCACAAATAGAGTGTTTCAAATCTGCTCTGTGTAAAGTATCGTTCAACTCTGTGAGTTGAATACACACAACACAAGGAAGTTACTGAGAATTCTTCTGTCTAACCTTTCATGCAAAAAACCCGTTTCCAACGAAGGCCTCTAAGTGGTCAAAATATCCACGTGCAGACTTTACAAACAGACTGTTTCCAAACCGCTGAATGAAAAGAAAAGTTAAACTCTGAGAGTTGAACGCACACATCACGCAGCAGTTTCTGAAAATGATTCTGTCTAGTTTTTATACGAAGATATTTCCTTTTCTGCCCTTGGCCCCAAAGCGCGTGAAATGTCCTCTTGCAAATTCCACAAAAACAGTGTTTCAAATCTGCTCTCTCTAAATGAAAGTTCAACTCTGTGAGTTGAATACACACAACACAAGGAAGTTACTGAGAATTCTTCTGTCTAGCAGAATATGAAGAAATCCCATTTCCAACGAAGGCCTCAAGGAGGTCTGAATATCCACTTGCAGACTTTAACAACACAGTGTTTCCTAACTGCTCTATGAAAAGAAAGGTTAAACTCTGTGAGTTGAACGCACACATCACAAAGGAGTTTCTGACAATCATTCTGTCTAGTCTTTATACGAAGATATTTCCTTTTCTACCATTGACCTCAAAGCGGCTGAAATCTCCACTTGCAAATTCCACAAAAAGAGTGTTTAAAGTCTGCTCTGTGTAAAGGATCATTCAACTCTGTGAGTTGAATAAACACAACACAAGGAAGTTACTGAGAATTCTTCTGTCTAGCAGAATATGATGAAATCCCATTTCCAACGAAGGCCACAAGATGTCAGAATATCCACTTACAGACTTTACAAACAGAGTGTTTCCTAACTGCTCTATGAACAGAAAGGTTAAACTCTGTGAGTTGAACGAACACATCACAACGCAGTTTGTGGGAATGATTCTGTCTAGTTTTGAAACGAAGATATTTCCTTTTCTGCCATTGACCTTAAAGCGCTTGAAATCTACACTTGCAAATTGCACAAATAGAGTGTTTCAAATCTGCTCTGTCTAAGGGAACGTTCAACTCTTTGAGTTGAATGCACACAACACAAGGAAGTTACTGGGAATTCTTCTGTCTAGCCTTACATGAAAAAATCCCGTTTCCAACGAAGGCCTCTAAGTGGTCAAATTATCCACGTGCAGACTTTACAAACAGAGTGTTTCCAAACCGCTGAATGAAAAGAAAAGTTAAACTCTGAGTGTTGAACGCACACATCACGCAGCAGTTTCTGAGAATGATTTCTGTGTAGTTTTCAAACGAAGATATTTCCTTTTCTGCCTTTGGCCTCAAAGCGCTTGAAATCTCCACTTGCAAATTCCACAAAAAGAGTGTTTCAAATCTGCTCTGTGTAAATGAAAGTTCAACTCCGTGAGTTGAACACACACAACACAAGGAAGTTACTGGGAATTCTTCTGTCTAGCATAATATGAAGAAATCCCGTTTCCAACGAAGGCCTCAAGGAGGTCTGAATATCCACTTGCAGATTTTACAAACAGAGTGTTTCCTAACTGCTCTGTGAAAAGAAAGGTTAAACTCTGTGAGTTGAATTCACACATCACAAAGGAGTTTCTGAGAATCATTCTGTCTAGTCTTTATACGAAGATATTTCCTTTTCTACCATTGACCTCAAAGCGGCTGAAATCTCCACTTGCAAATTCCACAAAAAGAGTGTTTCAAGTCTGCTCTGTGTAAACGATCGTTCAACTCTGTGAGTTGAATACACACAACACAAGGAAGTTACTGAGAATTCTTCTGTCTAGCAGAATATGAAGAAATCCCGTTTCCAACGAAGGCCACAAGATGTCAGAATATCCACTTACAGAATTTACAAACAGACTGTTTCCTAACTGCTCTATGAAAAGAAAGGTTAAACATCTGTGAGTTGAACGAACACATCACAACGCAGTTTGTGGGAATGATTCTGTCTAGTTTTGAAACGAAGATATTTCCTTTACTGCCATTGACCTTAAAGCGCTTGAAATCTCCACTTCCCAATTGCACAAAAAGAGTGTTTCAAATCTGCTCTGTCTAAGGGAACGTTCAACTCTGTGAGTTGAATGTACACAACACAAGGAAGTTACTGGGAATTCTTCTGTCTAGCCTTACATGAAAAAAACCCGTTTCCAACGAAGGCCTCTAAGTGGTCAAGTTATCCACGTGCAGACTTTACAAACAGAGTGTTTCCAAACTGCTGAATGAAAAGAAAAGTTAAACTCTGAGAGTTGAACGCACACATCGCAGAGCAGTTTCTGAGAATGATTCTGTCTAGTTTTTATACGAAGATATTTCCTTTTCTGCCTTTGGCCTCAAAGCGCTTGAAATCTCCATTTGCAAATCCCACAAAAAGAGTGTTTCAAATCTGCTCTGTGTAAATGAAAGTTCAAATCTGTGAGTCGAACACACACAACACAAGGAAGTTACTGGGAATTCTTCTGTCTAGCAGAATATGAAGAAATCCCGTTTCCAACAAAAGCCTCAAAGATGTCTGAATATCCACTTGCAGACTTTACAAACAGAGTGTTTCCTAACTGCTCTATGAAAAGAAAGGTTAAACTCTGTGAGCTGAACGCACACAGCAAAAAGGAGTTTCTGAGAATCATTCTGTCTTGTCTTTATATGAAGATAGTTTCCTTTTCTACCATTGACCTCAAAGCGGCTGAAATCTCCACTTGCAAATTCCACAAAAAGAGTGTTTCAAGTCTGCTCTGTGTAAAGGATCGTTCAACTCTGTGAGTTGAATACACACAACACAAGGAAGTTACTGAGAATTCTTCTGTCTAGCAGAATATGAAGAAATCCCGTTTCCAAAGAAGGCCACAAGATGTCAGAATATCCACTTACAGAATTTACAAACAGAGTGTTTCCTAACTGCTCTATGAAAAGAAAGGTTAAACTCTGTGATTTGAACGAACACATCACAACGCAGTTTGTGGGAATGATTCTGTCTAGTTTTGAAACGAAGATATTTCCTTTTCGGCCATTGACCTTAAAACTCTTGAAATCTCCACTTGCCAATTGCACAAAAAGAGTGTTTCAAATCTGCTCTGTCTAAGGGAACGTTCAAATCTGTGAGTTGAATGTACACAACACAAGGAAGTTACTGGGAATTCTTCTGTCTAGCCTTACAGGAAAAAAACCCGTTTCCAACGAAGGCCTCTAAGTGGTCAAAATATCTACGTGCAGACTTTACAAACAGAGTGTTTCCAAACTGCTGAATGAAAAGAAAAGTTAAACTCTGAGAGTTGAACGCACACATCGCAGAGCAGTTTCTGAGAATGATTCTGTCTAGTTTTTATACGAAGATATTTCCTTTTCTACCATTGACCTCAAAGCGGCTGAAATCTCCACTTGCCAATTCCACAAAAAGAGTGTTTCAAGTCTTCTCTGTGTAATGGATCGTTGAACTCTGTGAGTTGAAAACACACAACACAAGGAAGTTTCTGAGAATTCTTCTGTCTAGCAGAATATGAAGAAATCCCGTTTCCAACGAAAGCCTCAAAGATGTCTGAATATCCACTTGCAGACTTTACAAACAGAGTGTTTCCTAACTGCTCTATGAAAAGAAAGGTTAAACTCTGTGAGCTGAACGCACACAGCACAAAGGAGTTTCTGAGAATCATTCTGTCTAGTTTCCATAGGAAGATATTTCCTATTCTACCATTGACCTCAAAGCGGCTGAAATCTCCACTTGCAAATTCCACAAATGGAGTGTTTCAAGTCTGCTCTGAGTAAAGGATCGTTCGACTCTGTGAGTTAAATAAACAGAACACAAGGAAGTTTCTGAGAATTCTTCTGTCTAGCAGAATATGAAGAAATCCCGTTTCCAACGGAGGCCACAAGATGTCAGAATATCCACTTACAGAATTTACCAACAGAGTGTTTCCTAACTGCTCTATGAAAAGAAAGGTTAAACTCTGTGAGTTGAACGAACACATCACAACGCAGTTTGTGGGAATGATTCTGTCTAGTTTTGAAACGAAGATATTTCCTTTTCTGCCGTTGACCTTAAAGAGCTTGAAAACTACACTTGCAAATTGCACAAATAGAGTGTTTCAAATCTGCTCTGTCTAAGGGAACGGTTCAACTCTGTGAGTTGAATGCACACAACACAAGGAAGTTACTGGGAATTCTTCTGTCTAGCCTTACATGAAAAAAACCCGTTTCTAACGAAGGCCTCTAAGTGGTCAAAATATCCACGTGCAGACTTTACAAACAGAGTGTTTCCAAACTGCTGAATGAAAAGAAAAGTTAAACTCTGAGAGTTGAACGCACACATCACAGAGCAGTTTCTGAGAATGATTCTGTCTAGTTTTTATACGAAGATATTTCCTTTTCTGCCTTTGGCCCCAAAGCGCTTGAAATCTCCACTTGCAAATTCCACAAAAACAGTGTTTCAAATCTGCTCTCTCTAAATGAAAGTTCACCTCTGTCACTTGAATACACACAACACAAGGAAGTTACTGAGAATTCTTCTGTCTAGCCTTATATGAAAAAAACCCGTTTCCAACGAAGGCCTCAAAGAGGTCTGAATATCCACTTGCAGACTTTACAAACAGAGTGATTCCTAACTGCTCTATGAAAAGAAAGGTTAAACTCTGTGAGTAGAACACACACATCTCAAAGGAGTTTCTGAGAATCATTCTGTCTAGTTTTTCTACGAAGATATTTCCTTTTCTATTATTGACCTCAAAGCGGCTGAAATCTCCACTTGCAAGTCCCACAAAAAGAGTGTTTCAAGTCTGCTCTGTATAAAGGATCGTTCAACCCTGTGAGCTGAATACACACAACACAAGGAAGTTACTGAGAATTCTTCTGTCTAGCATAGTATGAAGAAATCCCGTTTCCAACGAAGGCCTCAAACAGGTCTGAATATCCACTTGCAGACTTTACAAACAAAGTGTTTCCTAACTGCTCTATGAAAAGAAAGGTTAAACTCTGTGAGGTGAACGCACACATCACAAAGAAGTTTCTGAGAATCATTCTCTCTAGTTTTGAAACGAAGATATTTCCTTTTCTGCCATTGACCATAAAGCGCTTGAAATCTCCACTTGCCAATTGCACAAAAAGAGTGTTTCAAATCTGCTCTGTCTAAGGGAACGTTCAACTCTGTGAGTTGAATGTACACAACACAAGGAAGTTACTGGGAATTCTTCTGTCTAGCCTTACAGGAAAAAAACCCGTTTCCAACAAAGGCCTCTAAGTGGTCAAATTATCCACGTGCAGACTTTACAAACAGAGTGTTTCCAAACTGCTGAATGAAAAGAAAAGTTAAACTCTGAGAGTTGAACGCACGCATCGCAGAGCAGTTTCTGAGAATGATTCTGTCTAGTTTTTTTACGAAGATATTTCCTTTTCTGCCTTTGGCCTCAAAGCGCTTGAAATCTCCATTTGCAAATTCCACAAAAAGAGTGTTTCAAATCTGCTCTGTGTAAATGAAAGTTCAACTCTGTGAGTTGAACACACACAACACAAGGATGTTACTGGGAATTCTTCTGTCTAGCATAATATGAAGAAATCCCGTTTCCAACGAAGGCCTCAAAGAGGTCTGAATATCCACTTGCAGACTTTACAAACAGAGTGTTTCCTAACTGCTCTATGAAAAGAAAAGTTAAACTATGTGAGTTGAACGCACACATCACAAAGGAGTTTCTGAGAATCATTCTGTCTAGTTTCTATAGGAAGATATTTCCTATTCTACCATTGACCTCAAAGCGGCTGATATCTCCACTTGCAAATTCCACAAAAAGAGTGTTTCAAGTCTGCTCTGTGTAAAGGATCGTTCAACTCTGTGAGTTGAATACACACAACACAAGGAAGTTACTGAGAATTCTTCTGTCTAGCAGAATATGAAGAAATCCCGTTTCCAACGAAGGCCACAAGATGTCAGAATATCCACTTACAGACTTTACAAACAGAGTGTTTCCTAACTGCTCTATGAACAGAAAGGTTAAACTCTGTGAGTTGAGCGAACACATCACAACGCAGTTTGTGGGAATGATTCTGTCTAGTTTTGAAACGAAGATATTTCCTTTTCTGCCGTTGACCTTAAAGCGCTTGAAATCTACACTTGGAAATTGCACAGAGTGTTTCAAATCTGCTCTGTGTAAGGGAACGTTCAACTCTGTGAGTTGAATGCACACAACACAAGGAAGTTACTGGGAATTCTTCTGTCTAGCCTTACAGGAAAAAAACCCGTTTCCAACGAAGGCCTCCAAGCGGTCAAATTATCCACGTGCAGACTTTACAAACAGAGTGTTTCCAAACTGCTGAATGAAAAGAAAAGTTAAAGTCTGAGAGTTGAACGCACACATCGCAGAGCAGTTTCTGAGAATGATTCTGTCTAGTTTTTATACGAAGATATTTCCTTTTCTGCCTTTGGCCTCAAAGCGCTTGAAATCTCCAATTGCAAATTCCACTAAAAGAGTGTTTCAAATCTGCTCTTTGTAAATGAAAGTTCAACTCTGTGAGTTGAACACACACAACACAAGGAAGTTACTGGGAATCCTTCTGTCTAGCCTTATATGAAAGAAACCCGTTTCCAACGAAGGCCTCAAAGAGGTCTGAATATACACTTGCAGACTTTACAAACAGAGTGTTTCCTAACTGCTCTATGAAAAGAAAGGTTAAACTCTGTGAGTTGAACGCACACATCACAAAGGAGTTTCTGAGAATCTATCTGTCTAGTCTTTATACGAAGATATTTCCTTTTCTACCATGGACCTCAAAGCGGCTGAAATCTCCACTTGCAAATTCCACAAAAAGAGTGTTTCAAGTCTGCTCTGTGTAAAGGATCGTTCAACTCTGTGAGTTGAATACACACAACACAAGGAAGTTACTGAGAATTCTTCTGTCTAGCAGAATATGAAGAAATCCCGTTTCCAACGAAGGCCACAAGATGTCAGAATATCCCCTTACAGAATTTTCAAACAGACTGTTTCCTAACTGCTCTATGAAAAGAAAGGTTAAACTCTGTGAGTTGAACGAACACATCACAACGCAGTTTGTGGGAATGATTCTGTCTAGTTTTGAAACAAAGATATTTCCTTTTCTGCCATTGACTTTAAAGCGCTTGAAATCTACACTTGCAAATTGCACAAATAGAGTGTTTCAAATCTGCTCTGTCTAAGGGAACGTTCAACTCTGTGAGTTGAATGCACACAACACAAGGAAGTTACTGGGAATTCTTCTGTCTAGCCTTACAGGAAAAAAACCCGTTTCCAACGAAGGCCACTAAGTGGTCAAAATATCCACGTGCAGACTTTACAAACAGAGTGTTTCCAAACTGCTGAATGAAAAGAAAAGTTAAACTCTGAGAGTTGAACGCACACATCGCAGAGCAGTTTCTGAGAATGATTCTGTCTAGTTTCTATAGGAAGATATTTCCTATTCTACCATTGACTTCAAAGCGGCTGAAATATCCACTTGCAAATTCCACAAAAAGAGTGTTTCAAGTCTGCTCTGTGTAAAGGATCGTTCAACTCTGTGAGTTGAATACACACAACACAAGGAAGTTACTGAGAATTCTTCTGTCTAGCATAATATGAAGAAATCCCGTTTCCAAAGAAGGCCTCAAGGAGGTCTGAATATCCACTTGCAGACTTTACAAACAGAGTGTTTCCCAACTGCTCTATGAAAAGAAAGGTTAAACTGTGTGAGTTGAACGCACACATCACAAAGGAGTTTCTGAGAATCATTCTGTCTAGTTTTTATACGAAGATATTTCCTTTTCTACCATGGACCTCAAAGCGGCTGAAATCTCCACTTGCAAATTCCACAAAAAGAGTGTTACAAGTCTGCTCTGTGTAAAGGATCGTTCAACTCTGTGAGTTGAATACACACAACACAAGGAAGTTACTGAGAATTCTTCTGTCTAGCAGAATATGAAGAAATCCCGTTGCCAACGAAGGCCACAAGATGTCAGAATATCCACTTACAGACTTTACAAACAGAGTGTTTCCTAACTGCTCTATGAACAGAAAGGTTAAACTCTGTGAGTTGAACGAACACATCACAACGCAGTTTGTGGGAATGATTCTGTCTAGTTTTTATAGGAAGATATTTCCTTTTCTACCTTTCACTTCAAAGCGGCTGAAATCTCCACTTGCAAATTCCACAAAAAGAGTGTTACAAGTCTGCTCTGTCTAAGGGAACGTTCAACTCTGTGAGTTGAATGTACACAACACAAGGAAGTTACTGGGAATTCTTCTGTCTAGCCTTACAAAAAAAATTCCGTTTCCAACGAAGGCCTCTAAGTGGTCAAAATATCCACGTGCAGACTTTACAAACACAGTGTTTCCAAACCGCTCAATGAAAAGAAAAGTTAAACTCTGAGAGTTGAACGCATACATCACGCAGCAGTTTCTGAGAATGATTCTGTCTAGTTTTTATACGAAGATATTCCCTTTTCTGCCTTTGGCCCCAAAGCGCTTGAAATCTCCACTTGCAAATTCCACAAAAACAGTGTTTCAAATCTGCTCTCTCTAAATGAAAGTTCAACTCTGTCAGTTGAATACACACAACACAAGGAAGTTACTGAGAATTCTTCTGTCTAGCAGAATATGAAGAAATCCCGTTTCCAACGAAGGCCTCAAGGAGGTGTGAATATCCACTTGCAGACTTTACAAACAGAGTGTTTCCTAACTGCTCTATGAAAAGAAAGGTTAAACTCTGTGAGTTGAACGCACACATCACAAAGGAGTTTCTGAGAATCATTCTGTCTAGTCTTTATACGAAGATATTTACTTTTCTACCATTGACCTCAAAGCGGCTGAAATCTCCACTTGCAAATTCCACAAAAAGAGTGTTTCAAGTCTGCTCTGTGTAAAGGATCCTTCAACTCTGTGAGTTGAATAAACACAACACAAGGAAGTTACTGAGAATTCTTCTGTCTAGCAGAATATGAAGAAATCCCGTTTCCAACGAAGGCCTCAAGGAGGTCTGAATATCCACTTGCAGACTTTACAAACAGAGTGTTTCCTAACTGCTCTATGAATAGAAAGGTAAAACTCTGTGAGTTGAACGCACACATCACAAAGGAGTTTCTGAGAATCATTCTGTCTAGTTTTGAAACGAAGATATTTCCTTTTCTGCCGTTGACCTTAAAGAGCTTGAAAACTACACTTGCAAATTGCACAAATAGAGTGTTTCAAATCTGCTCTGTCTAAGGGAACGTTCAACTCTGTGAGTTGAACGCACACAACACAAGGAAGTTACTGGGAATTCTTCTGTCTAGCCTTACATGAAAAAAACCCGTTTCCAACGAAGGCCTCTAAGTGGTCAAGTTATCCACGTGCAGACTTTACAAACAGAGTGTTTCCAAACTGCTGAATGAAAAGAAAAGTTAAACTCTGAGAGTTGAACGCACACATCGCAGAGCAGTTTCTGAGAATGATTCTGTCTAGTTTTGAAACGAAGATATTTCCTTTTCTACCATTGACCTCAACGCGGCTGAAATCTCCATTTGCAAATTCCACAAAAAGAGTGTTTCAAATCTGCTCTGTGTAAATGAAAGTTCAACTCTATGAGTTGAACACACACAACACAAGGAAGTTACTGGGAATTCTTCTGTCTAGCATAATATGAAGAAATCCCGTTTCCAACGAAGGCCTCAAAGATGTCTGAATATCCACTTGCAGACTTTACAAACAGAGTGTTTCCTAACTGCTCTATGAAAAGAAAGGTTAAACTCTGTGAGTTGAACGCACACATCACAAAGGAGTTTCTGAGAATCATTCTGTCTTGTTTCTATACGAAGATATTTCCTTTTCTACCATTGACCTCAAAGCGGCTGAAATCTCCACTTGCAAATTCCACAAAAAGAGTGTTTCAAGTCTGCTCTGTGTAAAGGATCGTTCAACTCTGTGAGTTGAATACACACAACACAAGGACGTTTCTGAGAATTCTTCTATCTAGCAGAATATGAAGAAATCCCGTTTCCAACGAAGGCCACAAGATGTCAGAATATCCACTTACAGAATTTACCAACAGAGTGTTTCCTAACTGCTCTATGAAAAGAAAGGTTAAACTCTGTGAGTTAAACGAACACATCACAACGCAGTTTGTGGGAATGATTCTGTCTAGTTTTGAAACGAAGATATTTCCTTTTCTGCCATTGACCTTAAAGCGCTTGAAATCTCCATTTGCCAATTGCACAAAAAGAGTGTTTCAAATCTGCTCTGTCTAAGGGAACGTTCAACTCTGTGAGTTGAATGTACAGAACACAAGGAAGTTACTGGGAATTCTTCTGTCTAGCCTTACATGAAAAAAACCCGTTTCCAACGAAGGCCTCTAAATGGTCAAATTATCCACGAGCAGACTTTACAAACAGAGTGTTTCCAAACTGCTGAATGAAAAGCAAAGTTAAACTCTGAGAGTTGAACGCACACATCGCAGAGCAGTTTCTGAGAATGATTCTGTCTAGTTTTTATACGAAGATATTTCCTTTTCTGCCTTTGGCCTCAAAGCGCTTGAAATCTCCACTTGCAAATTCCACAAAAAGAGTGTTTCAAATCTGCTCTGTGTAAATCAAAGTTCAACTCTGGGGGTAGAACACACACAACACAAGGAAGTTACTGGGAATTCTTCTGTCTAGCAGAATATGAAGAAATCCCGTTTCCAACGAAGGCCTCAAAGAGGTCTGAATATCCACTTGCAGACTTTACAAACAGAGTGTTTCCTAACTGCTCTATGAAAAGAAAGGTTAAACTCTGTGAGTTGAACGCACACATTACAAAGGAGATTCTGAGAATCATTCTGTCTAGTCTTTATACGAAGATATTTCCTTTTCTACCATTGACCTCAAAGCGGCTGAAATCTCCACTTGCAAATTCCACAAAAAGAGTGTTTCAAGTCTGCTCTCTGTAAAGGATCGTTCAACTCTGTGAGTTGAATACACAGAACACAAGGAAGTTACTGAGAATTATTCTGTGTAGCATAATATGAAGAAATCCCGTTTCCAACGAAGGCCACAAGATGTCAGAATATCCACTTACAGACTTTACAAACAGAGTGTTTCCTAACTGCTCTATGAACAGAAAGGTTAAACTCTGTGAGTTGAACGAACACATCACAACGCAGTTTGTGGGAATGATTCTGTCTAGTTTTGAAACGAAGATATTTCCTTTTCTGCCATTGACCTTAAAGCGCTTGAAATCTACACTTGCAAATTGCACAAATAGAGTGTTTCAAATCTGCTCTGTCTAAGGGAACGTTCAACTCTGTGAGTTGAATGCACACAACACAATGAAGTTACTGGGAATTCTTCTGTCTAGCCTTACATGCAAAAAACACGTTTCCAACGAAGGCCTCTAAGTGGTCAAAATATCCACGTGCAGACTTTACAGACAGAGTGTTTCCAAACCGCTGAATGAAAAGAAAAGTTAAACTCTGAGAGTTGAACGCACACATCACGCAGCAGTTTCTGAGAATGATTCTGTCTAGTTTTTATACGAAGATATTTCGTTTTCTGCCTTTGGACACAAAGCGCTTGAAATCTCCACTTGCAAATTCCACAAAAACAGTGTTTCAAATCTGCTCTCTCTAAATGAAAGTTCAACTCTGTCAGTTGAATACACACAACACAAGGAAGTTACTGAGAATTCTTCTCTCTAGCAGAATATGAAGAAATCCCGTTTCCAACGAAGGCCTCAAAGAGGTCTGAATATCCACTTGCAGACTTTACAAACAGAGTGTTTCCTAACCGCTCTATGAAAAGAAAGGTTAAACTCTGTGAGTTGAACGCACACATCACAAAGGAGTTTCTGAGAATCATTCTGTCTAGTTTCTATAGGAAGATATTTCCTATTCTACCATTGACCTCAAAGCGGCTGAAATCTCCACTTGCAAATTGCACAAAAAGTGTGTTTCAAGTCTGCTCTCAGTAAAGGATCGTTCAACTCTGAGAGTTGAATACACACAACACAAGGAAGTTACTGAGAATTCTTCTGTCTAGCAGAATATGAAGAAATCCCGTTTCCAACGAAGGCCACAAGATGTCAGAATCTCCACTTACAGACTTTACAAACAGAGTGTTTCCTAACTGCTCTATGAACAGAAAGGTTAAACTCTGTGAGTTGAACGAACACATCACAACGCAGTTTGTGGGAATGATTCTGTCTAGTTTTGAAACGAAGATATTTCCTTTTCTGCCATTGACCTCAAAGCGCTTGAAATGTCCACTTGCCAATTGCACAAAAAGAGTGTTTCAAATCTGCTCTGTCTAAGGGAACGTTCAACTCTGTGAGTTGAATGTACACAACACAAGGAAGTTACTGGGAATTCTTCTGTCTAGCCTTACATGAAAAAAACCCGTTTCCAACGAAGGCCTCTAAGTGGTCAAATTATCCACGTGCAGACTTTACAAACAGAGTGTTTCCAAACTGCTGAATGAAAAGAAAAGTTAAACTCTGAGAGTTGAACGCACACATCGCAGAGTAGTTTCTGAGAATGATTCTGTCTAGTTTTTATACGAAGATATTTCCTTTTCTGCCTTTGGCCCCAAAGCTCTTGAAATCTCCACTTGCAAATTCCACAAAAACAGTGTTTCAAATCTGCTCTCTCTAAATGAAAGTTCAACTCTGTCAGTTGAATACACACAACACAAGGAAGTTACTGAGAATTCTTCTGTCTAGCAGAATATGAAGAAATCCCGTTTCTAACGAAAGCCTCAAAGATGTCTGAATATCCACTTGCAGACTTTACAAACAGAGCGTTTCCTAACTGCTCTATGAAAAGAAAGGTTAAACTCTGTGAGTTGAACGCACACATCACAAAGGAGTTTCTGAGAATCATTCTGTCTAGTTTTTATAGGAAGATATTTCCTTTTCTACCTTTGACTTCAAAGCGGCTGAAATCTCCACTTGCAAATTCCACAAAAAGAGTGTTACAAGTCTGCTCTGTGTAAAGGATCGTTCAACTCTGTGAGTTGAATACACACAACCCAAGGAAGTTACTGAGAATTCTTCTGTCTAGCAGAATATGAAGAAATCCCGTTTCCAACGAAGGCCTCAAGGAGGTCTGAATATCCACTTGCAGACTTTAGAAACAGAGTGTTTCCTAACTGCTCTATGAAAAGAAAGGTTAAACTCTGTGAGTTGAACGCACACATCACAAAGGAGTTTATGAGAATCATTCTGTCTATTTTCTATAAGAAGATATTTCCTATTCTACCATTGACCTCAAAGCGGCTGAAATCTCCACTTGCAAATTCGACAAAAAGAGTGTTTCAAGCCTGCTCTCTGTAAAGGATCCTTCAACTCTGTGAGTTGAATACACACAACACAAGGAAGTTACTGAGAATTCTTCTGTCTAGCAGAATATGAAGAAATCCCGTTTCCAAGGAAGGCCACAAGATGTCAGAATATCCACTTACAGAATTGACAAACAGACTGTTTCCTAACTGCTCTATGAAAAGAAAGGTTAAACTCTGTGAGTTGAACGAACACATCACAACGCAGTTTCTGGGAATGATTCTGTCTAGTTTTGAAACGAAGATATTTCCTTTTCTGCCATTGACCTTAAAGCGCTTGAAATCTCCATTTGCCAATTGCACAAAAAGAGTGTTTCCAATCTGCTCTGTCTAAGGGAACGTTCAACTCTGTGAGTTGAATGTACACAACACAAGGAAGTTAGTGGGAATTCTTCTGTCTAGCCTTACAGGAAAAAAACCCGTTTCCAACGAAGGCCTCTAAGTGGTCAAAATATCCACGTGCAGACTTTACAAACAGAGTGTTTCCAAACTGCTGAATGAAAAGAAAAGTTAAACTCTGAGAGTTGAACGTACACATCGCAGAGCAGTTTCTGAGAATGATTCTGTCTAGTGTTTATACGAAGATATTTCCTTTTCTGCATTTGGCCCCAAAGCTCTTGAAATCTCCAATTGCAAATTCCACAAAAACAGTGTTTCAAATCTGCTCTCTCTAAATGAAAGTTCAACTCTGTCAGTTGAATACACACAACACAAGGAAGTTACTGAGAATTCTTCTGTCTAGCAGAATATGAAGAAATCCCGTTTCCAAAGAAAGCCTCAAAGAGGTCTGAATATCCTCTTGCAGACTTTACAAACAGAGTGTTTCCTAACTGCTCTATGAAAAGAAAGGTTAAACTCTGTGAGTTGACCGCACACATCACAAAGGAGTTTATGAGAATCATCCTGTCTAGTTTTTATACGAAGATATTTCCTTTTCTGCCATTGACCTTAAAGCGCTTGAAATCTACACTTGCAAATTGCACAAATAGAGTGTTTCAAATCTGCTCTGTCTAAGGGAACGTTCAACTCTGTGAGTTGAATGCACACAACACAAGGAAGTTACTGGGAATTCTTCTGTCTAGCCTTACAGGAAAGAAACCCGTTTCCAACGAAGGCCTCTAAGTGGTCAAAATATCCACGTGCAGACATTACAAACAGAGTGTTTCCAAACTGCTGAATGAAAAGAAAAGTTAAACTCTGAGAGTTGAACGCACACATCGCAGAGCAGTTTCTGAGAATGATTCTGTCTAGTTTTGAAACGAAGATATTTCCTTTTCTGCCATTGACCTTAAAGCGCTTGAAATCTCCAGTTGCCAATTGCACAAAAAGAGTGTTTCAAATCTGCTCTGTCTAAGGGAACGTTCAACTCTGTGAGTTGAATGTACACAACACAAGGAAGTTACTGGGAATTCTTCTGTCTATCCTTACATGAAAAAAACCCGTTTCCAACGAAGGCCTCTAAGTGGTCAAAATATCCACGTGCAGACTTTACAAACAGAGTGTTTCCAAACTGCTGAATGAAAAGAAAAGTTAAACTCTGAGAGTTGAACGCACACATCACAGAGCAGTTTCTGAGAATGATTCTGTCTAGTTTTTCTACGAAGATATTTCCTTTTCTGCCTTTGGCCCCAAAGCGCTTGAAATCTCCACTTGCAAATTCCACAAAAACAGTGTTTCAAATCTGCTCTCCCTAAATGAAAGTTCAACTCTGTCAGTTGAATACACACAACACAAGGAAGTTACTGAGAATTCTTCTGTCTAGCATAATATGAAGAAATCCCGTTTCCAACGAAGGCCTCAAAGGGGTCTGAATATCCACTTGCAGACTTTATAAACAGAGTGTTTACTAACTGCTCTATGAAAAGAAAGGTTAAACTCTGTGAGTTGAAAACACACATCACAAAGGACTTTCTGAGAATCATTCTGTCTAGTTTTTATACGAAGATATTTCCTTTTCTACCATGGACCTCAAAGCGGCTGAAATCTCCACTTGCAAATTCCACAAAAAGAGTGTTTCAAGTCTGCTGTGTGTAAAGGATCGTTCAACTCTGTGAGTTGAATACACACAACACAAGGAAGATTCTGAGAATTCTTCTGTCTAGCAGAATATGAAGAAATCCCGTTTCCAACGAAGGCCAAAAGATGACAGAATATCCACTTACAGACTTTACAAACAGAGTGTTTCCTAACTGCTCTATGAAGAAAAAGGTTAAACTCTGTGAGTTGAGCGAACACATCACAACGCAGTTTGTGGGAATGATTCTGTCTAGTTTTGAAACGAAGATATTTCCTTTTCTGCCATTGACCTTAAAGCGCTTGAAATCTGCACTTGCCAATTGCACAAATAGAGTGTTTCAAATCTGCTCTGTCTAAGGGAACGTTCAAATCTGTGAGTTGAATGCACACAACACAAGGAAGTTACTGGGAATTCTTCTGTCTAGCCTTACATGAAAAAATCCCGTTTCCAACGAAGGCCTCTAAGTGGTCAAATTATCCACGTGCAGACTTTACAAACAGAGTGTTTCCAAACCGCTGAATGAAAAGAAAAGTTAAACTCTGAGAGTTGAACGCACTCATCACGCAGCAGTTTCTGAGAATGATTCTGTCTAGTTTTTATACGAAGATATTTCCTTTTCAGCCTTTGGCCTCAAAGCGCTTGAAATCTCCATTAGCAAATTCCACAAAAAGAGTGTCTCAAATCTGCTCTGTGTAAATGAAAGTTCAACTCTGTGAGTTGAACACACACAACACAAGGAAGTTACTGGGAATTCTTCTGTCTAGCCTTATATGAAAAAAAACCGTTTCCAACGAAGGCCTCAAGGAGGTCTGAATATCCACTTGCAGACTTTACAAACAGAGTGTTTCCTAACTGCTCTATGAAAAGAAAGGTTAAACTCTGTGAGTTGAACGCACACATCACAAAGGAGTTTCTGAGAATCATTCTGTCTAGTTCTTATACGAAGATATTTCCTTTTCTACCATTGACCTCAACGCGGCTGAAATCTCCACTTGCAAATTCCACAAAAAGTGTGTTTCAAGTCCGCTCTGTGTAAAGGATCGTTCAACTCTGTGAGTTGAATACACACAACACAAGGAAGTTACTGAGAATTCTTCTTTCTAGCAGAATATGAAGAAATCCCTTTTCCAAAGAAAGCCTCAAGGATGTCTGAATATCCACTTGCAGACTTTACAAACAGAGTGTTTCCCAACTGCTCTATGAAAAGAAAGGTTAAACTCTGTGAGTTGAACGCACACATCACAAAGGAGTTTCTGAGAATCATTCTGTCTAGTTTTGAAACGAAGATATTTCCTTTTCTGCCATTGACCTTAAAGCGCTTGAAATCTACACTTGCAAATTGCGCAAATAGAGCGTTTCAAATCTGCTCTGTCTAAGGGAACGTTCATCTCTGTGAGTTGAATGCACACAACACAAGGAAGTTACTGGGAATGCTTCTGTCTAGCCTTACAGGAAAAAAACCCGTTTCCAACGAAGGCCTCTAAGTGGTCAAAATATCCACGTGCAGACTTTACAAACAGAGTGTTTCCAAACTGCTGAATGAAAAGAAATGTTAAACTCTGAGAGTTGAACGCACACATCGCAGAGCAGTTTCTGAGAATGATTCTGTCTAGTTTCTATAGGAAGATATTTCCTATTCTACCATTGACCTCAAAGCGGCTGAAATCTCCACTTGCAAATTCCACAAAAAGAATGTTTCAAGTCCGCTCTGTGTAAAGGATCGTTCAACTCTGTGAGTTGAATACACACAACACAAGGAAGTTACTGAGAATTATTCTGTCTAGCAGAATATGAAGAAATCCCGTTTCCAACGAAGGCCCCAAAGAGGTCTGAATATCCACTTGCAGACTTTACAAACAGAGTGTTTCCTAACTGCTCTGTGAAAAGAAAAGTTAAACTCTGTGAGTTGAACGCACACATCACAAAGGAGTTTATGAGAATCATTCTGTCTAGTTTCTATAAGAAGATATTTCCTATTCTACCATTGACCACAAAGCGGCTGAAATCTCCACTTGCAAATTCGACAAAAAGAGTGTTTCAAGCCTGCTCTCTGTAAAGGATCCTTCAACTCTGTGAGTTGAATACACACAACACAAGGAAGTTACTGAGAATTATTCTGTCTAGCAGAATATAAAGAAATCCCGTTTCCAACGAAGGCCACAAGCTGTCAGAATATCTACTTACAGAATTTTCAAACAGACTGTTTCCTAACTACTCTATGAAAAGAAAGGTTAAACTCTGTGAGTTGAACGAACACATCACAACGCAGTTTGTGGGAATGATTCTGTCTAGTTTTTATACGAAGATATTTCCTTTTCTACCATTGACCTCAAAGCGGCTGAAATCACCACTTGCCAATTGCTCAAAAAGAGTGTTTCAAATCTGTTCTGTCTAAGGGAACGTTCAACTCTGTGAGTTGAATGTCCACAACACAAGGAAGTTACTGGGAATTCTTCTGTCTAGCCTTATATGAAAAAAACCCTTTTCCAAAGAAGGCCTCTAAGTGGTCAAATTATCCACGTGCAGACTTTACAAACAGAGTGTTTCCAAACTGCTGAATGAAAAGAAAAGTTAAACTCTGAGAGTTGAACGCACACATCGCAGAGCAGTTTCTGAGAATGATTCTGTCTAGTTTTTAGACGAAGATATTTCCTTTTCTGCCTTTGGCCTCAAAGCGCTTGAAATCTCCACTTGCAAATTCCACAAAAAGAGTGTTTCAAATCTGCTCTGTGTAAATCAAAGTTCAACTCTGTGAGTTGAACACACACAACACAAGGAAGATACTGAGAATTCTTGTGTCTAGCAGAACATGAAGAAATCCCGTTTCCAACGAAGGCCTCAAAGATGTCTGAATATCCACTTGCAGACTTTACAAACAGAGTGTTTCCTAACTGCTCTATGAAAAGAAAGGTTAAACTCTGTGAGTTGAACGCACACATCACAAAGGAGTTTCTGAGAATCATTCTGTCTAGTTTTTATACGAAGATATTTCCTTTTCTACCATGGACCTCAAAGCGGCTGAAATCTCCACTTGCAAATTCCACAAAAAGAGTGTTTCAAGTCTGCTCTGTGTAAAGGGATCGTTCAACTCTGTGAGTTGAATACACACAACACAAGGAAGATTCTGAGAATTCTTCTGTCTAGCAGAATATGAAGACATCTCGTTTCCAACGAAGGCCACAAGATGTCAGCATATCCACTTACAGACTTTACAAACAGAGTGTTTCCTAACTGCTGTATGAAAAGAAAGGTTAAACTCCGTGAGTTGATCGAACACATCACAACGCAGTTTGAGGGAATGATTCTGTCTAGTTTTTATACGAAGATATTTCCTTTTCTGCCTTTGGCCTCAACGCGCTTGAAATCTCCACTTGAAAATTCCACATAAAGAGTTTTTCTAATCTGCTCTGTCTAAATGTAAGTTCAACTCTGTCAGTTGAATACACACAACACAAGGAAGTTACTGCGAATTCTTCTGTCTAGCACAGTATGAAGAAATCCCGTTTCCAACGAAGGCCTCAAAGGAGGTCTGAATATCCACTTGCAGAGTTTACAAACAGAGTGTTTCCTAACTGCTCTATGAAAAGAAAGGTTAAACTCTGTGAGTTGAACGCACACATCACAATGAAGTTTCTGAGAATCATTCTGTCTAGTTTTTATACGAAGATATTTCCTTTTCTGCCTTTGGCCTCAAAGCGCTTGAAATCTCCACTTGCAAATTCCACAAAGAGTGTTTCAAATCTGCTCTGTGTAAATGAAAGTTCAACTCTGTGAGTTGAACACACACAACACAAGGAAGTTACTGGGAATTCTTCTTTCTAGCATAATATGAAGAAATCCCGTTTCCAACGAAGGCCTCAAAGGGGTCTGAATATCCATTTGCAGACTTTATAAACTGAGTGTTTACTAACTGCTCTATGAAAAGAATGGTTAAACTCTGTGAGTTGAACACACACATCACAAAGGAGTTTCTGAGAATCATTCTGTCTAGTTTTTATAGGAAGATATTTCCTTTTCTACCTTTGACTTCAAAGCGGCTGAAATCTCCACTTGCAAATTCCACAAAAAGAGTGTTACAAGTCTGCTCTGTGTAAAGGATCGTTCAACTCTCTGAGTTGAATACACACAACACAAGGAAGTTACTGAGAATTCTTCTGTCTAGCAGAATGTGAAGATATCCCGTTTCCAACGAAGGCCACAAGATGTCAGAATATCCACTTACAGAATTTACAAACAGACTGTTTCCTAACTGCTCTATGAAAAGAAATGTTAAACTCTGTGAGTTGAACGAACACATCACAACGCAGTTTGTGGGAATGATTCTGTCTAGTTTTGAAACGAAGATATTTCCTTTTCTGCCATTGACCTTAAAGCGCTTGAAATCTCCACTTGCCAATTGCACAAAAAGAGTGTTTCAAATCTGCTCTGTTTAAGGGAACGTTCAACTCTGTGAGTTGAATGCACACAACACAAGGAAGTTACTGGGAATTCTTCTGTATAGCCTTACAGGAAAGAAAACCGTTTCCAACGAAGGCCTCTAAGTGGTCAAAATATCCACGTGCAGACTTTACAAACAGACTGTTTCCAAACTGCTGAATGAAAAGAAAAGTTAAACTCTGAGAGTTGAACGCACACATCGCAGAGCAGTTTCTGAGAATGATTCTGTCTACTTTTTATACGAAGATATTTCCTTTTCTGCCTTTGGCCTCAAAGCGCTTGAAATCTCCACTTGCAAATTCCACAAAAAGAGTGTTTCAAATCTGCTCTGTGTAAATGAAAGTTCAACTCTGTGAGTTGAACACACACAACACAAGGAAGTTACTGGGAATTCTTCTGTCTAGCATAATATAAAGAAATCCCGTTTCCAACGAAGGCCTCAAAGAGGTCTGAATATCCACTTGTAGACTTTACAAACAGAGTGTTTCCTAACTGCTCTATGAAAAGAAAGTTGAAACTCTGTGAGTTGAACGCACACATCACAAAGCAGTTTCTGAAAATCATTCTGTCTTGTCTTTATACGAAGATATTTACTTTTCTACCATTGACTTCAAAGCGGCTGAAATCTCCACTTGCAAATTCCACAAAAAGAGTGTTTCAAGTCTGCTCTGTGTAAAGGATCATTCAACTCTGTGAGTTGAATAAACACAACACAAGGTAAGTTACTGAGAATTCTTCTGTCTAGCAGAATATGAAGAAATCCCGTTTCCAACGAAGGCCACAAGATGTCAGAATATCCACTTACAGACTTTACAAACAGAGTGTTTCCTAACTGCTCTATGAACAGAAAGGTTAAACTCTGTGAGTTGAACGAACACATCACAACGCAGTTTGTGGGAATCATTCTGTCTAGTTTTGAAACGAAGATATTTCCTTTTCTGCCATTGACCTGAAAGCGCTTCAAATCTACACTTGCAAATTGCACAAATAGAGTGTTTCAAATCTGCTCTGTCTAAGGGAACGTTCAACTCTGTGAGTTGAATGCACACAACACAAGGAAGTTACTGGGAATTCTTCTGTCTAGCCTGACAGGAAAAAAACCCGTTTCCAACGAAGGCCTCTAAGTGGTCAAAATATCCACGTGCAGACTTTACAAACAGAGTGTTTCCACACTGCTGAATGAAAAGAAAAGTTAAACTCTGAGAGTTGAACGCACACATCGCAGAGCAGTTTCTGAGAATGATTGTGTCTAGTTTTCATACGAAGATATTTCCTTTTCTGCCTTTGGCCCCAAAGCGCTTGAAATCTCCACTTGCAAATTCCACAAAAACAGTGTTTCAAATCTGCTCTCTCTAAATGAAAGTTCAACTCTGTCAGTTGAATACACATAACACAAGGAAGTTACTGAGAATTCTTCTGTCTAGCCTTATATGAAAAAAACCCGTTTCCAACGAAGGCCTCAAAGAGGTCTGAATATCCACTTGCAGACTTTACAAACAGAGTGTTTCCTAACTGCTCTAAGAAAAGAAAGGTTAAACTCTGTGAGTTGAACGCACACATCACAAAGGAGTTTCTGAGAATCATTCTGTCTAGTTTTTATACGAAGATATTTCCTTTTCTACCATTGACTTCAAAGCGGCTGAAATCTCCACTTGCAAATTCCACAAAAAGAGTGTTTCAAGTCTACTCTGTGTAAAGGATCATTCAACTCTGTGAGTTGAAAACACACAACACAAGGAAGTTTCTGAGAATTCTTCTGTCTAGCAGAATATGAAGAAATCCCGTTTCCAACGAAGGCCACAAGATGTCAGAGTATCCACTTAGAGACTTTACAAACAGAGTGTTTCCTAACTGCTCTATGAACAGAAAGGTTAAACTGTGTGAGTTGAACGAACACATCACAACGCAGTTTGTGGGAATGATTCTGTCTAGTTTTGAAACGAAGATATTTCCTTTTCTGCCGTTGACCTTAAAGCGCTTGAAATCTACACTTGCAAATTGCACAAATAGAGTGTTTCCAATCTGCTCTGTCTAAGGGAACGTTCAACTCTGTGAGTTGAATGCACACAACACAAAGAAGTTACTGGGAATTCTTCTGTCTAGCATAATATGAAGAAATCCCGTTTCCAACGAAGGCCTCAAGGAGGTCTGAATATCCACTTGCAGACTTTACAAACAGAGTGTTTCCTAACTGCTCTGTGAAAAGAAAGGTTAAACTCTGTGAGTTGAACGCACACATCACAAAGGAGTTTCTCAGAATCATTCTGTCTAGTTTCTATAGGAAGATATTTCCTTTTCTACCATTGACCTCAAAGCGGCTGAAATCTCCACATGCAAATTCCACAAAAAGAGTGTTTCAAGTCTGCTCTGTGTAAAGGATCGTTCAATTCTGTGAGTTGAATACACACAACACAAGGAAGTTACTGAGAATTCTTCTGTCTAGCCTTATATGAAAAAAACCCGTTTCCAACGAAGGCCTCAAAGAGGTCTGAATATCCACTTGCAGACTTTACAAACAGAGTGTTTCCTAACTGCTCTATGAAAAGAAAGGTTAAAATCTGTGAGTTGAACACACACATCACAAAGGAGTTTCTGAGAATCATTCTGTCTAGTTTTGAAACGAAGATATTTCCTTTTCTACCATTGGCCTCAACGCGGCTGAAATCTCCATTTGCAAATTCCACAAAAAGAGTGTTTCAAATCTGCTCTGTGTAAATGAAAGTTCAACTCTGTGAGTTGAACACACACAACACAAGGGAAGTTACTGGGAATTCTTCTGTCTAGCAGAATATGAAGAAATCCCGTTTCCAACGAAGGCCACAAGATGTCAGAATATCCACTTACAGACTTTACAAACAGAGTGTTTCCTAACTGCTCTATGAACAGAAAGGTTAAACTCTGTGAGTTGAACGAACACATCACAACGCAGTTTGTGGGAATGATTTTCTGTCTAGTTTTGAAACGAAGATATTTCCTTTTCTGCCATTGACCTTAAAGCGCTGGAAATCTCCATTTGCCAATTGCACAAAAAGAGTGTTTCAAATCTGCTCTGTCTAAGGGAACGTTCAACTCTGTGAGTTGAATGTACACAACACAAGGAAGTTACTGGGAATTCTTCTGTCTAGCCTTACAAGAAAAAAACCCGTTTCCAACGAAGGTCTCTAAATGGTCAAAATATCCACGTGCAGACTTTACAAACAGAGTGTTTCCAAACTGCTGAATGAAAAGAAAAGTTAAACTCTGAGAGTTGAACGCACACATCGCAGAGCAGTTTCTGAGAATGATTCTGTCTAGTTTTGAAACGAAGATATTTCCTTTTCTGCCTTTGGCCTCAAAGCGCTTGAAATCTCCACTTGCAAATTCCACAGAAAGAGTGTTTCAAATCTGCTCTGTGTAAATGAAAGTTCAACTCTGTGAGTTGAACACACACAACACAAGGAAGTTACTGGGAATTCTTCTGTCTAGCAGAATATGAAGAAATCCCGTTTCCAACGAAGGCCTCAAGGAGGTCTGAATATCCACTTGCAGACTTTACAAACAGAGTGTTTCCTAACTGCTCTATGAACAGAAAGGTTAAACTCTGTGAGTTGAACGCACACATCACAAAGGACTTTCTGAGAATCATTCTGTCTAGTTTCTATAGGAAGATATTTCCTATTCTACTATTGACCACAAAGCGGCTGAAATCTCCACTTGCAAATTCCACAAAAAGAGTGTTTCAAGTCTGCTCTGTGTAAACGATCGTTCAACTCTGTGAGGTGAATTCACACAACACAAGGAAGTTACTGAGAATTCTTCTGTCTAGCATAATATGATGAAATCCCGTTTCCAACGAAGGCCTCAAGGAGGTCTGAATATCCACTTGCAGACTTTACAAACAGATTGTTTCCTAACTGCTCTATGAACAGAAAGGTTAAACTCTGTGAGTTGAACGAACACATCACAACGCAGTTTGTGGGAATGATTCTGTCTAGTTTTGAAACCAAGATATTTCCTTTTCTGCCGTTGACCTTAAAGAGCTTGAAAACTACACTTGCAAATTGCACAAATAGAGTGTTTCAAATCTGCTCTGTCTAAGGGAACGTTCAACTCTGTGAGTTGAATGCACACAACACAAGGAAGTTACTGGGAATTCTTCTGTCTACCCTTACAGGAAAGAAACCCGTTTCCAACGAAGGCCTCTAAGTGGTCAAAATATCCACGTGCAGACTTTACAAACAGATTGTTTCCAAACTGCTGAATGAAAAGAAAAGTTAAACTCTGAGAGTTGAACGCACACATCACAGAGCAGTTTCTGAGAATGATTCTGTCTAGTTTTTATACGAAGATATTTCCTTTTCTGCCTTTGGCCCCAAAGCGCTTGAAATCTCCACTTGCAAATTCCACAAAAAGAGTGTTTCAAATCTGCTCTCTCTAAATGAAAGTTCAACTCTGTCAGTTGAATACACACAACACAAGGAAAGTTACTGAGAATTCTTCTGTCTAGCATAATATGAAGAAATCCCATTTCCAACGAAGGCCTCAAAGGGGTCTGAATATCCACTTGCAGACTTTATAAACAGAGTGTTTACTAACTGCTCTATGAAAAGAAAGGTTAAACTCTGTGAGTTGAACACACACATCACAAAGGAGTTTCTGAGAATCATTCTGTCTAGTTTCTATAAGAAGATATTCCCTATTCTACCATTGACCTCAAAGCGGCTGAAATCTCCACTTGCAAATTCGACAAAAAGAGTGTTTCAAGCCTGCTCTCTGTAAAGGATCCTTCAACTCTGTGAGTTGAATACACACAACACAAGGAAGTTACTGAGAATTCTTCTGTCTAGCAGAATATGAAGAAATCCCGTTTCCAACGAAGGCCTCAAAGAGGTCTGAATATCCACTTGCAGACTTTACAAACAGAGTGTTTCCTAACTGCTCTATGAACAGAAAGGTTAAACTCTGTGAGTTGAACGAACACATCACAATGCAGTTTGTGGGAATGATTCTGTCTAGTTTTAAAACGAAGATATTTCCTTTTCTGCCATTGACGTTAAAGCGCTTGAAATCTACACTTGCAAATTGCACAAATAGAGTGTTTCAAATCTGCTCTGTCTAAGGGAACGTTCAACTCTGTGAGTTGAATGCACACAACACAAGGATGTCACTGGGAATTCTTCTGTCTAGCCTTACATGAAAAAAACCCGTTTCCAACGAAGGCCTCTAAGTGGTCAAGTTATCCACGTGCAGACTTTACAAACAGAGTGTTTCCAAACTGCTGAATGAAAAGAAAAGTTAAACTCTGAGAGTTGAACGCACACATCGCAGAGCAGTTTCTGAGAATGATTCTGTCTAGTTTTCAAACGAAGATATTTCCTTTTCTGCTTTGGCCTCAAAGCGCTTGAAATCTCCACTTGCAAATTCCACAAAAAGAGTGTTTCAAATCTGCTCTGTGTAAATGAAAGTTCAACTCTGTGAGTTGAACACACACAACACAAGGAAGTTACTGGGAATTCTTCTTTCTGGCAGAATATGAAGAAATCCCGTTTCCAACGAAAGCCTCAAGGATGTCTGAATATCCACTTGCAGACTTTACAAACAGAGTGTTTCCTAACTGCTCTATGAAAAGAAAGGTTAAACTCTGTGAGTTAAACGCACACATCACAAAGGAGTTTCTGAGAATCATTCTGTCTAGTCTTTATACGAAGATATTTCCTTTTCTACCATTGACCTCAAAGCGGCTGAAATCTCCACTTGCAAATTCCACAAAAAGAGTGTTTCAAGTCTGCTCTGCGTAAAGGATCGTTCAACTCTGTGAGTTGAATACACACAAAACAAGGAAGGTACTGAGAATTCTTCTGTCTAGCAGAATATGAAGAAATCCCGTTTCCAACGAAGGCCACAAGATGTCAGAATATCCACTTACAGACTTTACAAACAGAGTGTTTCCAAACCGCTGAATGAAAAGAAAAGTTAAACTCTGAGAGTTGAACGCACACATCACGCAGCAGTTTCTGAGAATGATTCTGTCTAGTTTTGAAACGAAGATATTTCCTTTTCTGCCATTGACCTTAAAGCGCTTGAAATCTCCACTTGCCAATTGCACAAAAAGAGTGTTTCAAATCTGCTCTGTCTAAGGGAACGTTCAACTCTGTGAGTTGAATGTACACAACGCAAGGAAGTTCCTGGGAATTCTTCTGTCTAGCCTTACAGGAAAAAAACCCGTTTCCAACAAAGGCCTCTAAGTGGTCAAAATATCCACGTGCAGACTTTACAAACAGAGTGTTTACAAACTGCTGAATGAAAAGAAAAGTTAAACTCTGAGAGTTGAACGCACACATCGCAGAGCAGTTTCTGAGAATGATTCTGTCTAGTTTTTATACGAAGATATTTCCTTTTCTGCCTTTGGCCTCAAAGCGCTTGAAATCTCCACTTGCAAATTCCACAAAAAGAGTATTTCAAATCTGCTCTGTGTAAATGAAAGTTCAACTCTGTGAGTTGAACACACACAACACAAGGAAGTTACTGGGAATTCTTCTGTCTAGCAGAATATGAAGAAATCCCGTTTCCAACGAAGGCCTCAAAGAGGTCTGAATATCCACTTGCAGACTTTACAAACAGAGTGTTTCCTAACTGCTCTATGAAAAGAAAGGTTAAACTCTGTGAGTTGAACACACACATCACAAAGGAGTTTCTGAGAATCATTCTGTCTAGTTTCTATAGGAAGATATTTCCTATTCTACCATTGAACTCACAGCGGCTGAAATCTCCACTTGCAAATTCCACAAAAAGAGTGTTTCAAGTCTGCTCTGTGTAAAGGATCGTTCAACTCTGTGAGTTGAATACACACAACACAAGGAAGTTACTGAGAATTCTTCTGTCTAGCAGAATATGAAGAAATCCCGTTTCCAACGAAGGCCACAAGATGTCAGAATATCCACTTATAGACTTTACAAACAGAGTGTTTCCTAACTGCTCTATGAACGGAAAGGTTAAACACTGTGAGTTGAACGAACACATCACAACGCAGTTTGTGGGAATGATTCTGTCTAGTTTTGAAACGAAGATATTTCCTTTTCTGCCATTGACCTTAAAGCGCTTGAAATCTACACTTGCAAATTGCACAAATAGAGTGTTTCAAATCTGCTCTGTCTAAGGAACGTTCAACTCTGTGAGTTGAATGCACACAACACAAGGAAGTTACTGGGAATTCTTCTGCCTAGCCTTACATGAAAAAAACCCGTTTCCAACGAAGGCCTCTAAGTGGTCAAAATATCCACGTGCAGACTTTACAAACAGAGTGTTTCAGAACCGCTGAATGAAAAGAAAAGTTAAACTCTGAGAGTTGAACGCACACATCACGCAGCAGTTTCTGAGAATGATTCTGTCTAGTTTTTATACGAAGATATTTCGTTTTCTGCCTTTGGCCAAAAAGCGCTTGAAATCTCCACTTGCAAATTCCACAAAAACAGTGTTTCAAATCTGCTCTCTGTAAATGAAAGTTCAACTCTGTCAGTTGAATACAAACAACACAAGGAAGTTACTGAGAATTCTTCTGTATAGCAGAATATGAAGAAATCCCGTTTCCAACGAAGGCCTCAAGGAGGTCTGACTATCCACTTGCAGACTTTACAAACAGAGTGTTTCCTAACTGCTCTATGAAAAGAAAGGTTAAACTCTGTGAGTTGAACGCAGACATCACAAAGAAGTTTCTGAGAATCACTCTGTCTAGTTTCTATAGGAAGATATTTCCTATTCTACCATTGAACTCAAAGCGGCTGAAATCTCCCCTTGCAAATTCCACAAAAAGAGTGTTTCAAGTCTGCTCTGTGTAAAGGATCGTTCAACTACTGTGAGTTGAATACACACAACACAAGGAAGTTACTGAGAATTCTTCTGTCTAGCAGAATATGAAGAAATCCCGTTTCCAACGAAGGCCACAAGATGTCAGAATATCCACTTACAGAATTTACAAACAGACTGTTTCCTAACTGCTCTATGAAAAGAAAGGTTAAACTCTGTGAGTTGAACGAACACATCACAACGCAGTTTGTGGGAGTGATTCTGTCTAGTTTTGAAACGAAGATATTTCCTTTTCTGCCATTGACCTTAAAGCGCTTGAAATCTCCACTTGCCAATTGCACAAAAAGAGTGTTTCAAATCTGCTCTGTCTAAGGGAACGTTCAACTCTGTGAGTTGAATGTACACAACGCAAGGAAGTTACTGGGAATTCTTCCGTCTAGCCTTACATGAAAAAAACCCGTTTCCAACGAAGGCCTCTAAGAAGTCCAAATATCCACGTGCAGAATTTACAAACAGAGTGTTTCCTAACGGCTCTATGAAAAGAAAGGTTAAACTCTGTGAGTTGAACGCCCACATCACAAAGGAGTTTCTGAGAATCATTCTGTCTAGTTTTTATACGAAGATATTTCCTTTTCTGCCTTTGGCCCCAAAGCGCTTGAAATCTCCACTTGCAAATTCCACAAAAACAGTGTTTCAAATCTGCTCTCTCTAAATGAAAGTTCAACTGTGTCAGTTGAATACACACAACACAAGGAAGTTACTGAGAATTCTTCTGTCTAGCAGAATATGAAGAAATCCCGTTTCCAACGAAAGCCTCAATGATGTCTGAATATCCACCTGCAGACTTTACAAACAGAGTGTTTCCTAACTGCTCTATGAAAAGAAAGTTTAAACTCTGTGAGTTGAACGCACACAGCACAAAGGAGTTTCTGACAATCATTCTGTCTAGTTTTTATACGAAGATATTTCCTTTTCTACAATTGACCTCAAAGCGGCTGAAATCTCCACTTGCAAATTCCACAAAAGGGTGTTTCTAGTCTGCTCTGTGTAAAGGATCGTTGAACTCTGTGAGTTGAATACACACAACACAAGGAAGTTACTCAGAATTCTTCTGTCTAGCAGAATATGAAGAAATCCCGTTTCCAACGAAGGCCACAAGATGTCAGAATACCCACTTACAGACTTTACAAACAGAGTGTTTCCTCACTGCTCTATGAACAGAAAGGTTAAACTCTGTGAGTTGAACGAACACATCACAACGCAGTTTGTGGGAATGATTCTGTCTAGTTTTGAAACGAAGATATTCCCTTTTCTGCCATTGACCTTAAAGCGCTTGAAATCTACACTTGCAAATTGCACAAATAGAGTGTTTCAAATCTGCTCCGTCTAGGGAACGTTCAAATCTGTGAGTTGAATGCACACAACACAAGGAAGTTACTGGGAATTCTTCTGTCTAGCCTTACTTGAAAAAAACCCGTTTCCAAAGAAGGCCTCTAAGTGGTCAAAATATCCACGTGCAGACTTTACAAACAGAGTGTTTCCAAACCGCTGAATGAAAAGAAAAGTTAAACTCTGAGAGTTGAACGCACACATCACGCAGCAGTTTCTGAGAATGATTCTGTCTAGTTTTTATACGAAGATATTTCCTTTTCTGCCTTTGGCCCCAAAGCGCTTGAAATCTCCACTTGCAAATTCCACAAAAACAGTGTTTCAAATCTGCTCTCTCTAAATGAAAGTTCAACTCTGTCAGTTGAATACACACAACACAAAGAAGTTACTGAGAATTCTTCTGTCTAGCACAGTATGAAGAAATCCCGTTTCCAACGAAGGCCTCAAAGAGGTCTGAATATCCACTTGCAGAGTTTACAAACGGTGTTTCCTAACTGCTCTATGAAAAGAAAGGTTAAACTCTGTGAGTTGAACGCACACATCACAATGAAGTTTCTGAGAATCATTCTGTCTAGTTTTTATAGGAAGATATTTCCTTTTCTACCTTTGACTTCAAAGCGGCTGAAATCTCCACTTGCAAATTCCACAAAAAGAGTGTTACAAGTCTGCTCTGTGTAAAGGATCGTTCAACTCTGTGAGTTGAATACACACAACACAAGGAAGTTACTGAGAATTCTTCTGTCTAGCATAGTATGAAGAAATCCCGTTACCAACGAAGGCCTCAAAGAGGTCTGAATATCCACTTGCAGAGTTTACAAACAGAGTGTTTCCTAACTGCTCTGTGAAAAGAAAGGTTAAACTCTGTGAGTTGAACGCACACATCACAAAGAAGTTTCTGAGAATCATTCTGTCTAGTTTTTATACGAAGATATTTCCTTTTCTACCATTGACCTCAAAGCGGCTGAAATCACCACTTGCCAATTGCACAAAAAGAGTGTTTCAAATCTGCTCTGTCTAAGGGAACGTTCAACTCTGTGAGTTGAATGTACACAACACAAGGAAGTTACTGGGAATTCTTCTGTCTAGCCTTACATGAAAAAAACCCGTTTCCAAAGAAGGCCTCTAAGTTGTCAAATTATCCACGTGCAGACTTTACAAACAGAGTGTTTCCAAACTGCTGAATGAAAAGAAAAGTTAAACTCTGAGAGTTGAACGCACACATCGCAGAGCAGTTTCTGAGAATGATTCTGTCTAGTTTTTATACGAAGATATTTCCTTTTCTGCCTTTGGCCTCAAAGCGCTTGAAATCTCCACTTGCAAATTCCACAAAAAGAGTGTTTCAAATCTGCTCTGTGTAAATGAAAGTTCAACTCTGTGAGTTGAACACACACAACCCAAGGAAGTTACTGGGAATTGTTCTGTCTAGCATAATATGAAGAAATCCCGTTTCCAACGAAGGCCTCAAAGGGGTCTGAATATCCACTTGCAGACTTTATAAACAGAGTGTTTACTAACTGCTCTATGAAAAGAAAGGTTAAACTCTGTGAGTTGAACACACACATCACAAAGAAGTTTCTGAGAATCATTCTGTCTAGTTTTTCTACGAAGATATTTCCTTTTCTACTATTGACCTCAAAGCGGCTGAAATCTCCACTTGCAAATTCCACAAAAAGAGTGTTTCAAGTCTGCTCTGTGTAAAGGATCGTCCAACTCTGTGAGTTGAATACACACAACACAAGGAAGTTACTGAGAATTCTTCTGTCTAGCAGAATATGAAGAAATCCCGTTTCCAACGAACGCCACAAGATGTCAGAATATCCACTTACAGAATTTACAAACAGACTGTTTCCTAACTGCTCTATGAAAAGAAAGGTTAAACTCTGTGAGTTGAACGAACACATCACAACGCAGTTTGTGGGAATGATTCTGTCTAGTTTTTATACGAAGATATTTCCTTTTCTACCATTGACCTCAAAGCGGCTGAAATCACCACTTGCAAATTGCACAAAAAGAGTGTTTCAAATCTGCTCTGTCTAAGGGAACGTTCAACTCTGTGAGTTGAATGTACACAACACAAGGAAGTTACTGGGAATTCTTCTGTCTAGCCTTACATGAAAAAAACCCGTTTCCAACGAAGGCCTCTAAGTGGTCAAAATATCCACGTGCAGACTTTACAAACAGAGTGTTTCCAAACCGCTGAATGAAAAGAAAAGTTAAACTCTGAGAGTTGAACGCACACATCACGCCGCAGTTTCTGAGAATGATTCTGTCTAGTTTTTATACGAAGATATTTCCTTTTCTGCCTTTGGCCTCAAAGTGCATGAATTCTCCATTTGCAAATTCCACAAAAAGAGTGTTTCAAATCTGCTCTGTCTAAATGAAAGTTCAACTCTGTGAGTTCTACACACACAACACAAGGAAGTTACTGGGAATTCTTCTGTCTAGCATAATATGAAGAAATCCCGTTTCCAAAGAAGGCCTCAAGGAGATCTGAATATCCACTTGCAGACTTTACAAACAGAGTGTTTCCTAACTGCTCTATGAAAAGAAAGGTTAAACTCTGTGAGTTGAACGCACACATCACAAAGGAGTTTCTCAGAATCATTCTGTCTAGTTTTTATACGAAGATATTTCCTTTTCTACCATTGACCTCAACGCGGCTGAAATCTCCACTTGCAAATTCCACAAAAGAAGTGTTTCTAATCTGCTCTGTGTAAAGGATCGTTCAACTCTGTGAGTTGAATACACACAACACAAGGAAGTTACTGAGAATTCTTCTGTCTAGGAGAATATGAAGAAACCCCGTTTCCAACGAAGGCCACAAGATGTCAGAATATCCACTTACAGAATTGACAAACAGACTGTTTCCTAACTGCTCTATGAAAAGAAAGGTTAAACTCTGTGAGTTGAACGAACACATCACAACGCAGTTTGTGGGAATGATTCTGTCTAGTTTTGAAACGAAGATATTTCCTTTTCTGCCATTGACCTTAAAGCGCTTGAAATCTACACTTGCAAATTGCACAAATAGAGTGTTTCAATTCTGCTCTGTCTAAGGAAACGTTCAACTCTGTGAGTTGAATGCACACAACACAAGGAAGTTACTGGGAATTCTTCTGTCTAGCCTTACATGAAAAAAACCCGTTTCCAACGAAGGCCTCTAAGTGGTCAAATTATCCACGTGCAGACTTTACAAACAGAGTGTTTCCAAACTGCTGAATGAAAAGAAAAGTTAAAGTCTGAGAGTTGTACGCACACATCGCAGAGCAGTTTCTGAGAATGATTCTGTCTAGTTTCTATAGGAAGATATTTCCTATTCTACCATTGACCTCAAAGCGGCTGAAATCTCCACTTGCAAATTCCACAAAAAGAGTGTTTCAAGTCTGCTCTGTGTAAAGGATTGTTCAACTCTGTGAGTTGAATACACACAACACAAGGAAGTTACTGAGAATTCTTCTGTCTAGCATAATATGAAGAAATCCTGTTTCCAACGAAGGCCTCAAGGAGGTCTGAATATCCACTTGCAGTCTTTACAAACAGAGTGTTTCCTAACTGCTCTATGAAAAGAAAGGTTAAACTCTGTGAGTTGAACGCACACATCACAAAGGAGTTTCTGAGAATCATTCTGTCTAGTTTCTATAGGAAAATATTTCCTATTCTACCATTGACCTCAAAGCGGCTGAAATCTCCACTTGCAAATTCCACAAAAAGAGTGTTTCAAGTCTGCTCTGTGTAAAGGATCGTTCAACTCTGTGAGTTGAAAACACACAACACAAGGAAGTTTCTGAGAATTCTTGTGTCTAGCAGAATATGAAGAAATCCCGTTTCCAACGAAGGCCTCAAAGAGGTCTGAATATCCACTTGCAGACTTTACAAACAGAGTGTTTCCTAACTGCTCTATGAAAAGAAAGGTTAAACTCTGTGAGTTGAACGCACACATCACAAAGGAGTTTCTGAGAATCATTCTGTCTAGTTTCTATAGGAAGATATTTCCTATTCTACCATTGAACTCAAAGCGGCTGAAATCTCCACTTGCAAATTCCACAAAAAGAGTGTTTCAAATCTGCTCTCTCTAAAGCAAGGTTCAACTCTGTGAGTTGAATACACACAACACAAAAAAGTTACTGAGAACTCTTCTGTCTAGCAGAATATGAAGAAATCCCGTTTCCAACGAAGGCCTCAAGGAGGTCCGAATATCCACTGGCAGACTTTACAAACAGAGTGTTACCTAACTGCTCTATGAACAGAAAGGTTAAACTCTGTGAGTTGAACGAACACATCACAACGCAGTTTGTGGGAATGATACTGTCTAGTTTTGAAACGAAGATATTTCCTTTTCTGCCATTGACCTTAAAGCGCTTGAAATCTCCACTTGCCAATTGCACAAAAAGAGTGTTTCAAATCTGCTCTGTCTAAGGGAACGTTCAACTCTGTGAGTTGAATGTACACAACACAAGGAAGTTACTGGGAATTCTTCTGTCTAGCCTTACAGGAAAAAAACCCGTTTCCAACGAAGGCCTCTAAGTGGTCAAAATATCCACGTGCAGACTTTACAAACAGAGTGTTTCCAAACTGCTGAATGAAAAGAAAAGTTAAACTCCTGAGAGTTGAACGCACACATCGCAGAGCAGTTTCTGAGAATGATTTCTGCCTAGTTTTTCTACGAAGATATTTCCTTTTCTGCCTTTGGCCTCAAAGCGCTTGAAATCTCCACTTGCAAATTCCACAAAAAGAGTGTTTCAAATCTGCTCTGTGTAAATGAAAGTTCAACTCTGTGAGTTGAACACACACAACACAAGGAAGTTACTGGGAATTCTTCTCTCTAGCCTTATATGAAAAAAACCCGTTTCCAACGAAGGCCTCAAAGAGGGCTGAATATCCACTTGCAGACTTTAGAAACAGAGTGTTTCCTAACTGCTCTATGAAAAGAAAGGTTAAACTCTGTGAGTTGAACGCACACATCACAAAGGAGTTTCTGAGAATCATTCTGTCTAGTTTCTATAGGAAGATATTTCCTATTCTACCATTGACCTCAAAGCGGCTGAAATCTCCACTTGCAAATTCCACAAAAAGAGTGTTTCAAGTCTGCTCTGTGTAAAGGATCGTTCAACTCTGTGAGTTGAATACACACAACACAAAGATGTTACTGAGAATTCTTCTGTCTAGCAGAATATGAAGAAATCCCGTTTCCAACGAAGGCCACAAGATGTCAGAATATCCACATACAGACTTTACAAACAGAGTGTTTCCTAACTGCTCTATGAACAGAAATGTTAAACTCTGTGAGTTGAACGAACACATCACAACGCAGTTTGTGGGAATGATTCTGTCTAGTTTTGAAACGAACAATTTCCTTTTCTGCCATTGACCTTAAAGCGCTTGAAATCTCCATTTGCCAATTGCACAAAAAGAGTGTTTCAAATCTGCTCTGTCTAAGGGAACGTTCAACTCTGTGAGTTGAATGTACACAACACAAGGCAAGTTACTGGGAATTCTTCTGTCTAGCAGAATATGAAGAAATCCCGTTTCCAACGAAGGCCTCAAAGAGGTCTGAATATCCACTTGCAGACTTTACAAACAGAGTGTTTCCTAACTGCTCTATGAAAAGAAAGGTTAAACTCTGTGAGTTGTACGCACACATCACAAAGGAGTTTCGGAGAATCATTCTGTCTAGTTTTTATACGAAGATATTTCCTTTTCAACCATTGACCACAAAGCGGCTGAAATCTCCACTTGCAAATTCCACAAAAAGAGTGTTTCAAGTCTACTCTGTGTAAAGCATCGTTCAACTCTGTGAGTTGAAATCACACAACACAAGGAAGTTTCTGAGAATTCTTCTGTGTAGCAGAATATGAAGAAAACCCGTTTGCAACGAAAGCCTCAAAGATGTCTGAATATCCACTTGCAGACCTTACAAACAGAGTGTTTCCTAACTGCTCTATGAAAAGAAAGGTTAAACTCTGTGAGTTGAACGCACACATCACAAAGGAGTTTCTGAGAATCATTCTGTGTAGTTTTTCTACGAAGATATTTCCTTTTCTACTATTGACCTCAAAGCGGCTGAAATCTCCACTTGCAAATTCCACAAAAAGAGTGTTTCAAGACTGCTCTGTGTACAGGATCCTTCAACTCTGTGAGTTGAATACACACAACACAAGGAAGTTACTGAGAATTCTTCTGTCTAGCAGAATATGAAGAAATCCCGTTTCCAACGAAGGCCACAAGATGTCAGAATATCCACTTACAAAATTTACAAACAGACTGTTTCCTAACTGCTCTATGAAAAGAAAGGTTAAACTCTGTGAGTTGAACGAACACATCACAACGCAGTTTGTGGGAATGATTCTGTCTTGTTTTGAAACGAAGATATTTCCTTTTCTGCCATTGACCTTAAAGCGCTTGAAATCTCCACTTGCCAATTGCACAAAAAGAGTGTTTCAAATCTGCTCTGTCTAAGGGAACGTTCAACTCTGTGAGTTGAATGTACACAACACAAGGAAGTTACTGGGAATTCTTCTGTCTAGCCTTACAGGAAAAAAACCCGTTTCCAACGAAGGCCTCAAAGAGGTCTGAATATCCACTTGCAGTCTTTACAAACAGAGTGTTTCCTAACTGCTCTATGAAAAGAAAGGTTAAATTCTGTGAGTTGAACGCACACATCACAAAGGAGTTTCTGAGAATAATTCCGTTTAGTTTTTATACGAAGATATTTCCTTTTCTGCCTTTGGCCCCAAAGCGCTTGAAATCTCCACTTGCAAATTCCACAAAAACAGGTTTTCAAATCTGCTCTCTCTAAATGAAAGTTAAACTCTGTCAGTTGAATACACACAACACAAGGAAGTTACTGAGAATTCTTCTGTCTAGCCTTATATGAAAAAAACCCTTTTCCAACGAAGGCCTCAAAGAGGTCTGAATATCCACTTGCAGACTTTACAAACAGAGTGTTTCCTAACTGCTCTATGAAAAGAAAGGTTAAACTCTGTGAGTTGAACGCACACATCACAAAGGAGTTTCTGAGAATCATTCTGTCTAGTTTCTATAGGAAGATATTTCCTATTCTACCATTGACCTCAAAGCGGCTGAAATCTCCACTTGCAAATTCCACAAAAAGAGTGTTTCAAGTCTGCTCTCTGTAAAGGATCGTTCAACTCTGTCAGCTGAATAAACACAACACAAAGAAGTTACTGAGAATTATTCTGTCTAGCAGAATATGAAGAAATCCCGTTTCCAACGAAGGCCACAAGATGTCAGAATATCCACTTTCAGACTTTACAAACAGAGTGTTTCCTAACTGCTCTATGAACGGAAAGGTTAAACTCTGTGAGTTGAACGAACACATCACAACGCAGTTTGTGGGAATGATTCTGTCTAGTTTTGAAACGAAGATATTTCCTTTTCTGCCATTGACCTTAAAGCGCTTGAAATCTACACTTGCCAATTGCACAAATAGAGTGTTTCAAATCTGCTCTGTCTAAGGGAACGTTCAACTCTGTGAGTTGAATGCACACAACACGAGGAAGTTACTGGGAATTCTTTTGTCTAGCCTTACAGGAAAAAAACCCGTTTCCAACGAAGGCCTCTAAGTGGTCAAAATATCCACGTGCAGACTTTACAACCAGAGTGTTTCCAAACTGCTGAATGAAAAGAAAAGTTAAACTCTGAGAGTTGAACGCACACATCGCAGAGCAGTTTCTGAGAATGATTCTGTCTAGTTTTGAAACGAAGACATTTCCTTTTCTGCCTTTGGCCTCAAAGCCCTTGAAATCTCCACTTGCAAATTCCACAAAAAGAGTGTTTCAAATCTGCTCTGTGTAAATGAAAGTTCAACTCTGTGAGTTGAACACACACAACACAAGGGAAGTTACTGGGAATTCTTCTGTATAGCAGAATATGAAGAAATCCCGTTTACAACGAAAGCCTCAAAGATGTCTGAATATCCACTTGCAGACATTACAAACAGAGTGTTTCCTAACTGCTCTATGAAAACAAAGGTTAAACTCTGTGAGTTGAACGCACACATCACAAAGGAGTTTCTGAGAATCATTCTGTCTAGTTTCTATAGGAAGATATTTCCTATTCTACCATTGACCTCAAAGCGGCTGAAATCTCCACTTGCAAATTCCACAAAAAGAGTGTTTCAAGTCTGTTCTGTGTAAAGGATCATTCAACTCTGTGAGTTGAATACACACAACACAAGGGAAGTTACTGAGAATTCTTCTGTCTAGCAGAATATGAAGAAATCCCGTTTCCAACGAAGGCCTCAAAGAGGTCTGAATATCCACTTGCAGACTTTACAAACAGAGTGTTTCCCAACTGCTCTATGAACAGAAAGGTTAAACTCTGTGAGTTGAACGCACACATCACAAAGGAGTTTCTGAGAATCATTCTGTCTAGTTTTGAAACGAAGATATTTCCTTTTCTGCCATTGACCTTAAAGCGCTTGAAATCTCCACTTGCCAATTTCACAAAAAGAGTGTTTCAAATCTGCTCTGTCTAAGGGAACGTTCAACTCTGTGAGTTGAATGTACACAACACAAGGAAGTTACTGGGAATTATTCTGTCTAGCCTTACAGGAAAAAAACCCGTTTCCAACGAAGGCCTCTAAGTGGTCAAAATATCCACGTGCAGACTTTACAAACAGAGTGTTTCCAAACTGCTGAATGAAAAGAAAAGTTAAACTCCTGAGAGTTGAACGCACACATCGCAGAGCAGTTTCTGAGAATGATTTCTGTCTAGTTTTTATACGAAGATATTTCCTTTTCTGCCTTTGGCCTCAAAGCGCTTGAAATCTCCATTTGCAAATTCCACAAAAAGAGTGTTTCAAATCTGCTCTGTGTAAATGAAAGTTCAACTTTGTGAGTTGAACACACACAACACAAGGATGTTACTGGGAATTCTTCTTTCTAGCAGAATATGAAGAAATCCCGTTTCCAACGAAAGCCTCAAGGATGTCTGAATATCCACTTGCAGACGTTACAAACAGAGTGTTTCCCAACTGCTCTATGAAAAGAAAGGTTAAACTCTGTGAGTTGAACGCACACATCACAAAGGAGTTTCTGAGAATCATTCTGTCTAGTTTTTATACGAAGATATTTCCTTTTCTACCATTGACCTCAAAGCGGCTGAAATCTCCACTTGCAAATTCCACAAAAAGAGTGTTTCAAGTCTGCTCTGTGTAAAGGATCGTTGAACTCTGTGAGTTGAACACACACAACACAAGTAAGTTACTGAGAATTCTTCTGTCTAGCAGAATATGAAGAAATCCCGTTTCCAACAAAGGCCACAAGATGTCAGAATATCCACTTACAGACTTTACAAACAGAGTGTTTCCTAACTGCTCTATGAACAGAAAGGTTAAACTCTGTGAGTTGAACGAACACATCACAACGCAGTTTGTGGGAATGATTTCTGTCTAGTTTTGAAATGAAGGTATATCGTTTTCTGCCATTGACCTTAAATCGCTTGAAATCTCCACTTGCCAATTGCACAAAAAGAGTGTTTCAAATCTGCTCTGTCTAAGGGAACGTTCAACTCTGTGAGTTGAATGCACGCAACACAAGGAACTTACAGGAAATTCTTCTGTCTAGCCTTACATGAAAAAAACCCGTTTCCAACGAAGGCCTCTAAGTGGTCAAAATATCCACGTGCAGACTTTACAAACAGAGTGTTTCGAAACTGCTGAATGAAAAGAAAAGTTAAACTCTCAGAGTTGAATGCACACATCGCCGAGCAGTTTCTGAGAATGATTCTGTCTAGTTTTGAAACGAAGATATTTCCTTTTCTGCCTTTGGCCTCAAAGCGCTTGAAATCTCCACTTGCAAATTCCACAAAAAGAGTGTTTCAAATCTGCTCTGGGTAAATGAAAGTTCAACTCTGTGAGTTGAACACACACAACACAAGGAAGTTACTGAGAATTCTTCTGTCTAGCATAATATGAAGAAATCCCGTTTCCAACGAAGGCCTCAAAGGGGTCTGAATATCCACTTGCAGACTTTATAAACAGAGTGTTTACTAACTGCTCTATGAAAAGAAAGGTTAAACTCTGTGAGTTGGACACACACATCACAAAGGAGTTTCTGAGAATCATTCTGTCTAGTTTCTATAGGAAGATATTTCCTATTCTACCATTGACCTCAAAGCGGCTGAAATCTCCACTTGCAAATTCCACAAAAAGAGTGTTTCAAGGCTGCTCTGTGTAAAGGATCGTTCAACTCTGTGAGTTGAATACACACAACACAAGGAAGTTACTGAGAATTCTTCCGTCTAGCAGAATATGAAGAAATCCCGTTTCCAACGAAGGCCACAAGATGTCAGAATATCCACTTACAGAATTTACAAACAGACTGTTTCCTAACTGCTCTATGAAAAGAAAGGTTAAACTCTGTGAGATGAACGAACACATCACAACGCAGTTTGTGGGAATGATTCTGTCTAGTTTTGAAACGAAGATATTTCCTTTTCTCCCATTGACCTTAAAGCGCTTGAAATCTCCACTTGCCAATTGCACAAAAAGAGTGTTTCAAATATGCTCTGTCTAAGGGAACGTTCAACTCTGTGAGTTGAATGTACACAACACAAGGAAGTTACTGGGAATTCTTCTGTCTAGCCTTACATGAAAAAAACCCGTTTCCAACGAAGGCCTCTAAATGGTCAAAATTTCCACATGCAGACTTTACAAACAGAGTGTTTCCAAACCGCTGAATGAAAAGAAAAGTTAAACTCTGAGAGTTGAACGCACACATCACGCAGCAGTTTCTGAGAATGACTCTGTCTAGTTTTTATACGAAGATATTTCCTTTTCTGCCTTTGGCCTCAAAGGGCTTGAAATCTCCACCTGCAAATTCCACAAAAAGAGTGTTTCAAATCTGCTCTGTGTAAATGAAAGTTCAACTCTGTGAGTTGAACACACACAACACAAGGAAGTTACTGGGAATTCTTCTGTCTAGCATAATATGAAGAAATCCCGTTTCCAACGAAGGCCTCAAGGAGGTCTCAATATCCACTTGCAGACTTTACAAACAGAGTGTTTCCTAACTGCTCTATGAAAAGAAAGGTTAAACTCTGTGAGTTGAACGCACACATCACAAAGGAGTTTCTGAGAATCATTCTGTCTAGTTTTTATACGAAGATATTTCCTTTTCTACCATTGACCACAAAGCGGCTGAAATCTCCACTTGCAAATTCCACAAAAAGAGTGTTTCAAGTCTGCTCTGTGTAAAGGATCGTTCAACTCTGTGAGTTGAATACACACAACACAAGGAAGTTACTGAGAATTCTTCTGTCTAGCAGAATATGAAGAAATCCCGTTTCCAACGAAGGCCACAAGATGTCAGAATATCCACTTACAGACTTTACAAACAGAGTGTTTCCTAACTGCACTATGAACAGAAAGGTTAAACTCTGTGAGTTGAACGAACACATCACAACGCAGTTTGTGGGAATGATTCTGTCTAGTTTTGAAACGAAGATATTATCTTTTCTGCCGTTGACCTTAAAGCGCTTGAAATCTACACTTGGAGATTGCACAAATAGAGTGTTTCAAATCTGCTCTGTCTAAGGGAACGTTCAACTCTGTGACTTGAATGCACACAACACAAGGAAGTTACTGGGAATTCTTCTGTCTAGCCTTACAGGAAAAAAACCCGTTTCCAACGAAGGCCTCTGAGTGGTCAAAATATCCACCTGCAGACTTTACAAACAGAGTGTTTCCAAACTGCTGAATGAAAAGAAAAGTTAAACTCTGAGAGTTGAACGCACACATCGCAGAGCAGTTTCTGAGAATGATTATCTGTCTAGTTTTGAAACGAAGATATTTCCTTTTCTGCCTTTGGCCTCAAAGCGCTTGAAATCTCCACTTGCAAATTCCACAAAAAGAGTGTTTCAAATCTGCTCTGTGTAAATGGAAGTTCAACTCTGTGAGTTTAACACACACAACACAAGGAAGTTACTGGGAATTCTTCTGTCTAGCCTTATATGAAAAAAACCCGTTTCCAACGAAGGCCTCAAAGAGGTCTGAATATCCACTTGCAGACTTTACAAACAGAGTGTTTCCTAACTGCTCTATGAAAAGAAAGGTTAAACTCTGTGAGTTGAACACACACATCACAAAGGAGTTTCCTGAGAATCATTCTGTCTAGTTTTTATACGAAGATATTTCCTTTTCTACCATTGACCTCAAAGCGGCTGAAATCTCCACTTGCAAATTCCACAAAAAGAGTGTTTCAAATCTGCTCTGTGTAAACCATCGTTCAACTCTGTGAGTTGAATACACACCACACAAGGAAGATTCTGAGAATTCTTCTGTCTAGCATCATATGAAGAAATCCCGTTTCCAACGAAGGCCACAAAGAGGTCTGAATATCCACTTGCAGACTTTACAAACAGAGTGTTTCCTAACTGCTCTATGAAAAGAAAGGTTAAACTCTGTGAGTTGAACGCACACATCACAAATGAGTTTCTGAGAATCATTCTGTCTAGTTTCTATAGGAAGATATTTCCTATTCTACAATTGACCTCAAAGCGGCAGAAATCTCCACTTGCAAATTCCACAAAAAGAGTGTTTCAAGTCTGCTCTGTGTAAAGGATCGTTCCACTCTGTGAGTTGAATACACACAACACAAGGAAGTTACTGAGAATTCTTCTGTCTAGCCTTACAAGAATAAAACCCGTTTCCAACGAAGGCCTCTAAGTGGTCAAAATATCCACGTGCAGACTTCACAAAGAGAATGTTTCCAAACTGCTGAATGAAAAGAAAAATTAAACTCTGAGAGTTGAATGCACACATCGCAGAGCAGTTTCTGAGAATGATTCTGTCTAGTTTTTATACGAAGATATTTCCTTTTCTGCCTTTGGCCTCAAAGCGCTTGAAATCTCCATTTGCAAATTCCACAAAAAGAGTGTTTCAAATCTGCTCTGTGTAAATGAAAGTTCAACTCTGTGAGTTGAATACAAACAACACAAGGAAGTTACTGAGAATTCTTCTGTCTAGCCTTATATGAAAAAAACCCGTTTCCAACGAAGGCCTCAAAGAGGTCTGAATATCCACTTGCAGACTTTACAAACAGAGTGTTTCCTAACTGCTCTATGAAAAGAAAGGTTAAACTCTGTGAGTTGAACGTACACATCACAAAGGAGTTTTTGAGAATCATTCTGTCTAGTTTCTATAGGAAGATATTTCCTATTCTACCATTGAACTCAAAGCGGCTGAAATCTCCACTTGCAAATTCCACAAAAAGAGTTTTTCAAGTCTGCTCTGTGTAAAGGATCGTTCAACTCTGTGAGTTGAATACACACAACACAAGGAAGTTACTGAGAATTCTTCTGTCTAGCAGAATATGAAGAAATCCCGTTTCCAACTAAGGCCACAAGATGTCAGAATATCCACTTACAGAATTGACAAACAGACTGTTTCCTAACTGCTCTATGAAAAGAAAGGTTAAACTCTGTGAGTTGAACGAACACATCACAACGCAGTTTATGGGGATGATTCTGTCTAGTTTTTATACGAAGATATTTCCTTTTCTACCATTGACCTCAAAGCGGCTGAAATCACCACTTGCCAATTGCACAAAAAGAGTGTTTCAAATCTGCTCTGTCTAAGGGAACGTTCAACTCTTGTGAGTTGAATGTACACAACACAAGGAAGTTACTGAGAATTCTTCTGTCTAGCCTTATATGAAAAAAACCCGTTTCCAACGAAGGCCTCAAAGAGGTCTGAATATCCACTTGCAGACTTTACAAACAGAGTGTTTCCTAACTACTCTATGAAAAGAAAGGTTAAACTCTGTGAGTTGAAGGCACACATCACAAAGGAGTTTCTGAGAATCATTCTGTCTAGTTTTTATACGAAGATATTTCCTTTTCTGCCTTTGGCCCCAAAGCGCTTGAAATCTCCACTTGCAAATTCCACAAAAACAGTGTTTCAAATCTGCTCTCTCTAAATGAAAGTTCAACTCTGTCAGTTGAATACACACAACACAAGGAAGTTACTGAGAATTATTCTGTCTAGCAGAATATGAAGAAATCCCGTTTCCAAAGAAGGCCTCAAGGAGGTCTGAATATCCACTTGCAGACATTACAAACAGAGTGTTTCTTAACTGCTCTATGAAAAGAAAAGTTAAACTCTGTGAGTTGAACGCACACATCACAAAGGAGTTTCTGAGAATCATTCTGTCTAGTTTTTATAGAGAAGATATTTCCTTTTCTACCTTTGACTTCAAAGCGGCTGAAATCTCCACTTGCAAATTCCACAAAAAGAGTGTTACAAGTCTGCTCTGTGTAAAGGATCGTTCAACTCTGTGAGTTGAATACACACAACACAAGGAAGTTACTGAGAATTCTTCTGTCTAGCAGAATATGAAGAAATCCCGTTTCCAACGAAGGCCACAAGATGACAGAATATCCACTTACAGAATTGACAAACAGACTGTTTCCTAACTGCTCTATGAAAAGAAAGGTTAAAGTCTGTGAGTTGAACGAACACATCACAACGCAGTTTGTGGGAATGATTCTGTCTAGTTTTGAAACGAAGATATTTCCTTTTTCTGCCGTTGACCTTAAAGCGCTTGAAATCTACACTTGCAAATTGCACAAATAGAGTGTTTCAAATCTGCTCTGTCTAAGGGAACGTTCAACTCTGTGAGTTGAATGCACACAACACAAGGAAGTTACTGGGAATTCTTCTGTCTAGCCTTATATGAAAAAAACCCGTTTCCAACGAAGGCTTCTAAGTGGTCAAAATATCCAAGTGCAGACTTTACAAACAGAGTGTTTCCAAACCGCTGAATGAAAAGAAAAGTTAAACTCTGAGAGTTGAACGCACACATCATGCAGCAGTTTCTGAGAATGATTCTGTCTAGTTTTTATACGAAGATATTTAGTTTTCTGCCTTTGGCCCCAAAGTGCTTGAAATCTCCACTTGCAAATTCCACAAAAACAGTGTTTCAAATCTGCTCTCTCTAAATGAAAGTTTAACTCTGTCAGTTGAATACACACAACACAAGGAAGTTACTGAGAATTCTTCTGTCTAGCAGAATATGAAGAAATCCCGCTTCCAACGAAGGCCTCAAAGAAGTCTGAATATCCACTTGCAGACTTTACAAACAGAGTGTTTTCCAACTACTCTATGAAAAGAAAGGTTGAACTCTGTGAGTTGAACGCACACATCACAAAGGAGTTTCTGAGAATCATTCTGTCTAGTTTTTATAGGAAGATATTACCTTTTCTACCATTGACTTAAAAGCGGCTGAAAACTCCACTTGCAAATTCCACAAAAAGAGTGTTACAAGTCTGCTCTGTCTAAGGGAACGTTCAACTCTGTGAGTTGAATGTACACAACACAAGGAAGTTACTGGGAATTCTTCTGTCTAGCAGAATATGAAGAAATCCCGTTTCCAACGAAGAGCCACAAGATGTCAGAATATCCACTTACAGAATTGACAAACAGACTGTTTCCTAACTGCTCTATGAAAAGAAAGGTTAAACTCTGTGAGTTGAACGAACACATCACAACGCAGTTTGTGGGAATGATTCTGTCTAGTTTTGAAACGAAGATATTTCCTTTTCTGCCATTGACCTTAAAGCGCTTGAAATCTACACTTGCAAATGGCACAAATAGAGTGTTTCAAATCTGCTCTGTCGAAGGGAACTTTCATCTCTGTGAGTTGAATGCACACAACACAAGGAAGTTACTGGGAATTCTTCTGTCTAGCCTTACATGAAAAAAACCCGTTTCCAACGAAGGCCTCTAAGTGGTCAAAATTTCCACGTGCAGACTTTACAAACAGAGTGTTTCCAAACCGCTGAATGAAAAGAAAAGTTAAACTCTGTGAGTTGAACGCACACATCACGCAGCAGTTTCTGAGAATGATTCTGTCTAGTTTTTATACGAAGATATTTCCTTTTCTGCCTTTGGCCCCAAAGCGCTTGAAATCTCCACTTGCAAATTCCACAAAAAAAAGTGTTTCAAAACTACTCTCTCTAAATGAAAGTTCAACTCTGTCAGTTGAATACACACAACACAAGGAAGTTACTGAGAATTCTTCTGTCTAGCAGAATATGAAGAAATCCCGTTTCCAACGAAGGCCTCAAGGAGGTCTGAATATCCACTTGCAGACGTTACAAACAGAGTGTTTCCTAACTGCTCTATGAAAAGAAAAGTTAAACTCTGTGAGTTGAACGCACACATCACAAAGGATTTTCTGAGAATCATTCTGTCTAGTTTTTCTACGAAGATATTTCCTTTCTACTATTGACCTCAAAGCGGCTGAAATCTCCACTTGCAAATTCCACAAAAAGAGTGCTTCAAGTCTGCTCTGTGTAAAGGATCGTTCAACTCTGTGAGTTGAATACACACAACACAAGGAAGTTACTGAGAATTCTTCTGTCTAGCAGAATATGAAGAAATCCCGTTTCCAACGAAGGCCTCAAGGAGGTCTGAATATCCACTTGCAGACTTTACAAACAGAGTGTTTCCTAACTGCTCTATGAACAGAAAGGTTAAACTTTGTGAGTTGAACGCACACATCACTAAGGAGTTTCTGAGAATCATTCTGTCTAGTTTTGAAACGAAGATATTTCCTTTTCTGCCATTGACCTTAAAGCGCTTGAAATCTCCATTTGCCAATTGCACAAAAAGAGTGTTTCAAATCTGCTCTGTCTAAGGGAACGTTCAACTCTGTGAGTTGAATGTACACAACACAAGGAAATTACTGGGAATTCTTCTGTCTAGCCTGACAGGAAAAAAACCCTTTTCCAACGAAGGCCTCTAAGTGGTCCAATTATCCACGTGCAGAGTTTACAAACAGAGTGTTTCAAACTGCTGAATGAAAAGAAAAGTTAAACTCTGAGAGTTGAACGCACACATCACAGAGCAGTTTCTGAGAATGATTCTGTCTAGTTTTTATACGAAGATATTTCCTTTTCTGCCTTTGGCCCCAAAGCGCTTGAAATCTCCATTGGAAATTCGACAAAAACAGTGTTTCAAATCTGCTCTCTCTAAATGAAAGTTCAACTCTGTCAGTTGAATACACACAACACAAGGAAGTTACTGAGAATTCTTCTGTCTAGCCTTATATGAAAAAAACCCGTTTCCAACGAAGGCCTCAAAGAGGGCTGAATATCCACTTGCAGACTTTACAAGCAGAGTGTTTCCTAACTGCTCTATGAAAAGAAAGGTTAAACTCTGTGAGTTGAACGGCACACATCACAAAGGAGTTTCTGAGAATCATTCTGTCTAGTTTTTATAGGAAGATATTTTTTTTCTACCTTTGACTTCAAAGCGGCTGAAATCTCCACTTGCAAATTCCACAAAAAGAGTGTTACAAGTCTGCTCTGTGTAAAGGATCGTTCAACTCTGTGAGTTGAATACACACAACACAAGGAAGTTACTGAGAATTCTTCTGTCTAGCAGAATATGAAGAAATCCCGTTTCCAACGAAGGCCACAAGATGTCAGAATATCCACTTACAGACTTTACAAACAGAGTGTTTCCTAACTGCTCTATGAACAGAAAGGTTAAACTCTGTGAGTTGAACGTACACATCACAACGCAGTTTGTGGGAATGATTCTGTCTAGTTTTTATAGGAAGATATTTCCTTTTCTACATTTGACTTCAAAGCGGCTGAAATCTCCACTTGCCAATTGCACAAAAAGAGTGTTTCAAATCTGCTCTGTCTAAGGGAACGTTCAACTCTGTGAGTTGAATGTACACAACACAAGGAAGTTACTGGGAATTCTTCTGTCTAGCCTTACATGAAAAAATCCCGTTTCCAACGAAGGCCTCTAAGTGGTCAAAATATCCACGTGCAGACTTTACAAACAGAGTGTTTCCAAACCGCTGAATGAAAAGAAAAGTTAAACTCTGAGAGTTGAACGCACACATCACACAGCAGTTTCTGAGAATGATTCTGTCTAGTTTTTATACGAAGATATTTCCTTTTCTGCCTTTGGCCTCAAAGCGCTTGAAATCTCCATTTGCAAATTCCACAAAAAGAGTGTTTCAAATCTGCTCTGTGTAAATGAAAGTTCAAATCTGTGAGTTGAACACACACAACACAAGGAAGGTACTGGGAATTCTTCTCTCTAGCCTTATATGAAAAAAACCCTTTTCCAACGAAGGCCTCAAAGAGGTCTGAATATCCACTTGCAGACTTTAAAAACAGAGTGATTCCTAACTGCTCTATGAAAAGAAAGGTTAAACTCTGTGAGTTGAACACACACATCTCAAAGGAGTTTCTGAGAATCATTCTGTCTAGTTTTTCTACGAAGATATTTCCTTTTCTACTATTGACCTCAAAGCGGCTGAAATCTCCACTTGCAAATTCCACACAAAGAGTGTTTCAAGTCTGCTCTGTGTAAAGGATCGTTCAACTCTGTGAGTTGAATACACACAACACAAGGAAGTTACTGAGAATTCTTCTGTCTAGCAGAATATGAAGAAATCCCGTTTCCAACGAAGGCCACAAGATGTCGGAATATCCACTTACAGAATTTACAAACAGACTGTTTCCTAACTGCTCTATGAAAAGAAAGGTTAAACTCTGTGAGATGAACGAACACATCACAACGCAGTTTGTGGGAATGATTCTGTCTAGTTTTGAAACGAAGATATTTCCTTTTCTGCCATTGACCTTAAAGCGCTTGAAATCTCCACTTGCCAATTGAACAAAAAGAGTGTTTCAAATCTGCTCTGTCTAAGGGAACGTTCAACTCTGTGAGTTGAATGTACACAACGCAAGGAAGTTACTGGGAATTCTTCTGTCTAGCCTTACATGAAAAAAACCCGTTTCCAACGAAGGCCTCTAAGTGGTCAAAATTTCCACGTGCAGACTTTACAAACAGAGTGTTTCCAAACCGCTGAATGAAAAGAAAAGTTAAACTCTGAGAGTTGAACGCACACATCACGCAGCAGTTTCTGATAATGATTCTGTCTAGTTTTTGTACGAAGATATTTCCTTTTCTGCCTTTGGCCCCAAAGCGCTTGAAATCTCCACTTGCAAATTCCACAAAAACAGAGTTTCAAATCTGCTCTCTCTAAATGAAAGTTCAACTCTGTCAGTTGAATACACACAACACAAGGAAGTTACTGAGAATTCTTCTGTCTAGCAGAACATGAAGAAATCCCGTTTCCAACGAAGGCCTCAAAGATGTCTGAATATCCACTTGCAGACTTTACAAACAGAGTGTTTCCTAACTGCTCTATGAGAAGAAAGGTTAAACTCTGTGAGTTGAACGCACACATCACAAAGGAGTTTCTGAGAATCATTCTGTCTAGTTTTTCTACGAAGATATTTCCTTTTCTACTATTGACCTGAAAGCGGCTGAAATCTCCACTTGCAAATTCCACAAAAAGAGTGTTTCAAGTCTGCTCTGTGTAAAGGATCGTTCAACTCTGTGAGTTGAATACACAAAACACAAGGGAAGTTACTGAGAATTCTTCTGTCTAACAGAATATGAAGAAATCCCGTTTCCAACGAAGGCCTCAAAGAGGTCTGAATATCCACTTGCAGACTTTACAAACAGAGTGTTTCCTAACTGCTATATTAAAAGAAAAGTTAAACTCTGTGAGTTGAACGCACACATCACAAAGGAGTTTCTGAGAATCGTTCTGTCTAGTTTTTCTACGAAGATATTTCCTTTTCTACCATTGACCTCAAAGCGGCTGAAATCTCCACTTGCAAATTCCACAAAAAGAGTGTTTCAAGTCTGCTCTGTGTAAAGGATCGTTCAACTCTGTGAGTTGAATACACACAACACAAGGAAGTTACTGAGAATTCTTCTGTCTAGCAGTATATGAAGAAGTCCGGTTTCCAAACAAGGCCACAAGATGTCAGAATATCCACTTACGGACTTTACAAACAGAGTGTTTCCTAACTGCTCTATGAACAGAAAGGTTAAACTCTGTAAGTTGAACGAACACATCACTACGCAGTTTGTGGGAATGATTCTGTCTAGTTTTGAAACGAAGATATTTCCTTTTCTGCCATTGACCTTAAAGCGCTTGAAATCTACACTTGCAAATTGCACAAATAGAGTGTCTCAAATCTGCTCTGTCTAAGGGAACGTTCATCTCTGTGAGTTGAATGCACACAACACAAGGAAGTTACTGGGAATGCTTCTGTCTAGCCTTACAGGAAAAAAACCCGTTTCCAACGAAGGCCTCTAAGTGGTCAAAATATCCACGTGCAGACTTTACAAACAGAGTGTTTCCAAATTGCTGAATGAAAAGAAAAGTTAAAGTCTGAGAGTTGAACGCACACATCGCAGAGCAGTTTCTGAGAATGATTCTGTCTAGTTTTGAAACGAAGATATTTCCTTTTCTGCCTTTGGCCTCAAAGCGCTTGAAATCTCCACTTGCAAATTCCACAGAAAGAGTGTTTCAAATCTGCTCTGTGTAAATGAAAGTTCAACTCTGTGAGTCGAACACCCACAACACAAGGAAGTTACTGGGAATTCTTCTGTCTAGCATAATATGAAGAAATCCCGTTTCCAACGAAGACCTCAAAGAGGTCTGAATATCCACTATCCACTTGCAGACTTTACAAACAGAGTGTTTCCTAACTGCTCTATGAGAAGAAAAGTTAAACTCTGTGAGTTGAACGCACACATCACAAAAGATTTTCTGAGAATCATTCTGTCTAGTTTTTCTACGAAGATATTTCCTTTTCTACTATTGACCTCAAAGTGGCTGAAATCTCCACTTGCAAATTCCACAAAAAGAGTGTTTCAAGTCTGCTCTGTGTAAAGGATCGTTCAACTCTGCGAGTTCAATACACACAACACAAGGAAGTTACTGAGAATTCTTCTGTCTAGCAGAATATGAAGAAATCCCGTTTCCAACGAAGGCCACAAGATGTCAGAATATCCACTTACAGACTTTACAAACAGAGTGTTTCCTAACTGCTCTATGAACAGAAAGGTTAAACTCTGTGAGTTGAACTGAACACATCACAACGCAGTTTGTGGGAATGATTCTGTCTAGTTTTTATACGAAGATATTTCCTTTTCTACCATTGACCTCAAAGCGGCTGAAATCACCACTTGCCAATTGCACAAAAAGAGTGTTTCAAATCTGCTCTGTCTAAGGGAACGTTCAACTCTGTGAGTTGAATGTACACAACACAAGGAAGTTCCTGGGAATTCTTCTGTCTAGCCTTACAAGAAAAAAACCCGTTTCCAACGAAGGCCTCTAAGTGGTCAAGTTATCCACGTGCAGACTTTACAAACAGAGTGTTTCCAAACTGCTGAATGAAAAGAAAAGTTAAACTCTGAGAGTTGAACGCACACATCGCAGAGCAGTTTCTGAGAATGATTCTGTCTAGTTTTTATACGAAGATATTTCCTTTTCTGCCTTTGGCCCAAAAGCGCTTGAAATCTCCACTTGCAAATTCCACAAAAACAGTGTTTCAAATCTGCTCTCTCTAAATGAAAGTTCAACTCTGTCAGTTGAATACACACAACACAAGGAAGTTACTGAGAATTCTTCTGTCTAGCCTTATATGAAAAAAACCCGTTTCCAACGAAGGCCTCAAAGAGGTCTGAATATCCACTTGCAGACTTTACAAACAGAGTGTTTCCTAACTGCTCTATGAAAAGAAAGGTTAAACTCTGTGAGTTGAACGCACACATCACAAAGGAGTTTCTGAGAATCATTTCTGTCTAGTTTTTATAGGAAGATATTTCCTTTTCTACCTTTGACTTCAAAGCGGCTGAAAATTCCAATTGCAAATTCCACAAAAAGAGTGTTACAAGTCTGCTCTGTGTAAAGGTTCGTTCAACTCTGTGAGTTGAATACACACAACACAAGGAAGTTACTGAGAATTCTTCTGTCTAGCAGAATATGAAGAAATCCCGTTTCCAACGAAGGCCACAAGATGTCAGAATATCCACTTACAGAATTTACAAACAGACTGTTTCCTAACTGCTCTACGAAAAGAAAGGTTAAACTCTGTGAGATGAACGCACACATCACAAAGGAGTTTCTGAGAATCATTCTGTCTAGTTTTGAAACGAAGATATTTCCTTTTCTGCCATTGAACTTAAAGCGCTTGAAATCTCCATTTGCCAATTGCACAAAAAGAGTGTTTCAAATCTGCTCTGTCTAAGGGAACGTTCAACTCTGTGAGTTGAATGTACACAACACAAGGAAGTTACTGGGAATTCTTCTGTCTAGCCTTACATGAAAAAAACCCGTTTCCAACGAAGGCCTCTAAGTGGTCAAATTATCCACGTGCAGACTTTACAAACAGAGTGTTTCCAAACTGCTGAATGAAAAGAAAAGTTAAACTCTGAGAGTTGAACGCACACATCACAGAGCAGTCTCTGAGAATGATTCTGTCTAGTTTTTATACGAAGATATTTCCTTTTCTGCCTTTGGCCTCAAAGCGCTTGAAATCTCCACTTGCATATTCCACAAAAAGAGTGTTTCAAATCTGCTCTGTGTAAATGAAAGTTCAACTCTGTGAGTTGAACACACACAACACAAGGAAGTTACTGGGAATTCTTCTGTCTAGCAGAATATGAAGAAATCCCGTTTCCAACGAAGGCCTCAAAGAGGTCTGAATATCCACTTGCAGACTTTACAAACAGAGTGTTTCCTAACCGCTCTATGAAAAGAAAAGTTAAACTCTGTGTGTTGAACGCACACATCACAAAGGAGTTTCTGAGAATCATTCTGTCTAGTTTTTATAGGAAGATATTCCCTTTTCTACCTTTGACTTCAAAGCGGCTGAAATCTCCACTTGCAAATTCCACAAAAAGAGTGTTACAAGTCTGCTCTGTGTAAAGGATCGGTGAACTCTGTGAGTTGAATACACACAACACAAGGAAGTTACTGAGAATTCTTCTGTCTAGCAGAATATGAAGAAATCCCGTTTCCAACGAAGGCCACAAGATGTCAGAATAACCACTTACAGAATTTACAAACAGACTGTTTCCTAACTGCTCTAAGAAAAGAAAGGGTAAACTCTGTGAGTTGAACGAACACATCACAACGCAGTTTGTGGGAATGATTCTGTCTAGTTTTGAAACGAAGATATTTCCTTTTCTGCCATTGACCTTAAAGCGCTTGAAATCTACACTTGCAAATTGCACAAATAGAGTGTTTCAAATCTGCTCTGTCTAAGGAACGTTCAACTCTGTGAGTTGAATGCACACAACACAAGGAAGTTACTGGGAATTCTTCTGTCTAGCCTTACAGGAAAAAAACCCGTTTCCAACGAAGGCCTCTAAGTGGTCAAAATATCCACGTGCAGAGTTTACAAACAGAGTGTTTCCACACTGCTGAATGAAAAGAAAAGTTAAACTCTGAGAGTTGAACGCACACATCGCAGAGCAGTTTCTGAGAATGATTCTGTCTAGTTTTTATACGAAGATATTTCCTTTTCTGTCTTTGGCCTCAAAGCGCTTGAAATCTCCATTTGCAAATTCCACAAAAAGAGTGTTTCAAATCTGCTCTGTGTAAATGAAAGTTCAACTCTGTGAGTTGAACACACACAACACAAGGAAGTTACTGGGAATTCTTCTGTCTAGCATAGTATGAAGAAATCCCGTTTCCAACGAAGGCCTCAAAGAGGTCTGAATATCCACTTGCAGAGTTTACAAACAGAGTGTTTCCTAACTGCTCTATGAAAAGAAAGGTTAAACTCCGTGAGTTGAACGCACACATCACAAAGAAGTTTCTGAGAATCATTCTGTCTAGTTTCTATAGGAAGATATTTCCTATTCTACCATTGACCTCAAAGCGGCTGAAATCTCCACTTTCAAATTCCACAAAAAGAGTGTTTCAAGTCTGCTCTGTGTAAAGGATCGTTCAACTCTGTGAGTTGAATACACACAACACAAGGAAGTTACTGAGAATTCTTCTGTCAAGCAGAATATGAAGAAAACCCGCTTCCAACGAAGGCCTCAAAGAAGTCTGAATATCCACTTGCAGACTTTACAAACAGAGTGTTTCCCAACTGCTCTATGAAAAGAAAGGTTGAACTCTGTGAGTTGAACGCACACATCACAAAGGAGTTTCTGAGAATCATTCTGTCTAGTTTCTATAGGAAGATATTTCCTATTCTACCATTGACCTCAAAGCGGCTGAAATCTCCACTTGCAAATACCAGAAAAAGAGTGTTTCAAGTCTGCTCTGTGTAAAGGATCGTTGAAATCTGTGAGTTGAATACACACAACACAATGAAGTTACTGAGAATTCTTCTGTCTAGCCTTACATGAAAAAAAACCCGTTTCCAAGGAAGGCCTCTAAGTGGTCAAAATATCCACGTGCAGACTTTACAAACAGAGTGTTTCCAAACCGCTGAATGAAAAGAAAAGTTAAACTCTGAGAGTTGAACGCACACATCATGCAGCAGTTTCTGAGAATGATTCTGTCTAGTTTTTATACGAAGATATTTCCTTTTCTGCCTTTGGCCCCAAAGCACTTGAAATCTCCACTTGCAAATTCCACAAAAACAGTGTTACAAATCTGCTCTCTCTAAATGAATGTTCAACTCTGTCAGTTGAAAACACACAACACAAGGAAGTTACTGAGAATTCTTCTGTCTAGCATAATATGAAGAAATCCCGTTTCCAACGAAGGTCTCAAAGGGGTCTGAATATCCACTTGCAGACTTTATAAACAGAGTGTTTACTAACTGCTCTATGAAAAGAAAGGTTAAACTTTGTGAGTTGAACACACACATCACAAAGGAGTTTCTGAGAATCATTCTGTCTAGTTTTATACGAAGATATTTCCTTTTCTACCATGGACCTCAAAGCGGCTGAAATCTCAACTTGCAAATTCCACAAAAAGAGTGTTTCAAGTCTGCTCTGTGTAAAGGATCGTTCAACTCTGTGAGTTGAATACACACAACACAAGGAAGATTCTGAGAATTCTTCTGTCTAGCAGAATATGAAGAAATCCCGTTTCCAACGAAGGCCACAAGATGTCAGAATATCCACTTACAGAATTTACCAACAGAGTGTTTCCTAACTGCTCTATGAAAAGAAAGGTTAAACTCTGTGAGTTGAACGAACACATCACAACGCAGTTTGTGGGAATGATTCTGTCTAGTTTTGAAACGAAGATATTTCCTTTTCTGCCATTGACCTTAAAGCGCTTGAAATCTACACTTGCAAATTGCACAAATAGAGTGTTTCAAATCTGCTCTGTCTAAGGGAACGTTCATCTCTGTGAGTTGAATGCACACAACACAAGGAAGTTACTGGGAATTCTTCTGTCTAGCCTTACATGAAAAAAACCCGTTTCCAACGAAGGCCTCTAAGTAGTCAAAATATCCACGTGCAGACTTTACAAACAGAGTGTTTCCAAACTGCTGAATGAAAAGAAAAGTTAAACTCTGAGAGTTGAACGCACACATCACAGAGCAGTTTCAGAGAATGATTCTGTCTAGTTTTTATACGAAGCATATTTCCTTTTCTGCCTTTGGCCCCAAAGCGCTTGAAATCTCCACTTGCAAATTCCACAAAAACAGTGTTTCAAATCTGCTCTCTCTAAATGAAAGTTCAACTCTGTCAGTTGAATACACACAACACAAGGAAGTTACTGAGAATTCTTCTTTCTAGCAGAATATGAAGAAATCCCGTTTCCAACGAAAGCCTCAAGGATGTCTGAATATCCACTTGCAGACTTTACAAACAGAGTGTTTCCTAACTGCTCTATGAAAAGAAAGGTTGAACTCTGTGAGTTGAACGCACACATCACAAAGGAGTTTCTGAGAATCATTCTGTCTAGTCTTTATACGAAGATATTTCCTTTTCTACCATTGACCCCAAAGCGGCTGAAATCTCCACTTGCAAATTCCACAAAAAGAGTGTTTCAAGTCTGCTCTGTGTAAAGGATCGTTCAACTCCGTGAGTTGAATACACACAACACAAGGAAGTTACTGAGAATTCTTCTGTCTAGTATTATAGGAAGAAATCCCGTTTCCAACGAAGTCCACAAAAAGGTCAGAATATCCACTTGCAGACTTGACAAACAGAGCGCTTACAGACGGCTCTATGAAAAGAAAGGTTAAACTCTGTGAGTTTAACGCACACATCACAACGCAGTTTGTGTGAATGATTCTGTCTAGTTTTGAAACGAAGATATTTCCTTTTCTGCCATTGACCCTAAAGCGCTTGAAATCTCCACTTGCAAATTGCACAAAAAGAGTGTTTCAAATCTGCTCTTTCTAAAGGAACGTTCAACTCTGTGAGTTGAATGCACACAACACAAAGAAGTTACTGGGAATTCTTCTGTCGAGCCTTACATGAAAAAAACCCGTTTCCAACGAAGGCCTCTAAGTGGTCAAAATATCCACGTGCAGACTTTACAAACAGAGTGTTTCCAAACCGCTGAATGAAAAGAAAAGTTAAACTCTGAGAGTTGAACGCACACATCACGCAGCAGTTTCTGAGAATGATTTCTGTCTAGTTTTTATACGAAGATATTTCCTTTTCTGCCTCTGGCCTCAAAGCGCTTGAAATCTCCATTTGCAAATTCCACAAAAAGAGTGTTTCAAATCTGCTCTGTGTAAATGAAAGTTCAACTCTGTGAGTTGAACACAAACAACACATGGAAGTTACTGGGAATTCTTCTGTCTAGCATAGTATGAAGAAATCCCAGTTTCCAACGAAGGCCTCAAAGAGGTCTGAATATCCACTTGCAGAGTTTACAAACAGAGTGTTTCCTAACTGCTCTATGAAAAGAAAGGCTAAACTCTGTGAGTTGAACGCACACATCACAAAGAAGTTTCTGAGAATCATTCTGTCTAGTCTTTATACGAAGATATTTCCTTTTCTACCATTGACCTCAAAGCGGCTGAAATCTCCACTTGCAAATTCCACAGAAAGAGTGTTTCAAGTCTGCTCTGTGTAAAGGATCGTTCAACTCTGTGAGTTGAATACACACAACACAAGGAAGTTACTGAGAATTCTTCTGTCTAGCAGAATATGAAGAAATCCCGTTTCCAACGAAGGCCACAAGCATGTCAGAATATCCACTTACAGAATTGACAAACAGACTGTTTCCTAACTGCTCTATGAAAAGAAAGGTTAAACTCTGTGAGTTGAACGAACACATCACAACGCAGTTTGTGGGAATGATTCTGTCTAGTTTTGAAACGAAGATATTTTCTTTTCTGCCGTTGACCTTAAAGCGCTTGAAATCTACACTTGCAAATTGCACAAATAGAGTGTTTCAAATCTGCTCTGTCTAAGGGAACGTTCAACTCTGTGAGTTGAATGCACACAACACAAGGAAGTTACTGGGAATTCTTCTGTCTAGCCTTACATGAAAGAAACCCGTTTCCAACGAAGGCCTCTAAGTGGTCAAAATATCCACGTGCAGACTTTACAAACAGAGTGTTTCCAAACCGCTGAATGAAAAGAAAAGTTAAACTCTGAGAGTTGAACGCACACATCACGCAGCAGTTTCTGAGAATGATTCTGTCTAGTTTTTATACGAAGATATTTCCTTTTCTGCCTTTGGCCCCATAGCGCTTGAAATCTCCACTTGCAAATTCCACAAAAACTGTGTTTCAAATCTGCTCTCTCTAAATGAAAGTTCAACTCTGTCAGTTGAATACACACAACACAAGGAAGTTACTGAGAATTCTTCTGTCTAGCAGAACATGAAGAAATCCCGCTTCCAACGAAGGCCTCAAAGAAGTCTGAATATCCACTTGCAGACTTTACAAACAGAGTGTTTCCCAACTGCTCTGTGAAAAGAAAGGTTGAACTCTGTGAGTTGAACGCACACATCACAAAGGAGTTTCTGAGAATCATTCTGTCTAGTTTTTATACGAAGATATTTCCTTTTCTACCATTGACCTCAAAGCGGCTGAAATCTCCACTTGCAAATTCCACAAAAAGAGTGTTTCAAGTCTGCTCTGTGTAAACGATCGTTCAACTCTGTGAGTTGAATACACACAACACAAGGAAGTTTCTGAGAATTCTTCTGTCTAGCATAATATGAAGAAATCCCGTTTCCAACGAAGGCCCCAAAGGGGTCTGAATACCCACTTACAGACTTTATAAACAGAGTGTTTACTAACTGCTCTATGAAAAGAAAGGTTAAACTCTGTGAGTTGAACACACACATCACAAAGGAGTTCCTGAGAATCATTCTGTCTAGTTTTTATACAAAGATATTTCCTTTTCTACCATGGACCTCAAAGCGGCTGAAATCTCCACTTGCAAATTCCACAAAAAGAGTGTTTCAAGTCTGCTCTGTGTAAAGGATCGTTCAACTCTGTGAGTTGAATACACACAACACAAGGAAGATTCTGAGAATTCTTCTGTCTAGGAGAATATGAAGAAATCCCGTTTCCAACGAAGGCCACAAGATGTCAGAATATCCACTTACAGAATTGACAAACAGACTGTTTCCTAACTGCTCTATGAAAAGAAAGTTTAAACTCTGTGAGTTGAACGAACCATCACAACGCAGTTTGTGGGAATGATTCTGTCTAGTTTTGAAACGAAGATATTTCCTTTTCTGCCATTGACCTTAAAGCCCTTGAAATCTCCATTTGCCAATTGCACAAAAAGAGTGTTTCAAATCTGCTCTGTCTAAGGGAACGTTCAACTCTGTGAGTGGAATGTACACAACACAAGGAAGTTACTGGGAATTCTTCTGTCTAGCCTTACATGAAAAAACCCGTTTCCAACGAAGGCCTCTAAGTGGTCAAAATATCCACGTGCAGACTTTACAAACAGAGTGTTTCCAAACCGCTGAATGAAAAGAAAAGTTAAACTCTGAGAGTTGAACGCACACATCACGCAGCAGTTTCTGAGAATGATTCTGTCTAGTTTTTATACGAAGATATTTCCTTTTCTGCCTTTGGCTCCAAAACGCTTGAAATCTCCACTTGCAAATTCCACAAAAACAGTTTTTCAAATCTGCTCTCTCTAAATGAAAGTTCAACTCTGTCAGTTGAAAACACACAACACAGGGAAGTTACTGAGAATTCTTCTGTCCAGCCTTATATGAAAAAAACCCGTTTCCAACGAAGGCCTCAAAGAGGTCTGAATATCCACTTGCAGACTTTACAAACAGAGTGTTTCCTAACTGCTCTATGAAAAGAAAGGTTAAACTCTGTGAGTTGAACGCACACATCACAAAGGAGTTTCTGAGAATTATTCTGTCTAGTTTCTATAGGAAGATATTTTCTATTCTACCATTGACCTCAAATCGGCTGAAATCTCCACTTGCAAATTCCACAAAAAGAGTGTTTCAAGACTGTTCTGTGTAAAGGATCATTCAAGTCTGTGAGTTGAATACACACAACACAAGGAAGTTACTGAGAATTCTTCTGTCTAGCAGAATATGAAGAAATCCCGTTTCCAACGAAGGCCTCAAGGAGGTCTGAATATCCATTTGCAGACTTTACAAACAGAGTGTTTCCTAACTGCTCTATGAAAAGAATGGTTAAACTCTGTGAGTTGAACGCACACATCACAAAGGAGTTTCTGAGAATCATTCTGTCTAGTTTCTATAGGAAGATATTTCCTATTCTACCATTGACCTCAAAGCGGCTGAAATCTCCACTTGCAAATTCCACAAAAAGAGTGTTTCAAGTCTGCTCTCTGTAAAGGATCGTTGAACTCTGTGAGTTGAATACACACAACACAAGGAAGTTACTGAGAATTATTCTGTCTAGCATAATATGAAGAAATCCCGTTTCCAACGAAGGCCTCAAAGAGGTCTGAATATCCACTTGCACACTTTACAAACAGAGTGTTTCCTAACTGCTCTATGAAAAGAAAAGTTAAACTCTGTGAGTTGAACGCACAAATCACAAAGGAGTTTCTGAGAATCATTCTGTCTAGTTTTGAAACGAAGATATTTCCTTTTCTGCCGTTGACCTTAAAGCGCTTGAAATCTACACTTGCCAATTGCACAAATAGAGTGTTTCAAATCGGCTCTGTCTAAGGGAACGTTCAACTCTGTGAGTTGAATGCACACAACACAAGGAAGTTACTGGGAATTCTTCTGTCTAGCCTTACAGGAAAGAAACCCGTTTCCAACGGAGGCCTCTAAGTGGTCAAAATATCCACGTGCAGACTTTACAAACAGAGTGTTTCCAAACTGCTGAATGAAAAGAAAAGTTAAACTCTGAGAGTTGAACGCACACATCGCAGAGCAGTTTCTGAGAATGATTCTGTCTAATTTTTATACGAAGATATTTCCTTTTCTGCCTTTGTCCTCAAAGCGCTTGAAATCTCCACTTGCAAATTCCACAAAAAGAGTGTTTCCAATCTGCTCTGTGTAAATGAAAGTTCAACTCTGTGAGTTGAACACACACAACACAAGGAAGTTACTGGGAATTCTTCTGTCTAGCCTTATATGAAAAAAACCCGTTTCCAACGAAGGCCTCAAAGAGGTCTGAATATCCACTTGCAGACTTTACAAACAGAGTGTTTCCTAACTGCTCTATGAAAAGAAAGGTTAAACTCTGTGAGTTGAAGGCACACATCACAAAGAAGTTTCTGAGAATCATTCTGTCAATTTTTGTACGAAGATATTTCCTTTTCTAACATGGACCTCAAAGCGGCTGAAATCTCCACTTGCAAATTCCACAAAAAGAGTGTTTCAAGTCTGCTCTGTGTAAAGGATCGTTCAACTCGGTGAGTTGAATACACACAACACAAGGAAGATTCTGAGAATTCTTCTGTCTAGCAGAATATGAAGAAATCCCGTTTCCAACGAAGGCCTCAAGGAGGTCTGAATATCCACTTGCAGACTTTACAAATAGAGTGTTTCCTAACTGCTCTATGAACAGAAAGGTTAAACTCTGTGAGTTGAACGAACACATCACAACGCAGTTTGTGGGAATGATTCTGTCTAGTTTTGAAACCAAGATATTTCCTTTTCTGCCGTTGACCTAAAAGAGCTTGAAAACTACACTTGCAAATTGCACAAATAGAGTGTTTCAAATCTGCTCTGTCTAAGGGAACGTTCAACTCTGTGAGTTGAATGCACACAACACAAGGGAAGTTACTGGGAATTCTTCTGTCTAGCCTTACATGAAAAAAACCCGTTTCCAACGAAGGCCTCTAAGTGGTCAAAATTTCCACGTGCAGACTTTACAAACAGAGTGTTTCCAAACTGCTGAATGAAAAGAAAAGTTAAACTCTGAGAGTTGAACGCACACATCACGCAGCAGTTTCTGAGAATGATTCTGTCTAGTTTTTATACGAAGATATTTCCTTTTCTGCCTTTGGCCCCAAACCGCTTGAAATCTCCACTTGCAAATTCCACAAAAACAGTGTTTCAAATCTGCTCTCTCTAAATGAAAGTTCAACTCTGTCAGTTGAATACACACAACACTAGGAAGTTACTGAGAATTCTTCTGTCTAGCATAATATGAAGAAATCCCGTTTCCAAGGAAGGTCTCAAGGAGGTCTGAATATCCACTTGCAGAGTTTACAAACGGAGTGTTTCCAAACTGCTCTATGAAAAGAAAGGTTAAACTCTGTGAGTTGAACGCACACATCACAAAGGAGTTTCTCAGAATCATTCTGTCTAGTTTCTATAGGAAGATATTTCCTATTCTACCATTGACCTCAAAGAGGCTGAAATCTCCACTTGCAAATTCCACAAAAAGAGTGTTTCAAGTCTGCTCTGTGTAAAGGATCGTTCAACTCTGTGTGTTGAATACACACAACACAAGGAAGTTACTGAGAATTCTTCTGTCTAGCAGAATATAAAGAAATCCCGTTTCCAACGAAGGCCTCAAGGAGGTCTGAATATCCACTTGCAGACTTTACAAACAGAGTGTTTCCTAACTGCTCTATGAACAGAAAGGTTAAACTCTGTGAGTTGAACGCACACATCACAAAGGAGTTTCTGAGAATCATTCTGTCTAGTTTTGAAACGAAGATATTTCCTTTTCTGCCATTGACCTTAAAGCGCTTGAAATCTCCACTTGCCAATTGCACAAAAAGAGTGTTTCAAATCTGCTCTGTCTAAGGGAACGTTCAACTCTGTGAGTTGAATGTACAGAACACAAGGAAGTTACTGGGAATTCTTCTGTCTAGCCTTACATGAAAAAAACCCGTTTCCAACGAAGGCCTCTAAGTGGTCAAATTATCCACGTGCAGACTTTACAAACAGAGTGTTTCCAAACTGCTGAATGAAAAGCAAAGTTAAACTCTGAGAGTTGAACGCACCCATCGCAGAGCAGTTTCTGAGAATGATTCTGTCTAGTTTTTATACGAAGATATTTCCTTTTCTGCCTTCGGCCCCAAAGCGCTTGAAATCTCCAATTGCAAATTCCACAAAAACAGTGTTTCAAATCTGCTCTCTCTAAATGAAAGTTCAACTCTGTCACTTGAATACACACAACACAAGGAAGTTACTGAGAATTCTTCTGTCTAGCCTTATATGAAAAAAACCCGTTTCCAACGAAGGCCTCAAAGAGGGCTGAATATCCACTTGCAGACTTTACAAGCAGAGTGTTTCCTAACTGCTCTATGAAAACAAAGGTTAAACTCTGTGAGTTGAACGCACACATCACAAAGGAGTTTCTGAGAATCATTCTGTCTAGTTTTTATAGGAAGTTATTTCCTTTTCTACCTTTGACTTCAAAATGGCTGAAATCTCCACTTGCAAATTCCACAAAAAGAGTGTTACAAGTCTGTTCTGTGTAAAGGATCGTTCAACTCTGTGAGTTGAATACACACAACACAAGGAAGTTACTGAGAATTCTTCTGTCTAGTTTTGAAACGAAGATATTTCCTTTTCTTCCATTGACCTTAAAGCGCTTGAAATCTCCACTTGCCAATTGCACAAAAAGAGTGTTTCAAATCTGCTCTGTCTAAGGGAACGTTCAACTCTGTGAGTTGAATGCACACAACACAAGGAAGTTACTGGGAATTCTTCTGTCTAGCCTTACATGAAGAAAACCCGTTTCCAACGAAGGCCTCTAAGTGGTCAAAATATCCACGTGCAGACTTTACAAACAGAGTGTTTCCAAACCGCTGAATGAAAAGAAAAGTTAAACTCTGAGAGTTGAACGCACACACCACGCAGCAGTTTCTGAGAATGATTCTGTCTAGTTTTTATACGAAGATATTTCCTTTTCTGCCTTTGGCCCCAAAGCGCTTGAAATCTCCACTTGCAAATTCCGCAAAAACCGTGTTTCAAATCTGCTCTCTCTAAATGAAAGTTCAACTCTGTCAGTTGAATACACACAAAACAAGGAAGTTACTGAGAATTCTTCTGTCTAGCAGAATATGAAGAAATCCCGTTTCCAACGAAAGCCTCAAAGATGTCTGAATATCCACTTGCAGACTTTACAAACAGAGTGTTTCCTAACTGCTCTATGACAAGAAAGGTTAAACTCTGTGAGTTGAACGCACACATCACAAAGGAGTTTCTGAGAATCATTCTGTCTAGTTTTTATAGGAAGATATTTCCTTTTCTACTTTGACTTCAAAGCGGCTGAAATCTCCACTTGCAAATTCCACAAAAAGAGTGTTACAAGTCTGCTCTGTGTAAAGGATCGTTCAACCGTGTGAGTTGAATACACACAACACAAGGAAGTTACTGAGAACTCTTCTGTCTAGCAGAATATGAAGAAATCCCGTTTCCAACGAAGGCCACAAGATGTCAGAATATCCACTTACAGACTTTACAAACAGAGTGTTTCCTAACTGCTCTATGAACAGAAAGGTTAAACTGTGTGAGTTGAACGCACACATCACAAAGGAGTTTCTGAGAATCATTCTGTCTAGTTTTGAAACGAAGATATTTCCTTTTCTGCCATTGACATTAAAGCGCTTGAAATCTCCATTTGCCAATTGCACAAAAAGAGTGTTTCAAATCTGCTCTGTCTAAGGGAACGTTCAACTCTGTGAGTTGAATGTACACAACACAAGGAAGTTACTGGGAAATCTTCTGTCTAGCCTTACATGAAAAAACCCGTTTCCAACGAAGGCCTCTAAGTGGTCAAATTATCCACGTGAAGACTTTACAAACAGAGTGTTTCCAAACTGCTGAATGAAAAGAAAAGTTAAACTCTGAGAGTTGAACGCACACATCGCAGAGCAGTTTCTGAGAATGATTCTGTCTAGTTTTGAAACGAAGTATATTTCCTTTTCTGCCTTTGGCCTCAAAGTGCTTGAAATCTCCACTTGCAAATTCCACAAAAAGAGTGTTTCAAATCTGCTCTGTGTAAATGAAAGTTCAACTCTGTGAGTCGAACACACACAACACAAGGAAGTTACTGGGAATTCTTCTGTCTAGCAGAATATGAAGAAATCCCGTTTCCAACGAAGGCCTCAAAGGGGTCTGAATATCCACTTGCAGACTTTATAAACAGAGTGTTTACTAACTGCTCTATGAAAAGAAAGGTTAAACTCTGTGAGTTGAACGCACACATCACAAAGGAGTTTCTGAGAATCATTCTGTCTCGGCTTTATACGAAGATATTTCCTTTTCTACCATTGACATCAAAGCGGCTGAAATCTCCACTTGCAAATTCCACAAAAAGAGTGTTTCAAGTCTGCTCTGTGTAAAGGATCGTTCAACTCTGTGAGTTGAATACACACAACACAAGGAAGTTACTGAGAATTCCTCTGTCCAGCAGTATATGAAGAAATCCCGTTTCCAACGAAGGCCTCAAAGAGGTCTGAATATCCACTTGCAGACTTTACAAACAGAGTGTTTCCTAACTGCTCTATGAAAAGAAAGGTTAAACTCTGTGAGTTGAACGAACACATCACAACGCAGTTTGTGGGAATGATTCTGTCTAGTTTTGAAACGAAGATATTTCCTTTTCTGCCGTTGACTTTAAGCGCTTGAAATCTACACTTGCAAATTGCACAAATAGAGTGTTTCAAATCTGCTCTGTCTAAGGGAACGTTCAACTCTGTGAGTTGAATGCACACAACACAAGGAAGTTACTGGGAATTCTTCTGTCTAGCCTTACATGAAAAAAAACCGTTTCCAACGAAGGCCTCTAAGTGGTCAAATTATGCACGTGCAGACTTTACAAACAGAGTGTTTCCAAACTGCTGAATGAAAAGAAAAGTTAAACTCTGAGAGTTGAACGCACACATCGCAGAGCAGTTTCTGAGAATGATTCTGTCTAGTTTTTATACGAAGATATTTCCTTTTCTGCCTTTGGCCCCAAAGCGTTTGAAATCTCCACTTGCAAATTCCACAAAAACAGTGTTTCAAATCTGCTCCCTCTAAATGAAAGTTCAACTCTGTCAGTTGAATACACACAACACAAGGGAGTTACTGAGAATTCTTCTGTCTAGCATAATAGGAAGAAATCCCGTTTCCAACGAAGGCCTCAAGGAGGTCTGAGTATCCACTTGCAGACTATACAAGCACAGTGTTTCCTAACTGCTCTATGAAAAGAAAGGTTAAACTCTGTGAGTTGAATGCACACATCACAAAGGAGTTTCTCAGAATCATTCTGTCTAGTTTCTATAGGAAGATATTTCCTATTCTACCATTGACCTCAAAGCGGCTGAAATCTCCACTTGCAAATTCCACAAAAAGTGTGTTTCAAGTCTGCTCTGTGTAAAGGATCGTTCAACTCTGTGAGTTGAATACACAAAACACAAGGAAGTTACTGAGAATTCTTCTGTCTAGCAGAATATGAAGAAATCCCGTTTCCAACGAAGGCCTCAAAGACGTCTGAATATCCACTTGCAGACTTTACAAACAGAGTGTTTCCTAACTGCTCTATGAAAAGAAAAGTTAAACTCTGTGAGTTGAACGCACACATCACAAAGGAGTTTCTGAGAATCATTCTGTCTAGTTTTGAAACGAAGATATTTCCTTTTCTGCGATTGACCTTAAAGTGCTTGAAATCTCCATTTGCCAATTGCACAAAAAGAGTGTTTCAAATCTGCTCTGTCTAAGGGATCGTTCAACTCTGTGAGTTGAATGTACACAACACAAGGAAGTTACTGGGAATTCTTCTGTCTAGCCTTACAGGAAAAAAACCCGTTTCCAACGAAGGCCTCTAAGTGGTCAAAATATCCACGTGCAGACTTTACAAACAGAGTGTTTCCAAACTGCTGAATGAAAAGCAAAGTTAAACTCTGAGAGTTGAACGCACACATCGCAGAGCAGTTTCTGAGAATGATTCGGTCTAGTTTTTATACGAAGATATTTCCTTTTCTGCCTTTGGCCTCAAAGCGCTTGAAATCTCGACTTGCAAATTCCACAAAAAGCGTGTTTCAAATCTGCTCTGTCTAAATGAAAGTTCAACTCTATCAGTTGAATACACACAACGCAAGGAAGTTACTGAGAATTCTTCTGTCTAGCATAATATGAAGAAATCCCGTTTCCAACGAAGGCCTCAAAGAGGTCTGAATATCCACTTGAAGACTTTACAAACAGAGTGTTTCCTAACTGCTCTATGAAAAGAAAAGTTAAACTCTGTGAGTTGAACGCACACATCACAAAGGATTTTCTGAGAATCATTCTGTCTAGTTTTTCTACGAAGATATTTCCTTTTCTACTATTGACCCCAAAGCGGCTGAAATCTCCACTTGCAAATTCCACAAAAAGAGTGTTTAAAGTCTGCTCTGTGTAAAGGATCGTTCAACTCTGTGAGTTGAATACACACAACACAAGGAAGTTACTGAGAATTCTTCTGTCTAGCATAATATGAAGAAATCCCGTTTCCAACGAAGGCCTCAAAGAGGTCTGAATATCCACTTGCAGACTTTACAAACAGAGTGTTTCCTAACTGCTCTATGAAAAGAAAGGTTAAACTCTTTGAGTTGAACGCACACATCACAAAGGAGTTTCTGAGAATCATTCTGTCTAGTTTTGAAACGAAGATATTTCCTTTTCTGCCTTTGAACTTAAAGCGCTTGAAATCTCCATTTGCCAATTGCACAAAAAGAGTGTTTCAAATCTGCTCTGTCTAAGGGAACGTTCAACTCTGTGAGTTGAATGTACACAACACAAGGAAGTTACTGGGAATTCTTCTGTCTAGCCTTACAGGAAAAAAACCCGTTTCCAACGAAGGCCTCTAAGTGGTCAAAATATCCACGTGCAGACTTTACATACAGAGTGTTTCCAAACTGCTGAATGAAAAGAAAAGTTAAACTCTGAGAGTTGAACGCACACATCGCAGAGCAGTTTCTGAGAATGATTCTGTCTAGTTTTTATACGAAGATATTTCCTTTTCTGCCTTTGGCCCCAAAGCGCTTAAAATCTCCACTTGCAAATTCCACAAAAACAGTGTTTCAAATCTGCTCTCTCTAAATGAAAGTTCAACTCTGTCAGTTGAATACACACAACACAAGGAAGTTACTGAGAATTCTTCTTTCTAGCAGAATATGAAGAAATCCCGTTTCCAACGAAAGCCTCAAGGATGTCTGAATATCCACATGCAGACTTTACAAACAGAGTGTTTCCCAACTGCTCTATGAAAAGAAAGGTTGAACTCTGTGAGTTGAACGCACACATCACAAAGGAGTTTCTGAGAATCATTCTGTCAATTTTCTATAGGAAGATATTTCCTATTCTACCATTGACCTGAAAGCGGCTGAATTCTCCACTTCCAAATTCCACAAAAAGACTGTTTCATGTCTGCTCTGTGTAAAGGATCGTTCACCTCTGTGAGTTGAAAACACACAACACAAGGAAGTTTCTGAGAATTCTTCTGTCTAGCAGAATATGAAGAAATCTCGTTTCCAACGAAGGCCACAAGATGTCAGAATATCCACTTACAGAATTTACAAACAGACTGTTTCCTAACTGCTCTATGAAAAGAAAGGTTAAACTCTGTGAGTTGAACGAACACATCACAACGCAGTTTGTGGGAATGATTCTGTCTAGTTTTGAAACGAAGATATTTCCTTTTCTGCCATTGACCTTAAAGCGCTTGAAATCTCCACTTGCCAATTGCACAAAAAGAGTGTTTCAAATCTGCTCTGTCTAAGGGAACGTTCAACTCTGTGAGTGGAATGTACACAACACAAGGAAGTTACTGGGAATTCTTCTGTCTAGCCTTACATGAAAAAAACCCGTTTCCAATGAAGGCCTCCAAGTGGTCAAAATATCCACGTGCAGACTTTACAAACAGAGTGTTTCCAAACTGCTGAATGAAAAGAAAAGTTAAACTCTGAGAGCTGAACGCACACATCGCAGAGCAGTTTCTGAGAATGATTCTGTCTAGTTTTTATACGAAGATATTTCCTTTTCTGCCTTTGGCCTCAAAGCGCTTGAAATCTCCACTTTCAAATTCCACAAAAAGAGTGTTTCAAATCTGCTCTGTGTAAATGAAAGTTCAACTCTGTGAGTTGAACACACACAACACAAGGGAAGTTACTGGGAATTCTTCTGTCTAGCAGAATATGAAGAAATCCCGTTTCCAACGAAGGCCTCAAGTAGGTCTGAATATCCACTTGCAGACTTTACAAACAGAGTGTTTCCTAACTGCTCTATGAAAAGAAAGGTTAAACTCTGTGAGTTGAACGCACACATCACAAAGGAGTTTATGAGAATCATTTTGTCTAGTTTCTATAAGAAGATATTTCCTATTCTACCATTGACCTCAAAGCGGCTGAAATCTCCACTTGCAAATTCGACAAAAAGAGTGTTTCAAGCCTGCTCTCTGTAAAGGATCCTTCAACTCTGTGAGTTGAATACACACAACACAAGGAAATTACTGAGAATTATTCTGTCTAGCAGTAATATGAAGAAATCCCGTTTCCAACGAAGGCCACAAGATGTCAGAATATCCACTTACAGACTTTACAAACAGAGTGTTTCCTAACTGCTCTATGAACAGAAAGGTTAAACTCTGTGAGTTGAAAGAACACATCACAACGCAGTTTGTGGGAATGATTCTGTCTAGTTTTGAAACGAAGATATTTCCTTTTCTGCCGTTGACCTTAAAGCGCTTGAAATCTACACTTGCAAATTGCACAAATAGAGTGTTTCAAATCTGCTCTGTCTAAGGGAACGTTCAGCTCTGTGAGTTGAATGCACACAACACAAGGAAGTTACTGGGAATTCTTCCGTCTAGCCTTACATGAAAAAAACCCGTTTCCAACGAAGGCCTCAAAGAAGTCCAAATATCCACGTGCAGACTTTACAAACAGAGTGTTTCCTAACGGCTCTATGAAAAGAAACGTTAAACTCTGTGAGTTGAACGCCCACATCACAAAGGAGTTTCTGAGAATCATTCTGTCTAGTTTTTATACGAAGATATTTCCTTTTCTGCCTTTGGCCTCAAAGCGCTTGAAATCTCCACCTGCAAATTCCACAAAAAGAGTGTTTCAAATCTCCTCTGTGTAAATGAAAGTTCAACTCTGTGAGTTGAACACACACAACACAAGGAAGTTACTGGGAATCCTTCTGTCTAGCATAATATGCAGAAATCCCGTTTCCAACGAAGGCCTCAAAGAGGTCTGAATATCCACTTGCTGACTTTACAAACAGAGTGTTTCCTAACTGCTCAATGAAAAGAAAAGTTAAACTCTGCGAGTTGAACGCACACATCAGAAAGGAGTTTCTGAGAATCATTCTGTCTAGTTTTTATACGAAGATATTTCCTTTTCTACCATTGACCTCAACGCGGCTGAAATCTCCACTTGCAAATTCCACAAAACGAGTGTTTCAAGTCTGCTCTGTGTAAAGGATCGTTCAACTCTGTGAGTTGAATACACACAACACAAGGAAGTTACTGAGAATTCTTCTGTCTAGCAGAATATGAAGAAATCCCGTTTCCAACGAAGGCCACAAGATGTCAGAATATCCACTTACAGAATTTACAAACAGACTGTTTCCTAACTGCTGTATGAAAAGAAAGGTTAAACTCTGTGAGTTGAACGAACACATCACAACGCAGTTTGTGGGAATGATTCTGTGTAGTTTTGAAACGAAGATATTTCCTTTTCTGCCATTGACCTTAAAGCGCTTGAAATCTACACTTGCAAATTGCACAAATACAGTGTTTCAAATCTGCTCTGTCTAAGGGAACGTTCAACTCTGTGAGTTGAATGCACACAACACAAGGAAGTTACTGGGAATTCTTCTGTCTAGCCTTACATGAAAAAAACCCGTTTCCAAGGAAGGCCTCTAAGTGGTCAAATTATCCACGTGCAGACTTTACAAACAGAGTGTTTCCAAACTGCTGAATGATAAGAAAAGTTAAACTCTGAGAGTTGAACGCACACATCGCAGAGCAGTTTCTGAGAATGATTCTGTCTAGTTTTTATACGAAGATATTTCCTTTTCTGCCTTTGGCCCCAAAGCGCTTGAAATCTCCACTGGCAAATTCCACAAAACCAGTGTTTCAAATCTGCTCTCCATAAATGAAAGTTCAACTCTGTCAGTTGAATACACACAACACAAGGAAGTTACTGAGAATTCTTCTGTCTAGCAGAATATGAAGAAATCCCGTTTCCAACGAAGGCCTCAAAGAGGTCTGAATATCCACTTGCAGACTTTACAAACAGAGTGTTTCCTAACTGCTCTATGAAAAGAAAGGTTAAACTCTGTTAGTTGAACGCACACATCACAAAGGAGTTTCTGAGAATCATTCTGTCTAGTCTTTATAAGAAGATAGTTTCCTTTTCTACCATTGACCTCAAAGCGGCTGAAATCTCCACTTGCAAATTCCAGAAAAAGAGTGTTTCAAGTCTGCTCTGTGTAAAGGATCGTTCAACTCTGTGAGTTGAATACACACAACACAAGGAAGTTACTGAGAATTCTTCTGTCTAGCAGAATATGAAGAAATCCCGTTTCCAACGAAGGCCACAAGATGTCAGAATATCCACTTACAGAATTTACAAACAGACTGTTTCCTAACTGCTCTATGAAAAGAAAGGTTAAACTCTGTGAGTTGAACGAACACATCACAACGCAGTTTGTGGGAATAATTCTGTCTAGTTTTGAAACGAAGATATTTCCTTTTCTGCCATTGACCTTAAAGCGCTTGAAATCTACACTTGCAAATTGCACAAATAGAGTGTTTCAAATCTGCTCTGTCTAAGGGAACGTTCAACTCTGTGAGTGGAATGCACACAACACAAGGAAGTTACTGGGAATTCTTCTGTCTAGCCTTACAGGAAAAAAACCCGTTTCCAACGAAGGCCTCTAAGTGGTCAAAATATCCACGTGCAGACTTTACAAACAGAGTGTTTCCAAACTGCTGAAGGAAAAGAAAAGTTAAACTCTGAGAGTTGAACGCACACATCGCAGAGCAGTTTCTGAGAATGATTCTGTCTAGTTTTTATACGAAGATATTTCCTTTTCTGCCTTTGGCCTCAAAGCGCTTGAAATCTCCATTAGCAAATTCCACAAAAAGAGTGTCTCAAATCTGCTCTGTGTAAATGAAAGTTCAACTCTGTGAGTTGAACACACACAACACAAGGAAGTTACTGGGAATTCTTCTGTCTAGCCTTATATGAAAAATCCCGTTTCCAACGAAGGCCTCAAAGAGGTCTGAATATCCACTTGCATACTTTACAAACAGAGTGTTTCCTAACTGCTCTATGAAAAGAAAGGTTAAACTCTGTGAGTTGAACACACACATCACAAAGGAGTTTCTGAGAATCATTCTGTCTACTTTCTATAGGAAGATATTTCCTATTCTACCATTGACCTCAAAGCGGCTGAAATCTCCACTTGCAAATTCCAAAAAAAGAGTGTTTCAAGTCTGCTCTGTGTAAAGGATCGTTCAACTCTGTGAGTTGAATACACACAACACAAGGCAGTTACAGAGAATTCTTCTGTCTAGCAGAATATGAAGAAATCCCGTTTCCAACGAAGGCCACAAGATGTCAGAATATCCACTTACAGAATTTTCAAACAGACTGTTTCCTAACTGCTCTATGAAAAGAAAGGTTAAACTACTGTGAGTTGAACGAACACATCACAACGCAGTTTGTGGGAATGATTATCTGTCTAGTTTTGAAACGAAGATATTTCCTTTTCTTCCATTGACCATAAAGCGCTTGAAATCTCCACTTGCAAATTGCACAAATAGAGTGTTTCAAATCTGCTCTGTCTAAGGGAACGTTCAACTCTGTGAGTTGAGTGCACACAACACAAGGAAGTTACTGGGAATTCTTCTGTCTAGCCTTACATGAAAAAAACCCGTTTCCAACGAAGGCCTCTAAGTGGTCAAGTTATCCACGTGCAGACTTTACAAACAGAGTGTTTCCAAACTTCTGAATGAAAAGAAAAGTTAAACTCTGAGAGTTGAACGCACACATCGCAGAGCAGTTTCTGAGAATGATTCTGTCTAGTTTTTATACGAAGATATTTCCTTTTCTGCCTTTGGCCCCAAAGCGCTTGAAATCTCCACTTGCAAATTCCACAAAAACAGTGTTTCAAATCTGCTCTCTCTAAATGAAAGTTCAACTCTGTCAGTTGAATACACACAACACAGGGAAGTTACTGAGAATTCTTCTGTCTAGCATAATATGTAGAAATCCCGTTTCCAACGAAGGCCTCAATGAGGTCTGAATATCCACTTGCAGACTTTACAAACAGAGTGTTTCCTAACTGCTCTATGAAAAGAAAGGTTAAACTCTGTGAGTTGAACGCACACATCACAAAGGAGTTTCTGAGAATCATTCTGTCTAGTTTCTATAGGAAGATATTTCCTATTCTACCTTTGACTTCAAAGCGGCTGAAATCTCCACTTGCAAATTCCACAAAAAGAGTGTTTCAAGTCTGCTCTCTGTAAAAGATCGTTCAACTCTGTGAGTTGAATACACACAACACAAGGAAGTTACTGAGAATTCTTCTGTCTAGCAGAATATGAAGAAATCCCGTTTCCAACGAAGGCCACTAGATGTCAGAATATCCACTTACAGAATTGACAAACAGACTCTTTCCTAACTGCTCTATGAAAAGAAAGGTTAAACTCTGTGAGTTGAACGAACACATCACAACGCAGTTTGTGGGAATGATTCTGTCTAGTTTTGAAACGAAGATATTTCCTTTTCTGCCATTGACCATAAAGCGCTTGAAATCTCCACTTGCCAATTGCACAAAAAGAGTGTTTCAAATCTGCTCTGTCTAAGGGAACGTTCAACTCCTGTGAGTTGAATGTACACAACACAAGGAAGTTACTGGGAATTCTTCTGTCTAGCCTTACAAGAAAGAAACCCGTTTCCAACGAAGGCCTCTAAGTGATCAAAATATCCACGTGCAGACTTTACAAACAGAGTGTTTCCAAACTGCTGAATGAAAAGAAAAGTTAAACTCTGAGAGTTGAACGCACACATCGCAGAGCAGTTTCTGAGAATGATTCTGTCTAGTTTTTATACGAAGATATTTCCTTTTCTGCCTTTGGCCTCAAAGCGCTTGAAATCTCCACTTGCAAATTCCACAAAAAGAGTGTTTCAAATTTGCTCTGTGTAAATGAAAGTTCAACTCTGTGAGTTGAATACACACAACACAAGGAAGTTACTGGGAATTCTTCTGTCTAGCAGAATATGAAGAAATCCCATTTCCGACGAAGGCCTCAGGGAGGTCTGAATATCCACTTGCAGAGTTTACAAACAGAGTGTTTCCTAACTGCTCTATGAAAAGAAAGGTTAAACTCTGTGAGTTGAACGCACACATCACAAAGGAGTTTCTGAGAATCATTCTGTCTAGTTTCTATAGGAAGATATCTCCTATTCTACCATTGACCTCAAAGCGGCTGAAATCTCCAGTTGCAAATTCCACAAAAAGAATGTTTCAAGTCTGCTCTGTGTAAAGGATCGTTCAACTCTGTGAGTTGAATACACACAACACAAGGAAGTTACTGAGAATTATTCTGTCTAGCAGAATATGAAGAAATCCCGTTTCCAACGAATGCCTCAAGGAGGTCTGAATATCCAATTGCAGACTTTACAAACAGAGTGTTTCCTAACTGCTCTATGAACAGAAAAGTTAAACTCTGTGAGTTGAACGAACACATCACAACGCAGTTTGTGGGAATGATTCTGTCTAGTTTTAAAACGAAGATATTTCCTTTTCTGCCATTGACCTTAAAGCGCTTGAAATCTACACTTGCAAATTGCACAAATAGAGTGTTTCAAGTCTGCTCTGTTTAAAGGATCGTTCAACTCTGTGAGTTGAATACACACAACACAAGGAAGTTACTGAGAATTCTTCTGTCTACCCTTACATGAAAAAAACCCGTTTCCAACGAAGGCCTCTAAGTGGTCAAAATATCCACGTGCAGACTTTACAAACAGAGTGTTTCCAAACTGCTGAATGAAAAGAAAAGTTAAACTCTGAGAGTTGAACGCACACATCACAGAGCATTTTCTGAGAATGATTCTGTCTAGTTTCTATAGGAAGATATTTCCTATTCTACCATTGACCTCAAAGCGGCTGAAATCTCCACTTGCAAATTCCACAAAAAGAGTGTTTCACGTCTGCTCTGTGTAAAGGATCGTTCAACTCTGTGAGTTGAATACGCACAACACAAGGAAGTTACTGAGAATTCTTCTGCCTAGCATAATATGAAGAAATCCCGTTTCCAACGAAGGCCTCAAGGAGGTCTGAATATCCACTTGCAGACTTTACAAAGAGAGTGTTTCCTAACTGCTCTATGAAAAGAAAGGTTAAACTCTGTGAGTTGAACGCACACATCACAAAGGAGTTTCTGAGAATCAATCTGTCTAGTTTCTATAAGAAGATATTTCCTATTCTACCATTGACCTCAAAGCGGCTGAAATCTCCACTTGCAAATTCGACAAAAAGTGTGTTTCAAGCCTGCTCTCTGTAAAGGATCCTTCAACTCTGTGAGTTGAATACACACAACACAAGGAAGTTACTGAGAATTATTCTGTCTAGCAGAATAGGAAGAAATCCCGTTTCCAACGAAGGCCACAAGATGTCAGAATATCCACTTACAGACTTTACAAACAGAGTGTTTCCTAACTGCTCTATGAACAGAAAGGTTAAACTCTGTGAGTTGAACGAACACATCACAACGCAGTTTGTGGGAATGATTCTGTCTAGTTTTGAAACGAAGATATTTCCTTTTCTGCCGTTGACCTTAAAGCGCTTGAAATCTACACTTGCAAATTGCACAAATAGAGTGTTTCAAATCTGCTCTGTCTAAGGGAACGTTCAACTCTGTGAGTTGAATGCACACAACAGAAGGAAGTTACTGGGAATTCTTCTGTCTAGCCTTACATGAAAAAAAACCCGTTTCCAACGAAGGCCTCTAAGTGGTCAAAATATCCACGTGCAGACTTTACAAACAGAGTGTTTCCAAACCGCTGAATGAAAAGAAAAGTTAAACTCTGAGAGTTGAACGCACACATCACGCAGCAGTTTCTGAGAATGATTCAGTCTAGTTTTTATACGAAGATATTTCCTTTTCTGCCTTTGGCACCAAAGCGCTTGAAATCTCCATTTGCAAATTCCACAAAAACAGTGTTTCAAATCTGCTCTCTCTAAATGAAAGTTCAACTCTGTCAGTTGAATACACACAACACAAGGAAGTTACTGAGAATTCTTCTGTCTAGCATAATATGAAGAAATCCCTTTTCGAACGAAGGCCTCAAAGAGGTCTGAATATCCACATGCAGACTTTACAAACAGAGTGTTTCCTAACTGCTCTATGAAAAGAAAAGTTAAACTCTGTGAGATGAACGCACACATCACAAAGGAGTTTCTGAGAATCATTCTGTCTAGTTTCTATAGGAAGATATTTCCTATTCTGCCATTGACCTCAAAGCGGCTGAAATCTCCACTTGCAAATTCCACAAAAAGAGTGTTTCAAGTCTGCTCTGTGTAAAGGATCGTTCAACTCTGTGAGTTGAATACACACAACACAAGGAACTTACTGAGAATTCTTCTGTCTAGCAGAATATGAAGAAATCCCATTTCCAACGAAGGCCACAAAATGTCAGAATATCCACTTACAGACTTTACAAACAGAGTGTTTCCTAACTGCTGTATGAACAGAAAGGTTAAACTCTGTGAGTTGAACGAACACATCACAACGCAGTTTGTGGGAATGATTCTGTCTAGTTTTTATAGGAAGATATTTCCTTTTCTACCTTTGACCTGAAAGCGGCTGAAATCACCACTTGCCAATTGCACAAAAAGAGTGTTTCAAATCTGCTCTGTCTAAGGAAACGTTCAACTCTGTGGGTTGAATGTACAAAACACAAGGAAGTTACTGGGAATTCTTCTGTCTAGCCTTACATGCAAAAAACCCGTTTCCAACGAAGGCCTCTAAGTGGTCAAAATATCCACGTGCAGACTTTACAAACAGAGTGTTTCCAAACCGCTGAATGAAAAGAAAAGTTAAACTCTGAGAGTTGAACGCACACATCACGCAGCAGTTTCTGAGAATGATTCTGTCTAGTTTTTCTACGAAGATATTTCCTTTTCTACTATTGACCTCAAAGCGGCTGAAATCTCCACTTGCAAATTCCACAAAAAGAGTGTTTCAAGTCTGCTCTGTGTAAAGGATCGTTCAACTCTGTGAGTTGAATAAACACAACACAAGGAAGTTACTGAGAATTCTTCTGTCTAGCAGAATATGAAGAAATCCCGTTTCCAACGAAGGCCTCAAGGAGGTCTGAATATCCACTTGCAGACTTTACAAACAGAGTGTTTCCTAACTGCTCTATGAAAAGAAAGGTTAAACTCTGTGAGTTGAACACACACATCACAAAGGAGTTTCTGAGAATCATTCTGTCTAGTTTCTATACGAAGATATTTCGTTTTCTACCATTGACCTCAAAGCGGCTGAAATCTCCACTTGCAAATTCCACAAAAAGAGTGTTTCAAGTCTGCTCTGTGTAAAGGATCGTTCAACTCTGTGAGTTGAATGCACACAACACAAGGAAGTTACTGAGAATTCTTCTGTCTAGCAGAATAGGAAGAAATCCCGTTTCCAACGAAGGCCACAAGATGTCAGAATATCCACTTACAGACTTTACAAACAGAGTGTTTCCTAACTGCTCTATGAATAGAAAGGTTAAACTGCTGTGAGTTGAACGAACACATCACAACGCAGTTTGTGGGAATGATTCTGTCTAGTTTTGAAACGAAGATATTTCCTTTTCTGCCATTGACCTTAAAGCGCTTGAAATCTCCATTTGCCAATTGCACAAAAAGAGTGTTTCAAATCTGCTCTGTCTAAGGGAACGTTCAACTCTGTGAGTTGAATGTACACAACACAAGGGAAGTTACTGGGAATTCTTGTGTCTAGCCTTACATGGAAAAAACCCGTTTCCAACGAAGGCCTCTAAGTGGTCAAATTATCCACGTGCAGACTTTACAAACAGAGTGTTTCCAAACTGCTGAATGAAAACAAAAGTTAAACTCTGAGAGTTGAACGCACACATCGCAGAGCAGTTTCTGAGAATGATTCTGTCTAGTTTTGAAACGAAGATATTTCCTTTTCTGCCTTTGGCCTCAAAGCGCTTGAAATCTCCACTTGCAAATTCCACAAAAAGAGTGTTTCAAATGTGCTCTGTGTAAATGAAAGTTCAACTCTGTGAGTTGAACACACACAACACAAGGAAGTTACTGGGAATTCTTCTGTCTAGCATAATATGAAGAAATCCCGTTTCCAACGAAGGCCTCAAGGAGGTCTGTATATCCACTTGCAGACTTTACAAACAGAGTGTTTCCTAACTGCTCTATGAAAAGAAAGGTTAAACTCTGTGAGTAGAACGCACACATCACAAAGGAGTTTCTGAGAATCATTCTGTCTAGTTTCTATAGGAAGATATTTCCTATTCTACCATTGACCTCAAAGCGGCTGAAATCTCCACTTGCAAATTCCACAAAAAGAATGTTTCAAGGCTGCTCTGTGTAAAGGATCGTTCAACTCTGTGAGTTGAATACACACAACACAAGGAAGTTACTGAGAATTCTTCTGTCTAGCATAATATGAAGAAATCCCGTTTCCAACGAAGGCTTCAAAGAGGTCTGAATATCCACTTGCAGACTTTACAAACAGAGTGTTTCCTAACTGCTCTATGAAAAGAAAAGTTAAACTCTGTGATTTGAACGCACACTTCACAAAGGAGTTTATGAGAATCATTCTGTCTAGTTTTTATACGAACATATTTCCTTTTCTACCATTGACCTCAACGCGGCTGAAATCTCCACTTGCAAATTCCACAAAAAGAGTGTTTCAAGTCTGCTCTGTGAAAAGGATCGTTCAACTCTGTGAGTTGAATACACACAACACAAGGAAGATTCTGAGAATTCTTCTGTCTAGCCTTATATGAAAAAAACCCGTTTCCAACGAAGGCCTCAAAGAGGGCTGAATATCCACTTGCAGACTTTACAAGCAGAGTGTTTCCTAACTGCTCTGTGAAAAGAAAGGTTAAACTCTGTGAGTTGAACGCACACATCACAAAGGAGTTTCTGAGAATCATTCTGTCTACTTTCTATAGGAAGATATTTCCTATTCTACCTTTGACCTCAAAGCGGCTGAAATCTCCACTTGCAAATTCCACAAAAGGAGTGTTTCAAGTCTGCTCTGTGTAAAGGATCGTTCAACTCTGAGAGTTGAAAACACACAACACAAGTAAGTTTCTGAGAATTCTTCTGTCTGGCAGAATATGTAGAAATCCCGTTTCCAACGAAGGCCACAAGATGTCAGAATATCCACTTACAGAATTTACCAACAGAGTGTTTCCTACCTGCTCTATGAAAAGAAAGGTTAAACTCTGTGAGTTGAACGAACACATCACAACGCAGTTTGTGGGAATGATTCTGTCTAGTTTTGAAACGAAGATATTTCCTTTTCTGCCATTGACCTCAAAGCGCTTGAAATCTCCACTTGCCAATTGCACAAAAAGAGTGTTTCAAATCTGCTCTGTCTAAGGGAACGTTCAACTCTGTGAGTTGAATGTACACAACACAAGGAAGTTACTGGGAATTCTTCTGTCTAGCCTTACAGGAAAAAAACACGTTTCCAACGAAGGCCTTTAAGTGGTCAAAATATCCACGTGCAGACTTTACAAACAGAGTGTTTCCAAACTGCTGAATGAAAAGAAAAGTTAAACTCTGAGAGTTGAACGCACACATCACAGAGCAGTTTCCGAGAATGATTCTGTCTAGTTTTGAAACGAAGATATTTCCTTTTCTGCCTTTGGCCTTAAAGCGCTTGAAATCTCCACTTGCAAATTCCACAAAAAGAGTGTTTCAAATCTGCTCTGTGTAAATGAAAGTTCAGCTCTGTGAGTTGAACACACACAACACAAGGAAGTTACTGGGAATTCTTCTGTCTAGCCTTATATGAAAAAAACCCGTTTCCAAGGAAGGTCTCAAAGAGGTCTGAATATCCACTTGCAGAATTTACAAACAGAGTGTTTCCTAACTGCTCTATGAAAAGAAAGGTTAAACTCTGTGAGTTGAACGCACACATCACAAAGGAGTTTCTGAGAATCATTCTGTCTACTTTCTATAGGAAGATATTTCCTATTCTACCATTGACCTCAAAGCGGCTGAAATCTCCACTTGCAAATTCCACAAAAGGAGTGTTTCAAGTCTGCTCTGTGTAAAGGATCGTTCAACTCTGTGAGTTGAAAACCCACAGCACAAGGAAGTTTCTGAGAATTCTTCTGTCTAGCAGAATATGAAGAAATCCCGTTTACAACGAAGGCCACAAGATGTCAGAATATCCACTTACAGAATTTACAAACAGACTGTTTCCTAACTGCTCTATGAAAAGAAAGGTTAAACTCTGTGAGTTGAACGAACACATCACAACGCAGTTTGTGGGAATGATTCTGTCTAGTTTTGAAACGAAGATATTTCCTTTTCTGCCATTGACCTTAAAGCGCTTGAAATCTCCACTTGCCAATTGCACAAAAAGAGTGTTTCAAATCTGCTCTGTCTAAGGGAACGTTCAACTCTGTGAGTTGAATGTACACAACACAAGGAAGTTACTGGGAATACTTCTGTCTAGCCTTACAGGAAAGAAACCCGTTTCCAACGAAGGCCTCTATGTGGTCAAAATATCCACGTGCAGAGTTTACAAACAGAGTGTTTCCAAACTGCTGAATGAAAAGAAAAGTTAAACTCTGAGAGTTGAACGCACACATCGCAGAGCAGTTTCTGAGAATGATTCTGTCTAGTTTTTATACGAAGATATTTCCTTTTCTGCCTTTGGCCTCAAAGCGCTTGAAATCTCCACTTGCAAATTCCACAAAAACAGAGTTTCAAATCTGCTCTCTCTAAATGAAAGTTCAACTCTGTCAGTTGAATACACACAACACAAGGAAGTTACTGAGAATTCTTCTATCTAGCAGAATACGAAGAAATCCCGTTTCCAACGAAGGCCTCAAAGAGGTCTGAATATCCCCTTGCAGACTTTACAAACAGAGTGTTTCCTAACTGCTCTATGAAAAGAAAGGTTAAACTCTGTGAGTTGAACGCACACATCACAAAGGAGTTTCTGGGAATCATTCTGTCTAGTCTTTATACGAAGATATTTCCTTTTCTACCATTGACCACAAAGAGGCTGAAATCTCCACTTGCAAATTCCACAAAAAGAGTGTTTCAAGTCTGCTCTGTGTAAAGGATCGTTCAACTCTGTGAGTTGAATACACACAACACAAGGAAGTTACTGAGAATTCTTCTGTCTAGCAGAATATGAAGAAATCCCGTTTCCAACGAAGGCCACAAGATGTCAGAATATCCACTTACAGACTTTACAAACAGAGTGTTTCCTAACTGCTCTATGAACAGAAAGGTTAAACTCTCTGAGTTGAACGAACACATCACAACGCAGTTTGTGGGAATGATTCTGTCTAGTTTTGAAACCAAGATATTTCCTTTTCTGCCGTTGACCTTAAAGAGCTTGAAAACTACACTTGCAAATTGCACAAATAGAGTGTTTCAAATCTGCTCTGTCTAAGGGAACGTTCAACTCTGTGAGTTGAATGCACACAACACAAGGAAGTTACTGGGAATTCTTCTGTCTAGCCTTACATGAAAAAATCCCGTTTCCAACGAAGGCCTCTAAGTGGTCAAAATTTCCACGTGCAGACTTTACAAACAGAGTGTTTCCAAACCGCTGAATGAAAAGAAAAGTTAAACTCTGAGAGTTGAACGCACACATCACGCAGCAGTTTCTGAGAATGATTCTGTCTAGTTTTTATACGAAGATATTTCCTTTTCTGCCTTTGGCCTCAAAGCGCTTGAAATCTCCACTTGCAAATTCCACAAAAAGAGTGTTTCAAATCTGCTCTCTCTAAATGAAAGTTCAACTCTGTCAGTTGAATACACACAACACAAGGAAGTTACTGAGAATTCTTCTGTCTAGCATAATATGAAGAAATCCCGTTTCCAACGAAGGCTTCAAAGAGGTCTGAATATCCACTTGCAGACTTTACAAACAGAGTGTTTCCTAACTGCTCTATGAGAAGAAAAGTTAAACTCTGTGAGTTGAACGCACACATCACAAAAGATTTTCTGAGAATCATTCTGTCGAATTTCCATAGGAAGATATTTCCTATTCTACCATTGACCTCAAAGCGGCTGAAATCTCCACTTGCAAATTCGACAAAAAGAGTGTTTCAGGTCAGCTCTGTGTAAAGGATCGGTAAACTCTGTGAGTTGAATACACACAACACAAAGAAGTTACTGAGAATTCTTCTGTCTAGCATAATATGAAGAAATCCCGTTTCCAACGAAGTCCTCAAAGAGGTCTGAATATCCACTTGCAGAGTTTACAAACAGAGTGTTTCCTAACTGCTCTATGAAAAGAAAGGTTAAACTCCGTGAGTTGATCGAACACATCACAACGCAGTTTGAGGGAATGATTCTGTCTAGTTTTTATACGAAGATATTTCCTTTTCTGTCTTTGGCCTCAAAGCGCTTGAAATCTCCACTTGCAAATTCCACATAAAGAGTTTTTCAAATCTGCTCTGTCTAAATGAAAGTTCAACTCTGTCAGTTGAATACACACAACACAAGGAAGTTACTGAGAATTCTTCTGTCTAGCCTTACATGATAAAAACCCGTTTCCAACGAAGACCTCTAAGTGGTCAAATTATCCACGTGCAGACTTTACAAACAGAGTGTTTCCAAACTGCTGAATGAAAAGATAAGTTAAACTCTGAGAGTTGAACGCACACATCGCAGAGCAGTTTCTGAGAATGATTCTGTCTAGTTTTTAGACGAAGATATTTCCCTTTCTGCCTTTGGCCTCAAAGCGCTTGAAATCTCCATTTGCAAATTCCACAAAAAGAGTGTTTCAAATCTGCTCTGTGTAAATGAAAGTTCAACTCTGTGAGTTGAACACACACAACACATGGAAGTTACTGGGAATTCTTCTGTCTAGCACAGTATGAAGAAATCCCGTTTCCAAAGAAGGCCTCAAAGAGGTCTCAATATCCACTTGCACAGTTTAAAAACACAGTGTTTCCTAACTGCTCTATGAAAAGAAAGGTTAAACTCTGTGAGTTGAACGCACACATCACAAAGAAGTTTCTGAGAATCATTCTGTCTAGTTTCTATAAGAAGATATTTCCTCTTCTACCATTGACCTCAAAGCGGCTGAAATCTCCATTTGCAAATTCGACAAAAAGAGTGTTTCAAGCCTGCTCTCTGTAAAGGATCCTTCAACTCTGTGAGTTGAATACACACAACACAAGGAAGTTACTGAGAATTCTTCTGTCTAGCAGAATATGAAGAAATCCCGTTTCCAACGAAGGCCTCAAAGAGGTATGCATATCCACTTGCAGACTTTACAAACAGAGTGTTTCCTAACTGCTCTATGAGAAGAAAAGTTAAACTCTGTGAGTTGAACGCACACATCACAAAAGATTTTCTGAGAATCATTCTGTCTAGTTTTGAAACGAAGATATTTCCTTTTCTGCCGTTGACCTTAAAGCGCTTGAAATCTACACTTGCAAATTGGACAAATAGAGTGTTTCAAATCTGCTCTGTCTAAGGGAACGTTCAACTCTGTGAGTTGAATGCACACAACACAAGGAAGTTACTGGGAATTCTTCTGTCTAGCCTTATATGAAAAAAACCCGTTTCCAACGAAGGCCTCTAAGTGGTCAAAATTTCCACGTGCAGACTTTACAAACAGAGTGTTTCCAAACCGCTGAATGAAAAGAAAAGTTAAACTCTGAGAGTTGAACGCACACATCACGCAGCAGTTTCTGAGAATGATTCTGTCCAGTTTTTATACGAAGATATTTCCTTTTCTGCCTTTGGCCTCAAAGCGCTTGAAATCTCCACTTGCAAATTCCACAAAAAGAGTGTTTCAAATCTGCTCTGTGTAAATGAAAGTTCAACTCTGTGAGTTGAACACACACAACACAAGGAAGTTACTGGGAATTCTTCTGTCTAGCATAATATGAAGAAATCCCGTTTCCAACGAAGGCCTCAAAGAGGTCTGAATATCCACTTGCAGACTTTACAAACAGAGTGTTTCCTAACTGCTCTATGAAAAGAAAGGTTAAACTCTGTGAGTTGAACACACACATCACAAAGGAGTTTCTGAGAATCATTCTGTCTAATTTCTATAGGAAGATATTTCCTATTCCACCATTGACCTCAAAGCGGCTGAAATCTCCACTTGCAAATTCCACAAAAAGAGTGTTTCAAGACTGTTCTGTGTAAAGGATCATTCAACTCTGTGAGTTGAATACACACAACACAAGGAAGTTACTGAGAATTCTTCTGTCTAGCCTTACATGAAAAAACCCGTTTCCAACGAAGGCCTCAAAGAGGTCTGAATATCCACTTGCAGAGTTTACAAACAGAGTGTTTCCTAACTGTTCTATGAAAAGAAAGGTTAAACTCTGTGAGTTGAACGCACACATCACAATGAAGTTTCTGAGAATCATTCTGTCTAGTTTTTATAGGAAGATATTTCCTTTTCTACCATTGACTTCAAAGCGGCTGAAATCTCCACTTGCAAATTCCACAAAAAGAGTGTTTCAAGTCTGCTCTGTGTAAAGGATCGTTCAACTCTCTGAGTTGAATACACACAACACGCGGATGTTACTGAGTATTCTTCTCTCTAGCAGAATATGAAGAAATCCCGTTTCCAACGAAGGCCACAAGATGTCAGAATATCCACTTACAGACTTTACAAACAGAGTGTTTCCTAACTGCTCTATGAACAGAAAGGTTAAACTCTGTGAGTTGAACGAACACATCACAACGCAGTTTGTGGGAATGATTCTGTCTAGTTTTGAAACGAAGATATTTCCTTTTCTGCCATTGACCTCAAAGCGCTTGAAATCTCCACTTGCCAATTGCACAAAAAGAGTGTTTCAAATCTGCTCTGTCTAAGGGAACGTTCAACTCTGTGAGTTGAATGTACACAACACAAGGAAGTTACTGGGAATTCTTCTGTCTAGCCTTACAAGAAAAAAACCCGTTTCCAACGAAGGCCTCTAAATGGTCAAAATATCCACGTGCAGACTTTACAAACAGAGTGTTTCCAAACTGCTGAATGAAAAGAAAAGTTAAACTCTGAGAGTTGAACGCACACATCGCAGAGCAGTTTCTGGGAATGATTCTGTCTAGTTTTTATACGAAGATATTTCCTTTTCTGCCTTTGGCCTCAAAGCGCTTGAAATCTCCATTTGCAAATTCCACAAAAAGAGTGTTTCAAATCTGCTCTGTGTAAATGAAAGTTCAACTCTGTGAGTTGAACACACAAAACACAAGGAAGTTACTGGGAATTCTTCTGTCTAGCCTTACATGAAAATACCCCGTTTCCAACGAAGGCCTCAAAGAAGTCCAAATATCCACGTGCAGACTTTACAAACAGAGTGTTTCCTAACTGCTCTATGAAAAGAAAGGTTAAACTCTGTGAGTTGAACGCACACATCACAAAGGAGTTTCTGAGAATCATTCTGTCTAGTCTTTATACGAAAATAGTTTCCTTTTCTACCATTGACCTCAAAGCGGCTGAAATCTCCACTTGCAAATTCCACAAAAAGAGTGTTTCAAGTCTGCTCTGTGTAAAGGATCGTTCAACTCAGTGAGTTGAATACACACAACACAAGGAAGTTACTGAGAATTCTTCTGTCTAGCAGAATGTGAAGAAATCCCGTTTCCAACGAAGGCCTCAAGGAGGTGTGAATATCCACTTGCAGACTTTACAAACAGAGTGTTTCCTAACTGCTCTATGAAAAGAAAGGTTAAACTCTGTGAGTTGAACGCACACATCACAAAGGAGTTTCTGAGAATCATTCTGTCTAGTTTTGAAACGAAGATATTTCCTTTTCTGCCGTTGACCTTAAAGCGCTTGAAATCTACACTTGCAAATTGGACAAATAGAGTGTTTCAAATCTGCTCTGTCTAAGGGAACGTTCAACTCTGTGAGTTGAATGCACACAACACAAGGAAGTTACTGGGAATTCTTCTTTCTAGCCTTACAAGAAAAAAACCCGTTTCCAACGAAAGCCTCTATCAAAATATCCACGTGCAGACTTTACAAACAGAGTGTTTCCAAACTGCTGAATGAAAAGAAAAGTTAAACTCTGAGAGTTGAACGCACACATCGCAGAGCAGTTTCTGAGAATGATTCTGTCTAGTTTTGAAACGAAGATATTTCCTTTTCTGCCTTTAGCCTCAAAGCGCTTGAAATCTCCACTTGCAAATTCCACAAAAAGAGTGTTTCAAATCTGCTCTGGGTAAATGAAAGTTCAACTCTGTGAGTTGAACACACACAACACAAGGAAGTTACTGGGAATTCTTCTGTTTAGCCTTATATGTAAAAAACCCGTTTCCAACGAAGGCCTCAAAGAGGTCTGAATATCCACTTGCAGACTTTACAAACAGAGTGTTTCCTAACTGCTCTATGAAAAAAAAGGTTAAACTCTGTGAGTTGAACGCACACATCACAAAGGAGTTTCTGAGAATCATTCTGTCTAGTTTCTATAGGAAGATATTTCCTATTCTACCATTGACCTCAAAGCGGCTGAAATCTCCACTGGCAAATTCCACAAAAACAGTGTTTCAAGTCTGCTCTGTGTAAAGGATCGTTCAACTCTGTGAGTTGAATTCACACAACACAAGGAAGTTACTGAGAATTCTTCTGTCTAGCAGAATATGAAGAAATCCCGTTTCCAACGAAGGCCACAAGATGTCAGAATATCCACTTACAGAATTGACAAACAGACTGTTTCCTAACTGCTCTATGAAAAGAAAGGTTAAACTCTGTGACTTGAACGAACACATCACAACGCAGTTTGTGGGAATGATTCTGTCTAGTTTTGAAACGAAGATATTTCCTTTTCTGCCATTGACCTTAAAGCGCTTGAAATCTACACTTGCAAATTGCACAAATAGAGTGTTTCAAATCTGCTCTGTCTAAGGGAACGTTCAACTCTGTGAGTGGAATGCACACAACACAAGGAAGTTACTGGGAATTCTTCTGTCTAGCCTTACATGAAAAAAACCCGTTTCCAACGAAGGCCTCTAAGTGGTCAAAATATCCACGTGCAGACTTTACAAACACAGTGTTTCCAAACCGCTGAATGAAAAGAAAAGTTAAACTCTGAGAGTTGAACGCACACATCACGCAGCAGTTTCTGAGAATGATTCTGTCTAGTTTTTATACGAAGATATTTCCTTTTCTGCCTTTGGCCCCAAAGCGCTTGAAATCTCCACTTGCAAATTCCACAAAAACAGTGTTTCAAATGTGCTCTCTCTAAATGAAAGTTCAACTCTGTCAGTTGAATACACACAACACAAGGAAGTTACTGAGAATTCTTCTGTCCAGCATAATATGAAGAAATCCCGTTTCCAACGAAGGCCTCAAAGAGGTCGGAATATCCACTTGCAGACTTTACAAACAGAGTGTTTCCTAACTGCTCTATGAAAAGAAAAGTTAAACTCTGTGAGTTGAACGCACACATCACAAAGGAGTTTCTGAGAATCATTCTGTCTAGTCTTTATATGAAGATATTTCCTATTCTACCATTGACCTCAAAGCGGCTGAAATCTCCACTTGCAAATTCGACAAAAAGAGTGTTTCAAGCCTGCTCTCTGTAAAGGATCCTTCAACTCGGTGAGTTGAATACACACAACCCAAGGAAGTTACTGAGAATTCTTCTGTCTAGCAGAATATGAAGAAATCCCGTTTCCAACGAAGGCCACAAGATGTCAGAATATCCACTTACAGACTTTACAGAGTGTTTCCTAACTGTTCTATGAACAGAAAGGTTAAACTCTGTGAGTTGAACGAACACATCACAACGCAGTTTGTGGGAATGATTCTGTCTAGTTTTGAAACGAAGATATTTCCTTTTCTGCCGTTGACCATAAAGCGCTTGAAATCTACACTTGCAAATTGCACAAATAGAGTGTTTCAAATCTGCTCTGTCTAAGGGAACGTTCAACTCTGTGAGTTGAATGCACACAACACAAGGAAGTTACTGGGAATTCTTCTGTCTAGCCTTACAGGAAAAAAACCCGTTTCCAACGAAGGCCTCTAAGTGGTCAAAATATCCACGTGCAGACTTTACAAACAGAGTGTTTCCAAACTGCTGAATGAAAAGAAAAGTTAAACTCTGAGAGTTCAACGCACACATCGCAGAGCAGTTTCTGAGAATGATTCTGTCTAGTTTTGAAACGAAGATATTTCCTTTTCTGCCTTTGGCCTCAAAGAGCTTGAAATCTCCAATTGCCAATTCCACATAAATAGTGTTTCAAATCTGCTCGGTCTAAATGAAAGTTCAACTCTGTCAGTTGAATACACACAACACAAGGAAGTTACTGAGAATTCTTCTGTCTAGCCTTATATGAAAAAATCCCGTTTCCAAGGAAGGCCTCAAAGAGGTCAAAATATCCACGTGCAGACTTTAAAAACAGAGTGTTTCCTAACTGCTCTATGAAAAGAAAGGTTAAACTCTGTGAGTTGAACGCACTCATCACAAAGGAGTTTCTGAGAATCATTCTGTCTACTTTCTATAGGAAGATATTTCCTATTCTACCATTGACCTCAAAGCGGCTGAAATCTCCACTTGCAAATTCCACAAAAGGAGTGTTTCAAGTCTGCTCTGTGTAAAGGATCGGTTCAACTCTGTGAGTTGAAAACACACAACACAAGGAAGTTTCTGAGAATTCTTCTGTCTAGCAGAATATGAAGAAATCCCGTTTCCAACGAAGGCCACAAGATGTCAGAATATCCACTTACAGAATTTACAAACAGAGTGTTTCCTAACTGCTCTATGAAAAGAAAGGTTAAACTCTGTGAGATGAACGAACACATCACAGCGCAGTTTGTGGGAATGATTCTGTCTAGTTTTTATACGAAGATATTTCCTTTTCTACCATTGACCTCAAAGCGGCTGAAATCACCACTTGCCAATTGCACAAAAAGAGTGTTTCAAATCTACTCTGTCTAAGGGAACGTTCAACTCTGTGAGTTGAATGTACACAACACAAGGAAGTTCCTGGGAATTCTTCTGTCTAGCCTTACATGCAAAAAACCCGGTTCCAACGAAGGCCTCTAAGTGGTCAAAATATCCACGTGCAGACTTTACAAACAGAGTGTTTCCAAACCGCTGAATGAAAAGAAAAGTTAAACTCTGAGAGTTGAACGCACACATCACGCAGCAGTTTCTGAGAATGATTCCGTCTAGTTTTTATACGAATATATTTTCTTTTCTGCCTTTGGCCCCAAAGCGTTTGAAATCTCCACTTCCAAATTCCACAAAAACAGTGTTTCAAATCTGCTCTCTCTAAATGAAAGTTCAACTCTGTCAGTTGAATACACACAACACAAGGAAGTTACTGAGAATTCTTCTGTCTAGCAGAATATGAAGAAATTCCGTTTCCAACGAAAGCCTCAAAGATGTCTGAATATCCACTTGCAGACTTTACAAACAGAGTGTTTCCTAACTGCTCTATGAAAAGAAAGGTTAAACTGTGAGTTGAACGCACACATCACAAAGGAGTTTCTGAGAATCATTCTGTCTAGTTTTTATACGAAGATATTTCCTTTTCTACCATGGACCTCAAAGCGGCTGAAATCTCCACTTGCAAATTCCACAAAAAGAGTGTTTCAAGTCTGCTCTGTGTAAAGGATCGTTCAATTCTGTGAGTTGAATACACACAACACAAGGAAAGATTCTGAGAATTCTTCCGTCTAGCAGAATATGAAGAAATCCCGTTTCCAACGAAGGCCACAAGATGTCAGAATATCCACTTACAGAATTGACAAACAGACTGTTTCCTAACTGCTCTATGAAAAGAAAGGTTAAACTCTGTGAGTTGAACGAACACATCACAACGCAGTTTGTGGGAATGATTCTGTCTAGTTTTTATAGGAAGTTATTTCCTTTTCTAACTTTGACTTCAAAGCGGCTGAAATCTCCACTTGCAAATTCCACAAAAAGAGTGTTACAAGTCTGCTCTGTGTAAAGGATCGTTCAACTCTGTGAGTTGAATACACACAACACAAGGAAGTTACTGAGAATTCTTCTGTCTAGCCTTACATGAAAAAAACCCGTTTCCAACGAAGGCCTCTAAGTGGTCAAGTTATCCACGTGCAGACTTTACAAACAGAGTGTTTCCCAACTGCTGAATGAAAAGAAAGGTTAAACTCTGAGAGTTGAACGCACACATCGCAGAGCAGTTTCTGAGAATGATTCTGTCTAGTCTTTATACGAAGATAGTTTCCTTTTCTTCCATTGACCTCAAAGCGGCTGAAATCTCCACTTGCAAATTCCACAAAAAGAGTGTTTCAAGTCTGCTCTCTGTAAAGGATCGTTCAACTCTGTGAGTTGACTACACACAACACAAGGAAGTTACTGAGAATTCTTCTGTCTAGCAGAATATGAAGAAATCCCGTTTCCAACGAAGGCCTCAAAGGGGTCTGAATATCCACTTGCAGACTTTATAAACAGAGTGTTTACTAACTGCTCTATGAAAAGAAAGGTTAAAATCTGTGAGTTGAACACACACATCACAAAGGAGTTTCTGAGAATCATTCTGTCTAGTTTCTATAGGAAGATATTTCCTATTCTACCATTGACCTCAAAGCGGCTGAAATCTCCAATTGCAAATTCCAGAAAAAGAGTGTTTCAAGTCTGCTCTGTGTAAAGGATCGTTGAAATCTGTGAGTTGAATACACACAACACAATGAAGTTACTGAGAATTCTTCTGTCTAGCACAGTATGAAGAAATCCCGTTTCCAACGAAGGCCTCAAAGACGTCTGAATATCCACTTGCAGAGTTTACAAACAGAGTGTTTCCTAACTGCTCTATGAAAAGAAAGGTTAAACTCTGTGAGTTGAACGCACACATCACAAAGAAGTTTCTGAGAATCATTCTGTCTAGTTTTGAAACGAAGATATTTCCTTTTCTGCAATTGACCTTAAAGCGCTTGAAATCTCCACTTGCCAATTGCACAAAAAGAGTGTTTCAAATCTGCTCTGTCTAAGGGAACGTTCAACTCTGTGAGTTGAATGTACACAACGCAAGGAAGTTCCTGGGAATTCTTCTGTCTAGCCTTACATGAAAAAAAAACACGTTTCCAACGAAGGCTTCTAAGTGGTCAAAATATCCACGTGGAGACTTTACAAACAGAGTGTTTCCAAACTGCTGAATGAAAAGAAAAGTTAAACTCTGAGAGTTGAACGCACACATCACAGAGCGGTTTCTGAGAATGATTCTGTCTAGTTTTTATACGAAGATATTTCCTTTTCTGCCTTTGGCCTCAAAGCGCTTGAAATCTCCACTTGCAAATTCCACAAAAAGAGTGTTTCAAATCTGCTCTGTGTAAATGAGAGTTCAACTCTGTGAGTTGAACACACACAACACAAGGAAGTTACTGGGAATTCTTCTGTCTAGCAGAATATGAAGAAATCCCGTTTCCAACGAAGGCCTCAAAGAGGTCTGAATATCCACTTGCAGACTTTACAAACAGAGTGTTTCCTAACTGCTCTATGAAAAGAAAAGATAAACTCTGTGAGTTGAACGCACACATCACAAAGGAGTTTCTGAGAATCATTCTGTCTAGTTTTTATAGGAAGATATTTCCTTTTCTACCTTTGACTTCAAAGCGGCTGAAATCTCCACTTGCAAATTCCACAAAAAGAGTGTTACAAGTCTGCTCTGTGTAAAGGATCGTTCAAGTCTGTGAGTTGAATACACACAACACAAGGAAGTTACTGAGAATTCTTCTGTCTAGCAGAATATGAAGAAATCCCGTTTCCAACGAAGGCCACAAGATGTCAGAATATCCACTTACAGAATTTACAAACAGACTGTTTCCTAACTGCTCTATGAAAAGAAAGGTTAAACTCTGTGAGTTGAACGAACACATCACAACGCAGTTTGAGGGAATGATTCTGTCTAGTTTTGAATCGAAGATATTTCCTTTTCTGCCATTGACCTTAAAGCGCTTGAAATCTACACTTGCAAATTGCACAAATAGAGTGTTTCAAATCTGCTCTGTCTAAGGGAACGTTCAACTCTGTGAGTTGAATGCACACAACACAAGGAATTTACTGGGAATTCTTCTGTCTAGCCTTACAGGAAAAAAACCCGTTTCCAACGAAGGCCTCTAAGTTGTCAAAATATCCACGTGCAGACTTTACAAACAGAGTGTTTCCAAACTGCTGAATGAAAAGAAAAGTTAAACTCTGAGAGTTGAACGCACACATCGCAGAGCAGTTTCTGAGAATGATTCTGTCTAGTTTTTATACGAAGATATTTCCTTTTCTGCTTTTGGCCCCAAAGCGCTTGAAATCTCCACTTGCAAATTCCACAAAAACAGTGTTTCAAATCTGCTCTCTCTAAATGAAAGTTCAACTCTGTCAGTTGAATACACACAACACAAGGAAGTTACTGAGAATTCTTCTGTCTAGCATAATATGAAGAAATCCCGTTTCCAACGAAGGCCTCAAAGAAGTCTGAATATCCACTTGCAGACTTTACAAACAGAGTGTTTCCCAACTGCTCTATTAAAAGAAAGGTTGAACTCTGTGAGTTGAACACACACATCACAAAGGAGTTTCTGAGAATCATTCTGTCTAGTTTCTATAGGAAGATATTTCCTATTCTACCATTGACCTCAAAGCGGCTGAAATCTCCACTTGCAAATACCACAAAAAGAGTGTTTCAAGTCTGCTCTGTGTAAAGGATCGTTCAACTCTGTGAGTTGAATACACACAACACAAGGAAGTTACTGAGAATTCTTCTGTCTAGCAGTAATATGAAGAAATCCCGTTTCCAACGAATGCCACAAGATGTCAGAATATCCACTTACAGAATTGACAAACAGACTGTTTCCTAACTGCTCTATGAAAAGAAAGGTTAAACTCTGTGAGTTGAACGAACACATCACAACGCAGTTTGTGGGAATGATTCTGTCTAGTTTTCAAACGAAGATATTTCCTTTTCTGCCATTGACCTTAAAGCGCTTGAAATCTCCACTTGCCAATTGCACAAAAAGAGTGTTTCAAATCTGCTCTGTCTAAGGGAACGTTCAACTCTGTGAGTTGAATGTACACAACACAAGGAAGTTACTGGGAATTCTTCTGTCTAGCCTTACAGGAAAAAAACCCGTTTCCAACGAAGGCCTCTAAGTGGTCAAAATATCCACGTGCAGACTTTACAAACAGAATGTTTCCAAACTGCTGAATGAAAAGAAAAGTTAAACTCTGAGAGTTGAACGCACACATCGCAGAGCAGTTTCTGAGAATGATTCTGTCTAGTTTTGAAACGAAGATATTTCCTTTTCTGCCTTTGGCCTCAAAGCGCTTGACATCTCCACTTGCAAATTCCACAAAAAGAGTGTTTCAAATCTGCTCTGTGTAAATGAAAGTTCAACTCTGTGGGTTGAACACACACAACACAAGGAAGTTACTGGGAATTCTTCTGTCTAGCATAATATGAAGAAATCCCGTTTCCAACGAAGGCCTCAAAGGGGTCTGAATATCCACTTGCAGACTTTATAAACAGAGTGTTTACTAACTGCTCTATGAAAAGGAAGGTTAAACTCTGTGAGTTGAACACACACATCACAAAGCCGTTTCTGAGAATCATTCTGTCTAGTTTTTATACGAAGATATTTCCTTTTCTACTATTGACCTCAAAGCGGCTGAAATCTCCACTTGCAAATTCCACAAAAAGAGTGTTTGTAATCTGCTCTGTGTAAAGGATCGTTCAACTCTGTGAGTTGAATACACACAACACAAGGAAGTTACTGAGAATTCTTCTGTCTAGCACAGTATGAAGAAATCCCGTTTCCAACGAAGGCCTCAAAGAGGTCTGAATATCCACTTGCAGACTTTACAAACAGGGTGTTTCCTAACTGCTCTATGAAAAGAAAGGTTAAACTCTGTGAGTTGAACGCACACGTCACAATGAAGTTTCTGAGAATCATTCTGTCTAGTTTTTATACGAAGATATTTCCTTTTCTACCATTGACCTCAAAGCGGCTGAAATCACCACTTGCCAATTGTACAAAAAGAGTGTTTCAAATCTGCTCTGTCTAAGGGAACGTTCAACTCTGTGAGTTGAATGTACACAACACAAGGAAGTTCCTGGGAATTCTTCTGTCTAGCCTTACAGGAAAAAAACCCGTTTCCAACGAAGGCCTCTAAGTGGTCAAGTTATCCACGTGCAGACTTTACAACCAGAGTGTTTCCAAACTGCTGAATGAAAAGAAAAGTTAAACTCTGAGAGTTGAACGCACACATCGCAGAGCAGTTTCTGAGAATGATTCTGTCTAATTTTTATACGAAGATATTTCCTTTTCTGCCTTTGGCCTCAAAGCGCTTGAAATCTCCACTTGCAAATTCCACAAAAAGAGTGTTTCAAATCTGCTCTGTGTAAATGAAAGTTCAACTCTGTGAGTTGAACACACACAACACAAGGAAGTTACTGGGAATTCTTCTGTGTAGCCTTATATGAAAAAAACCCGTTTCCAACGAAGGCCTCAAAGAGGTCTGAATATCCACTTGCAGACTTTACAAACAGAGTGTTTCCTAACTGCTCTATGAAAAGAAAGGTTAAACTCTGTGAGTTGAACACACACATCACAAAGGAGTTTCTGAGAATCATTCTGTCTAGTTTCTATAGGAAGATATTTCCTATTCTACCATTGACCTCAAAGCGGATGAAATCTCCACTTGCAAATTCCACAAAAAGAGTGTTTCAAGTCTGCTCTCTGTAAGGATCGTTCAACTCTGTGAGTTGAATACACACAACACAAGGAAGTTACTGAGAATTCTTCTGTCTAGCATAATATGAGGAAATCCCTTTTCCAACGAAGGCCTCAAGGAGGTCTGAATATCCACTTGCAGACTTTACAAACTGAGTGTTTCCTAACTGCTCTATGAAAAGAAAAGTTAAACTCTGTGAGTTGAACGCACACATCACAAAGGAGTTTCTGAGAATCATTCTGTCTAGTTTTTATAGGAAGATATTTCCTTTTCTACCTTTGACTTCAAAGCGGCTGAAATCTCCACTTTCAAATTCCACAAAAAGAGTGTTACAAGTCTGCTCTGTGTAAAGGATCGTTCAACTCTGTGAGTTGAATACACACAACACAAGGAAGTTACTGAGAATTCTTCTGTCTAGCCTTACAGGAAAAAAACCCGTTTCCAACGAAGGCCTCTAAGTGGTCAAAATATCCACGTGCAGACTTTACAAACCGAGTGTTTCCAAACTGCTGAATGAAAAGAAAAGTTAAACTCTGAGAGTTGAACGCACACATCGCAGAGCAGTTTCTGAGAATGATTCTGTCTAGTTTTTATACGAAGATATTTCCTTTTCTGCCTTTGGCCGCAAAGCGCTTGAAATCTCCATTTGCAAATTCCACAAAAAGAGTGTTTCAAATCTGCTCTGTGTAAATGAAAGTTCAACTCTGTGAGTTGAACACACACAACACAAGGAAGTTACTGGGAATTCTTCTGTCTAGCAGAATAGGAAGAAATCCCGTTTCCAACGAAGGCCTCAAAGGGGTCTGAATATCCACTTGCAGACTTTACAAACAGACTGTTTCCTAACTGCTCTATGAAAAGAAAGGTTAAACTCTGTGAGTTGAACGCACACATCACAAAGGAGTTTCTGAGAATCGTTCTGTCTAGTTTTTATAGGAAGATATTTCCTTTTCTACCTTTGACTTCAAAGCGGCTGAAATCTCCACTTGCAAATTCCACAAAAAGAGTTTTACAAGTCTGCTCTGTGTAAAGGATCGTTCAACTCTGTAAGATGAATACACACAACACAAGGAAGTTACTGAGAATTCTTCTGTCTAGCAGAATATGAAGAAATCCCGTTTCCAACGAAGGCCACAAGATGTCTGAATATCCACTTACAGACTTTACAAACAGAGTGTTTCCTAACTGCTCTATGAACAGAAAGGTTAAACTCTGTGAGTTGAACGAACACATCACAACGCAGTTTGTGGGAATGATTCTGTCTAGTTTTGAAACGAAGATATTTCCTTTTCTGCCTTTGAACTTAAAGCGCTTGAAATCTCCATTTGCCAATTGCACAAAAAGAGTGTTTCAAATCTGCTCTGTCTAAGGGAACGTTCAACTCTGTGAGTTGAATGTACACAACACAAGGAAGTTACTGGGAATTCTTCTGTATAGCCTTACATGAAAAAAACCCGTTTCCAACGAAGGCCTCTAAGTGGTCAAGTTATCCACGTGCAGACTTTACAAACAGAGTGTTTCCAAACTGCTGAATGAAAAGAAAAGTTAAACTCTGAGAGTTGAACGCACACATCGCAGAGCAGTTTCTGAGAATGATTCTGTCCAGTTTTTATACGAAGATATATCCTTTTCTGCCTTTGGCCCCAAAGCGCTTGAAATCTCCACTTGCAAATTCCACAAAAACAGTGATTCAAATCTGCTCTCTCTAAATGAAAGTTCAACTCTGTCAGTTGAATACACACAACACAAGGAAGTGACTGAGAATTCTTCTGTCTAGCAGAATATGAAGAAATACCGTTTCCAACGAAGGCCTCAAGGAGGTCTGAATATCCACTTGCAGACTTTACAAACAGAGTGTTTCCTAACTGCTCTATGAACAGAAAGGTTAAACTCTGTGAGTTGAACGCACACATCACAAAGGAGTTTCTGAGAATCATTCTGTCTAGTTTTTCTACGAAGATATTTCTTTTTCTACTATTGACCTCAAAGCGGCTGAAATCTCCACTTGCAAATTCCACAAAAAGAGTGTTTCAAGTCTGCTCTGTGTAAAGGATCGTTCAACTCTGTGAGTTGAATACACACAACACAAGGAAGTTACTGAGAATTCTTCAGTCTAGCAGAATATGAAGAAATCCCGTTTCCAATGAAGGCCTCAAGGAGGTCTGAATATCCACTTGCATACTTTACAAACAGAGTGTTTCCTAACTGCTCTATGAACAGAAAGGTTAAACTCTGTGAGTTGAACGAACACATCACAACGCAGTTTGTGGGAATGATTCTGTCTAGTTTTGAAACGAAGATATTTCCTTTTCTGCCTTTGACCTTAAAGCGCTTGAAATATACACTTGCAAATTGCACAAATAGAGTGTTTCAAATCTGCTCTGTCTAAGGGAACGTTCAACTCTGTGAGTTGAATGCACACAACACAAGGAAGTTACTGGGAATTCTTCTGTCTAGCCTTACAGGAAAAAAACCCGTTTCCAACGAAGGCCTCTAAGTGGTCAAATTATCCACGTGCAGACTTTAGAAACAGAGTGTTTCCAAACTGCTGAATGAAAAGCAAAGTTAAACTCTGAGAGTTGAACGCACACATCGCAGAGCAGTTTCTGAGAATGATTCTGTCTAGTTTTTATACGAAGATATTTCCTTTTCTGCCTTTGGCCTCACAGCGCTTGAAATCTCCACTTGCAAATTCCACAAAAAGAGTGTTTCAAATCTGCTCTGTGTAAATGAAAGTTCAACACTGTGAGTTGAACACACACAACACAAGGAAGTTACTGGGAATTCTTCTGTCTAGCCTTATATGAAAAAAACCCGTTTCCAACGAAGACCTCAAAGAGGTCTGAATATCCACTTGCAGACTTTAGAAACAGAGTGTTTCCTAACTGCTCTATGAAAAGAAAGGTTAAACTCTGTGAGTTGAACACACACATCACAAAGGAGTTTCTGAGAATCATTCTGTCTAGTTTTTATAGGAAGATATTTCCTTTTCTACCTTTGACTTCAAAGCGGCTGAAATCTCCACTTGCAAATTCCACAAAAAGAGTGTTACAAGTCTGCTCTGTGTAAAGGATCGGTCAACTCTGTAAGTTGAATACACACAACACAAGGAAGTTACTGAGAATTCTTCTGTCTAGCATCATATGAAGAAATCCCGTTTCCAACGAAGGCCTCAAAGAGGTCTGAATATCCACTTGCAGACTTTACAAACAGAGTGTTTCCTAACTGCTCTATGAACAGAAAGGTTAAACTCTGTGAGTTGAACGAACACATCACAACGCAGTTTGTGGGAATGATTCTGTCTAGTTTTGAAACGAAGATATTTCCTTTTCTGCCATTGACCTTAAAGCGCTTGAAATCTACACTTGCAAATTGCACAAATAGAGTGTTTCAAATCTGCTCTGTCTAAGGGAACGTTCAACTCTGTGAGCTGAATGCACACAACACAAGGAAATTACTGGGAATTCTTCTGTCTAGCCTTACATGAAAAAATCCCGTTTCCAACGAAGGCCTCTAAGTGGTCAAAATATCCACGTGCAGACTTTACAAACAGTGTGTTTCCAAACCGCTGAATGAAAAGAAAAGTTAAACTCTGAGAGTTGAACGCACACATCACGCAGCAGTTTCTGAGAATGATTCTGTCTAGTTTTTATACGAAGATATTTCCTTTTCTGCCTTTGGCCTCAAAGCGCTTGAAATCTCCATTTGCAAATTCCACAAAAAGAGTGTTTCAAATCTGCTCTCTGTAAATGAAAGTTCAACTGTGTGAGTTGAACACACACAACACAAGGAAGTTACTGGGAATTCTTCTGTCTAGCCTTATATGAAAAAAACCCGTTTCCAACGAAGGCCTCAAAGAGGTCTGAATATCCTCTTGCAGACTTTACAAACAGAGTGTTTGCTAACTGCTCTATGAAAAGAAAGGTTAAACCCTGTGAGTTGGACACACACATCACTAAGGAGTTTCTGAGAATCATTCTGTCTAGTTTTTCTACGAAGATATTTCCTTTTCTACTATTGACCTCAAAGCGGCTGAAATCTCCACTTGCAAACTCCACAAAAAGAGTGTTTCAAGTCTGCTCTGTGTAAAGGATCGTTCAACTCTGTGAGTTGAATACACACAACACAAGGAAGTTACTGAGAATTCTTCTGTCTAGCAGAATATGAAGAAATCCCGTTTCCAACGAAGGCCTCAAGGAGGTCTGAATATCCACTTGCAGACTTTACAAACAGAGTGTTTCCTAACTGCTCTATGAAAAGAAAGGTTAAACTCTTTGACTTGAACTCACACATCACAACGCAGTTTGTGGGAATGATTCTGTCTAGTTTTGAAACGAAGATATTTCCTTTTCTGCCATTGACCTTAAAGCGCTTGAAATCTCCACTTGCAAATTGCACAAAAAGAGTGTTTCCAATCTGCTCTGTCTAAAGGAACCTTCAACCCTGTGAGGTGAATGCACACAACACAAGGAACTTACTGTGAATTCTTCTGTCTAGCCTTACAGGAAAGAAACCCGTTTCCAACGAAGGCCTCTAAGTGGTCAAAATATCCACGTGCAGACTTTACAAACAGAGTGTTTCCAAACTGCTGAATGAAAAGAAAAGTTAAACTCTGAGAGTTGATCGCACACATCGCAGAGCAGTTTCTGAGAATGATTCTGTCTAGTTTTTATATGAAGATATTTCCTTTTCTGCCTTTGGCCTCAAAGCGCTTGAAATCTCCACTTGCAAATTCCACAAAAAGAGTGTTTCCAATCTGCTCTGTGTAAATGAAAGTTCAACTCTGTGAGTTGAACACACACAACACAAGGAAGTTACTGGGAATTCTTCTGTCTAGCATAATATGAGGAAATCCCGTTTCCAACGAAGGCCTCAAAGGGGTCTGATTATCCACTTGCAGACTTTATAAACAGAGTGTTTACTAACTGCTCTATGAAAAGAAAGGTTAAACTCTGTGATTTGAACACACACATCACAAAGGACTTTCTGAGAATCATTATCTGTCTAGTTTTTATACGAAGATATTTCCTTTTCTACCATTGACCTCAAAGCGGCTGAAATCTCCACTTGCAAATTCCACAAAAAGAGTGTTTCAAGTCTGCTCTGTGTAAAGGATCGTTCCACTCTGTGAGTTGAATACACACAACCCAAGGAAGTTACTAAGAATTCTTCTGTCTAGCAGAATATGAAGAAATCCCGTTTCCAACGAAGGCCTCAAAGAGGTCTGAATATCCACTTGCAGACTTTACAAACAGAGTGTTTCCTAACTGCTCTATGAAAAGAAAGGTTAAACTCTGTGAGTTAAACGCACACATCACAAAGGAGTTTCTGAGAATGATTCTGTCTAGTTTTGAAACGAAAATATTTCCTTTTCTGCCATTGACCTTAAAGCGCTTGAAATCTACACTTGCAAATTGCACAAATAGAGTGTTTCAAATCTGCTCTGTCTAAGGGAACGTTCAACTCTGTGAGTTGAATGCACACAACACAAGGAAGTTACTGGGAATTCTTCTGTCTAGCCTTAAATAAAAAAAACCCGTTTCCAAAGAAGGCCTCTAAGTGGTCAAAGTGTCCACGTGCAGACTTTACAAACAGAGTGTTTCCAAACCGCTGAATGAAAAGAAAAGTTAAACTCTGAGAGTTGAACGCACACATCACGCAGCAGTTTCTGAGAATGATTCTGTCTAGTTTTGAAACGAAGATATTTCCTTTTCTGCCTTTGGCCTCAAAGCGCTTGAAATCTCCACTTGCAAATTCCACAAAAAGAGTGTTTCAAATCTTCTCTGTGTAAAGGAAAGTTCAACTCTGTGACTTGAACACACACAACACAAGGAAGTTACTGGGAATTCTTCTGTCTAGCCTTATATGAAAAAAACGCGTTTCCAACGAAGGCCTCAAAGAGGTCTGAATATCCACTTGCAGACTTTACAAACAGAGTGTTTCCTAACTGCTCTATGAAAAGAAAGGTTAAACTCTGTGAGTTGAACACACACATCACAAAGGAGTTTCTGAGAATCATTCTGTCTAGTTTCTATAGGAAGATATTTCCTATTCTACCATTGACCTCAAAGCGGCTGAAATCTCCACTTGCAAATTCCACAAAAAGAGTGTTTCAAGTCTGCTGAGTGTAAAGGATCGTTCAACTCTGTGAGTTGAATACACACAACACAAGGAAGTTACTGAGAATTCTTCTTTCTAGCAGAATATGAAGAAATCCCGTTTCCAACGAAAGCCTCAAGGATGTCTGAATATCCACTTGCAGACTTTACAAACAGAGTGTTTCCTATCTGCTCTATGAAAAGAAAGGTGAAACTCTGTGAGTTGAACGCACACATCACAAAGGAGTTTCTGAGAATCATTCTGTCTAGTTTTTATAGGAAGTTATTTCCTTTTCTACCTTTGACTTCAAAGTGGCTGAAATCTCCACTTGCAAATTCCACAAAAAGAGTGTTAAAAGTCTGCTCTGTGTAAAGGATCGTTCAACTCTGTGAGTTGAATACACACAACACAAGGAAGTTACTGAGAATTCTTCTGTCTAGCCTTACATGAAAAAAACCCGTTTCCAACAAAGGCCTCTAAGTGGTCAAGTTATCCACGTGCAGACTTTACAAACAGAGTGTTTCCAAACTGCTGAATGAAAAGAAAAGTTAAACACTGAGAGTTGAACGCACACATCGCAGAGCAGTTTCTGAGAATGATTCTGTCTAGTTTCTATAGGAAGATATTTCCTATTCTACCATTGACCTCAAAGCGGCTGAAATCTCCACTTGCAAATTCCACAAAAGGAGTGTTTCAAGTCTGCTCTGTGTAAAGGATCGTTCAACTCTGTGAGTTGAATACACACAACACAAGGAAGTTTCTGAGAATTCTTCTGTCTAGCTGAACATGAAGAAATCCCGCTTCCAACGAAGGCCTCAAAGAAGTCTGAATATCCACTTGCAGACTTTACAAACAGAGTGTTTCCCAACTGCTCTATGAAAAGAAAGGTTGAACTCTGTGAGTTGAACGCACACATCACAAAGGAGTTTCTGAGAATCATTCTGTCTAGTTTTTATATGAAGATATTTCCTTTTCTACCATTGACCTCAAAGCGGCTGAAATCTCCACTTACAAATTCCACAAAAAGAGTGTCTCAAGTCTGCTCTGTGTAAACGATCGTTCAACTCTGTGAGTTGAATACACACAACAGAAGGAAGTTTCTGAGAATTCTTCTGTCTAGCAGAATATGAAGAAATCCCGTTTCCAACGAAGGCTTCAAGGAGGTCTGAATATCCACTTGCAGACTTTACAAACAGAGTGTTTCCTAACTGCTCTATGAAAAGAAAGGTTAAACTCTTTGAGTTGAACGCACACATCACAACGCAGTTTGTGGGAATGATTCTGTATAGTTTTGAAACGAAGATATTTCCTTTTCTGCCATTGACCTTAAAGCGCTTGAAATCTCCATTTGCCAATTGCACAAAAAGAGTGTTTCAAATCTGCTCTGTCTAAGGGAACGTTCAACTCTGTGAGTTGAATGTACACAACACAAGGAAGTTCCTGGGAATTCTTCTGTCTAGCCTTACATGAAAAAAACCCGTTTCCAACGAAGGCCTCTAAGTGGTCAAAATATCCACGTGCAAACTTTACAAACAGAGTGTTTCCAAACCGCTGAATGAAAAGAAAAGTTAAACTCTGAGAGTTGAACGCACACATCACGCAGCAGTTTATGAGAATGATTTCTGTCTAGTTTTTATACGAAGATATTTCCTTTTCTGCGTTTGGCCCCAAAGCGCTTGAAGTCACCACTTGCAAATTCCACAAAAACAGTGTTTCAAATCTGCTCTCTCTAAATGAAAGTTCAACTCTGTGAGTTGAATACACACAACACAAGGAAGTTACTGAGAATTCTTCTGTCTAGAATAATATGAAGAAATCCCGTTTCCAACGAAGGCCTCAAAGGGGTCTGAATATCCACTTGCAGACTTTATAAACAGAGTGTTTACTAACTGCTCTAGGAAAAGAAAGGTTAAACTCTGTGAGTTGAACACACACATCACAAAGGAGTTTCTGAGAATCATTCTGTCTAGTTTCTATAAGAAGATATTTCCTATTCTACCATTGACCTCAAAGCGGCTGAAATCTCCACTTGCAAATTCGACAAAAAGAGTGTTGCAAGCCAGCTCTCTGTAAAGGATCCTTCAACTCTGTGAGTTGAATACACACAACACAAGGAAGTTACTGAGAATTATTCTGTCTAGCAGAATATGAAGAAATCCCGTTTCCAACGAAGGCCTCAAGGAGGTCTGAATATCCACTTGCAGACTTTACAAACAGAGTGTTTCCTAACTGCTCTATGAACAGAAAGGTTAAACTCTGTGAGTTGAACGAACACATCACAACGCAGTTTGTGGGAATGATTTCTGTCTAGTTTTGAAACGAAGATATTTCCTTTTCAGCCGTTGACCTTAAAGCGCTTGAAATCTACACTTGCAAATTGCACAAATAGGCTGTTTCAAATCTGCTCTGTCTAAGGGAACGTTCAACTCTGTGAGTTGAATGCACACAACACAAGGAAGTTACTGGGAATTCTTCTGTCTAGCCTTACAGGAAAGAAACCCGTTTCCAACGAAGGCCTCTAAGTGGTCAAAATATCCACGTGCAGACTTTACAAACAGAGTGTTTCCAAACTGCTGAATGAAAAGAAAACTTAAACTCTGAGAGTTGAACGCACACATCGCAGAGCAGTTTCTGAGAATGATTCTGTCTAGTTTTTATACGAAGATATTTCCTTTTCTGCCTTTGGCCTCAAAGCGCTTGAAATCTCCACTTGCAAATTCCACAAAAAGAGTGTTTCAAATCTGCTCTGTGTAAATGAAAGTTCAACTGCTGTGAGTTGAACACACACAACACAAGGAAGTTACTGGGAATTCTTCTGTCTAGCCTTATATGAAAAAAACCCGTTTCCAACGAAGGCCTCAAAGAGGTCTGAATATCCACTTGCAGACTTTACAAACAGAGTGTTTCCTAACTGCTCTATGAAAAGAAAGGTTAAACTCTGTGAGTTGAACGCACACATCACAAAGAAGTTTCTGAGAATCATTCTGTCTAGTTTTTATACGAAGATATTTCCTTTTCTACCATTGACCTCAAAGCGGCTGAAATCTCCACCCTGCCAATTCCACAAAAAGAGTGTTTCAAGTCTACTCTGTGTAAAGGATCGTTGAACTCTGTGATTTGAAAACACACAACACATCGAAGTTTCTGAGAATTCTTCTGTCTAGCAGAATATGAAGAAATCCCGCTTCCAACGAAGGCCTCAAAGAAGTCTGAATATGCATTTGCAGAATTTACAAACAGAGTGTTTCCCAACTGCTCTATGAAAAGAAAGGTTGAACTCTGTGAGTTGAACGCACACATCACAAAGGAGTTTCTCAGAATCATTCTGTCTAGTTTTTATACGAAGATATTTCCTTTTCTACCATTGACCTCAAAGCGGCTGAAATCACCACTTGCCAATTGCACAAAAAGAGTGTTTCAAATCTGCTCCTGTCTAAGGGAACGTTCAACTCTGTGAGTTGAATGTACACAACACAAGGAAGTTACTGGGAATTCTTCTGTCTAGCCTTACATGAAAAAAACCCGTTTCCAACGAAGGCCTCTAAGTGGTCAAAATATCCACGTGCAGACTTTGCAAACAGAGTGTTTCCAAACTGCTGAATGAAAAGAAAAGTTAAACTCTGAGAGTTGAACGCACACATCGCAGAGCAGTTTCTGAGAATGATTCTGTCTAGTTTTTATACGAAGATATTTCCTTTTCTGCCTTTGGCCCCAAAGCGCTTGAAATCTCCACTTGCAAATTCCACAAAAACAGTGTTTCAAATCTGCTCTCTCTAAATGAAAGTTCAAATCTGTCAGTTGAATACACACAACACAAGGAAGTTACTGAGAATTCTTCTGTCTAGCCTTATATGAAAAAAAACCGTTTCCAACGAAGGCCTCAAAGAGGTCTGAATATCCACTTGCAGACTTTGCAAACAGAGTGTTTCCTAACTGCTCTATGAAAAGAAAGGTTAAACTCTGTGAGTTGAACGCACACATCACAAAGGAGTTTCTGAGAATCATTCTGTCTAGTTTTTATACGAAGATATTTCCTTTTCTACCATTGACCTCAAAGCGGCTGAAATCTCCACTTACAAATTCCACAAAAAGAGTGTCTCAAGTCTGCTCTGTGTAAATGATCGTTCAACTCTGTGAGTTGAATACACACAACACAAGGAAGTTTCTGAAAATTCTTCTTTCTAGCAGAATATGAAGAAATCCCGTTTCCAACGAAAGCCTCAAGGATGTCTGAATATCCACTTGCAGACTTTACAAACAGAGTGTTTCCCAACTGCTCTATGAAAAGAAAGGTTAAACTCTGTGAGTTGAACGCACACATCACAAAGGAGATTCTGAGAATCATTCTGTCTAGTTTCTATAGGAAGATATTCCCTATTCTACCATTGACCTCAAAGCGGCTGAAATCTCTACTTGCAAATTCCACAAAAAGAGTGTTTCAAGTCTGCTCTGTGTAAAGGATCGTTCAACTCTGTGAGTTGAATTCACACAACACAGGGAAGTTTCTGAGAATTCTTCTTTCTAGCAGAATATGAAGAAATCCCGTTTGCAACGAAAGCCTCAAGGATGTCTGAATATACACTTGCAGACTTTAAAAACAGAGTGTTTCCTAACTGCTCTATGAAAAGAAAGGTTAAACTCTGTGAGTTGAACGCACACATCACAAAGGAGTTTCTGAGAATCATTCTGTCTAGTTTCTATAGGAAGATATTTCCTATTCTACTATTGACCACAAAGCGGCTGAAATCTCCACTTCCAAATTCCACAAAAAGAGTGTTTCAAGTCTGCTCTGTGTAAAGGATCGTTCAAATCTGTGAGGTGAATTCACACAAAACAAGGAAGTTACTGAGAATTCTTCTGTCTAGCCTTATATGAAAAAAACCCGTTTCCAACGAAGGCCTCAAAGAGGTCTGAATATCCACTTGCAGACTTTACAGACAGAGTGTTTCCTAACTGCTCTATGAAAAGAAAGGTTAAACTCTGTGAGTTGAACGCACACATCACAATGAAGTTTCTGAGAATCATTCTGTCTAGTTATTATACGAAGATATTTCCTTTTCTATCATTGACCTCAAAGCGGCTGAAATCACCACTTGCCAATTGCACAAAAAGAGTGTTTCAAATCTGCTCTGTCTAAGGGAACGTTCAACTCTGTGAGTTGAATGTACACAACACAAGGAAGTTACTGGGAATTCTTCTGTCTAGCCTTACAGGAAAAAAAACCGTTTCCAACGAAGGCCACTAAGTGGTCAAAATATCCACGTGCAGACTTCACAAACAGAGTGTTTCCAAACTGCTGAATGAAAAGAAAAGTTAAACTCTGAGAGTTGAACGCACACATCGCAGAGCAGTTTCTGAGTATGATTCTGTCTAGCAGAATATGAAGAAATCCCTTTTCCAACGAACGCCTCAAGGAGGTCAGAATATCCACTTGCAGACTTTACAAACAGAGTGTTTCCTAACTGCTCTATGAAAAGAAAGGTTAAACTCTGTGAGTTGAACGCACACATCACAAAGGAGTTTCTGAGAATCATTCTGTCTACTTTCTATAGGAAGATATTTCCTATTCTACCATTGAACTCACAGCGGCTGAAATCTCCACTTGCAAATTCCACAAAAAGAGTGTTTCAAGTCTGCTCTGTGTAAAGGATCGTTCAACTCTGTGAGTTGAATACACACAACACAAGGAAGTTACTGAGAATTCTTCTGTCTAGCAGAATATGAAGAAATCCCGTTTCCAACGAAGGCCTCAAGGAGGTCTGAATATCCACTTGCAGACTTCACAAACAGAGTGTTTCCTAACTGCTCTATGAAAAGAAAGGTTAAACTCTGTGAGTTGAACGCACACATCACAAAGGAGTTTCTGAGAATCATTCTGTCTAGTTTTGAAACGAAGATATTTCCTTTTCTGCCATTGAACTTAAAGCGCTTGAAATCTCCATTTGCCAATTGCACAAAAAGAGTGTTTCAAATCTGCTCTGTCTAAGGGAACGTTCAACTCTGTGAGTTGAATGTACACAACACAAGGAAGTTACTGGGAATTCTTCTGTCTAGCCTTACATGAAAAAAACCCGTTTCCAACGAAGGCCTGTAAGTGGTCAAAATATCCACGTGCAGACTTTACAAACACAGTGTTTCCAAACCGCTGAATGAAAAGAAAAGTTAAACTCTGAGAGTTGAACGCACACATCACGCAGCAGTTTCTGAGAATGATTCTGTCTAGTTTTGAAACGAAGATATTTCCTTTTCTGCCTTTGGCCTCAAAGCGCTTGAAATCTCCACTTGCAAATTCCACAAAAAGAGTGTTTCAAATCTGCTCTGTGTAAATGAAAGTTCAACTCTGTGAAGTTGAACACACACAACACAAGGAAGTTACTGGGAATTCTTCTGTCTAGCAGAATATGAAGAAATCCCGTTTCCAACGAAAGCCTCAAAGATGTCTGAATATCTACTTGCAGACTTTACAAACAGAGTGTTTCCTAACTGCTCTATGAAAAGAAAGGTTAAACTCTGTGAGTTGAACGCACACATCACAAAGGAGTTTCTGAGAATCATTCTGTCTAGTTTTTATACGAAGATATTTCCTTTTCTATCATTGACCACAAAGCGGCTGAAATCTCCACTTGCAAATTCCACAAAAAGAGTGTTTCAAGTCTGCTCTGTGTAAAGGATCGTTAAATTGCTGTGAGTTGAATACACACAACACAAGGAAGTTACTGAGAATTCTTCTGTCTAGCAGAATATGAAGAAATCCCGTTTCCAAAGAAGGCCACAAGATGTCAGAATATCCACTTACAGAATTGACAAACAGACTGTTTCCTAACTGCTCTATGAAAAGAAAGGTTAAACTCTGTGAGTTGAACGAACACATCACAACGCAGTTTGTGGGAATGATTCTGTCTAGTTTTGAAACGAAGATATTTCCTTTTCTGCCATTGACCTTAAAGCGCTTGAAATCTCCATTTGCCAATTGCACAAAAAGAGTGTTTCAAATCTGCTCTGTCTAAGGTAACGTTCAACTCTGTGAGTTGAATGTACACAACACAAGGAAGTTACTGGGAATTGCTTCTGTCTAGCCTTACATGAAAAAAAACCCGTTTCAAAAGAAGGCGTCTAAGTGGTCAAAATATCCACGTGCAGACTTTACAAACAGAGTGTTTCCAAACTGCTGAATGAAAAGAAAAGTTAAACTCTGAGAGTTGAATGCACACATCACAGAGCGGTTTCTGAGAATGATTCTGTCTAGTTTTGAAACGGAGTATATTTCCTTTTCTGCCTTTGGCCTCAAAGCGCTTGAAATCTCCACTTGCAAATTCCACAAAAAGAGTGTTTCAAATCTGCTCTGTGTAAATGAAAGTTCAACTCTGTGAGTTGAACACACACAACACAAGGAAGTTACTCGGAATTCTTCTGTCTAGCATAATATGAAAAAATCCCGTTTCCAACGAAGGCCTCAAAGAGGTCTGAATATCCACTTGCAGACTTTACAAACAGAGTGTTTCCCAACTGCTCTATGAAAAGAAAAGTTAAACTCTGTGAGTTGAACGCACACATCACAAAGGAGTTTCTGAGAATCATTCTGTCTAGTTTTTATAGGAAGATATTTCCTTTTCTACCTTTGACTTCAAAGCGGCTGAAATCTCCACTTGCAAATTCCACAAAAAGAGTGTTACAAGTCTGCTCTGTGTAAAGGATAGTTCAACTCTGTGAGTTGAATACACACAACACAAGGAAGTTACTGAGAATTCTTCTGTCTAGCAGAATATGAAGAAATCCCGTTTCCAACGAAGGCCACAAGATGTCAGAATATCCACTTACAGACTTTACAGAGTGTTTCCTAACTGCTCTATGAACAGAAAGGTTAAACTCTGTGAGTTGAACGAACACATCACAACGCAGTTTGTGGGAATGATTCTGCCTAGTTTTGAAACGAAGATATTTCCTTTTCTGCCATTGACCTTAAAGCGCTTGAAATCTCCACTTGCCAATTGCACAAAAAGAGTGTTTCAAATCTGCTCTGTCTAAGGGAACGTTCAACTCTGTGAGTTGAATGTACACAACACAAGGAAGTTACTGGGAATTCTTCTGTCTAGCCTTACAGGAAAAAAACCCGTTTCCAACGAAGGCCTCTAAGTGGTCAAAATATCCACGTGCACACTTTACAAACAGAGTGTTTCCAAACTGCTGAATGAAAAGAAAAGTTAAACTCTGAGAGTTGAACGCACACATCGCAGAGCAGTTTCTGAGAATGATTCTGTCTAGTTTTTATACGACGATATTTCATTTTCTGCCTTTGGCCTCAAAGCGCTTGAAATCTCCATTTGCAAATTCCTCAAAAAGAGTGTTTCAAATCTGCTCTGTGTAAATGAAAGTTCAACTCTGTGAGTTGAACACACACAACACAAGGAAGTTACTGGGAATTCTTCTGTCTAGCATAATATGAAGAAATCCCGCTTCCAACGAAGGCCTCAAAGAAGTCTGAATATCCACTTGCAGACTTTACAAACAGAGTGTTTCCCAACTGCTCTATGAAAAGAAAGTTTGAACTCTGTGAGTTGAACGCACACATCACAAAGGAGTTTCTGAGAATCATTCTGTCTAGTTTTTATACGTAGATATTTCCTTTTCTACCATTGACCTCAAAGCGGCTGAAATCTCCACTTGCAAATTCCAGAAAAACAGTGTTTCAAATCTGCTCTGTGTAAAGGATCGTTCAACTCTGTGAGTTGAATACACACAACACAAGGAAGTTACTGAGAATTCATCTTTCTAGCAGAATATGAAGAAATCCCGTTTCCAACGAAAGCCTCAAGGATGTCTGAATATCCACTTGCAGACTTTACAAACAGAGTGTTTCCTAACTGCTCTATGAAAAGAAAGGTTAAAGTCTGTGAGTTGAACGCACACATCACAAAGGAGTTTCTGAGAATCATTCTGTCTAGTTTTGAAACGAAGATATTTCCTTTTCTGCCGTTGACCTTAAAGCGCTTGAAATCTACACTTGCAAATTGCACAAATAGAGTGTTTCAAATCTGCTCTGTCTAAGGGAACGTTCATCTCTGTGAGTTGAATGCACACAACACAAGGAAGTTACTGGGAATTCTTCTGTCTAGCCTTACAGGAAAAAAACCCGTTTCCAACGAAGGCCTCTAAGTGGTCAAAATATCCACGTGCAGACTTTACAAACAGAGTGTTTCCAAAGTGCTGAATGAAAAGAAAAGTTAAACTCTGAGAGTTGAACGCACACATCACAGAGCAGTTTCTGAGAATGATTCTGTCTAGTTTTTATACGAAGATATTTCCTTTTCTGCCTTTGGCCCCAAAGCGCTTGAAATCTCCAATTGCAAATTCCACAAAAACAGTGTTTCAAATCTGCTCTCTCTAAATGAACGTTCAACTCTGTCAGTTGAATACACACAACACAAGGAAGTTACTGAGAATTCTTCTGTCTAGCCTTATATGGAAAAAACCCGTTTCCAACGAAGGCCTCAAAGAGGTCTGAATATCCACTTGCAGACTTTACAAACGGAGTGTTTCCTAACTGCTCTATGAAAAGAAAGGTTAAACTCTGTGAGTTGAACGCACACATCACAAAGGAGTTTCTGAGAATCATTCTGTCTAGTTTTTCTACGAAGATATTTCCTTTTCTACTATTGACCTCAAAGCGGCTGAAATCTCCACTTGCAAATTCCACAAAAAGAGTGTTTCAAGTCTGCTCTCTGTAAAGGATCGTTCAACTCTGTGAGTTGAATACACACAACACAAGGAAGTTACTGACAATTCTTCTGTCTAGCAGAATATGAAGAAATCCCGTTTCCAAGGAAGGCCACAAGATGTCAGAATATCCACTTACAGAATTTACAAACAGACTGTTTCCTAACTGCTCTATGAAAAGCAAGGTTAAACTCTGTGAGTTGAACGAACACATCACAACGCAGTTTGTGGGAATGATTCTGTCTAGTTTTGAAACGAAGATATTTCCTTTTCTGCCATTGACCTCAAAGCGCTTGAAATCTCCACTTGCCAATTGCACAAAAAGAGTGTTTCAAATCTGCTCTGTCTAAGGGAACGTTCAACTCTGTGAGTTGAATGTACACAACACAAGGAAGTTACTGGGAATTCTTCTGTCTAGCCTTACAGGAAAAAAACCCGTTTCCAACGAAGGCCTCTAAGTGGTCAAAATATCCACGTGCAGACTTTACAAACAGAGTGTTTCCAAACTGCTGAATGAAAAGAAAAGTTAAACTCTGAGAGTTGAACGCACACATCGCAGAGCAGCTTCTGAGAATGATTCTGTCTAGTTTTTATACGAAGATATTTCCTTTTCTGCCTTTGGCCTCAAAGCGCTTGAAATCTCCACTTGCAAATTCCACAAAAAGAGTGTTTCAAATCTGCTCTGTGTAAATGAAAGTTCAACTCTGTGAGTTGAACACACACAACACAAGGAAGTTACTGGGAATTCTCTGTCTAGCACAGTATGAAGAAATCCCGTTTCCAACGAAGGCCTCAAAGAGGACTGAATATCCACTTGCAGAGTTTACAAACAGAGTGTTTCCTAACTGCTCTATGAAAAGAAAGGTTAAACTCTGTGAGTTGATCGCACACATCACAATGAAGTTTCTGAGAATCATTCTGTCTAGTTTTTCTACGAAGATATTTCCTTTTCTACTATTGACCTCAAAGCGGCTGAAATCTCCACTAGCAAATTCCACAAAAAGAGTGTTTCAAGTCTGCTCTGTGTAAAGGATCGTTCAACTCTGTGAGTTGAATACACACAACACAAGGAAGTTACTGAGAATTCTTCTGTCTAGCAGAATATGAAGAAATCCCGTTTCCAACGAAGGCCACAAGATGTCAGAATATCCACTTACAGAATTTACAAACAGAGCTGTTTCCTAACTGCTCTATGAAAAGAAAGGTTAAACTCTGTGAGTTGAACGAACACATCACAAAGCAGTTTGTGGGAATGATTCTGTCTAGTTTTTATAGGAAGATATTTCCTTTTCTACCTTTGACTTCAAAGCGGCTGAAATCTCCACTTGCAAATTCCACAAAAAGAGTGTTACAAGTCTGCTCTGTGTAAAGGATCGTTCAACTCTGTGAGTTGAATACACACAACACAAGGTAGTTACTGAGAATTCTTCTGTCTAGCCTTACATGAAAAAAACCCGTTTCCAACGAAGGCCTCTAAGTGGTCAAATTATGCACGTGCAGACTTTACAAACAGAGTGTTTCCAAACTGCTGAATGAAAAGAAAAGTTAAACTCTGAGAGTTGAACGCACACATCGCAGAGCAGTTTCTGAGAATGATTCTGTCTAGTTTTTATACGAAGATATTTCCTTTTCTGCCTTTGGCCCCAAAGCGCTTGAAGTCTCCACTTGCAAATTCCACAAAAACAGTGTTTCAAATCTGCTCTCTCTAAATGAAAGTTCAACTCTGTCAGTTGAATACACACAACACAAGGAAGTTAGTGAGAATTCTTCTGTCTAGCATAATATGAAGAAATCCCGTTTCCAACGAAGGCCTCAAAGGGGTCTGAATATCCACTTGCAGACTTTATAGACAGAGTGTTTCCTAACTGCTGTATGAAAAGAAAGGTTAAACTCTGTGAGTTCAACGCACACATCACAAAGGAGTTTATGAGAATCATTCTGTCTAGTTTCTATAGGAAGATATTTCCTATTCTACCATTGACCTCAAAGCGGCTGAAATCTCCAATTGCAAATTCCACAAAAAGAGTGTTTCAAGTCTGCTCTGTGTAAAGGATCGTTGAAATCTGTGAGTTGAATACACACAACACAATGAAGTTACTGAGAATTCTTCTGTCTAGCAGAATATGAAGAAATCCCGTTTCCAACGAAGGCCTCTAGGAGGTCTGAATATCCACTTGCAGACTTTACAAACAGAGTGTTTCCTAACTGCTCTATGAACAGAAAGGTTAAACTCTGTGAGTTGAACGAACACATCACAACGCAGTTTGTGGGAATGATTCTGTCTAGTTTTGAAACGAAGATATTTCCTTTTCTGCCGTTGACCTTAAAGCGCTTGAAATCTACACTTGTAAATTGCACAAATAGAGTGTTTCAAATCTGCTCTGTCTAAGGGAACGTTCAACTCTGTGAGTTGAATGCACACAACACAAGGAAGTTACTGGGAATTCTTCTGTCTACCCTTACATGAAAAAAACCCGTTTCCAACGAAGGCCTCTAAGTGGTCAAAATATCCACGTGCAGACTTTACAAACAGAGTGTTTCCAAACTGCTGAATGAAAAGAAAAGTTAAACTCTGAGAGTTGAACGCACACATCACAGAGCAGTTTCTGAGAATGATTCTGTCTAGTTTTTATACGAAGATATTTCCTTTTCTGCCTTTGGCCTCAAAGCGCTTGAAATCTCCACTTGCAAATTCCACAAAAAGAGTGTTTCAACTCTGCTCTGTGTAAATGAGAGTTCATCTCTGTGAGTTGAACACACACAACACAAGGAAGTTACTGGGAATTCTTCTGTCTAGCAGAATATGAAGAAATCCCGTTTCCAACGAAGGCCTCAAAGAGATCTGAATATCCACTTGCAGACTTTACAAACAGAGTGTTTCCTAACTGCTCTATGAAAAGAAAAGTTAAACTCTGTGAGTTGAACGCACACATCACAAAGGATTTTCTGAGAATCATTCTGTCTAGTCTTTATACGGAGATGTTTCCTTTTCTACCATTGACCTCAAAGCGGCTGAAATCTCCACTTGCAAATTCCACAAAAAGAGTGTTTCAAGTCGGCTCTGTGTAAAGGATTGTTCAAGTCTGTGAGTTGAATACACACAACACAAGGAAGTTACTGAGAATTATTCTGTCTAGCAGAATATGAAGAAATCCCGTTTCCAACGAAGGCCTCAAGGAGGTCTGAATATCCACTTGCAGACTTTACAAACAGAGTGTTTCCTAACTGCTCTATGAACAGAAAGGTTAAACTCCGTGAGTTGAACGAACACATCACAACGCAGTTTGTGGGAATGATTCTGTCTAGTTTTGAAACGAAGATATTTCCTTTTCTGCCATTGACCTTAAAGCGCTCGAAATCTACACTTGCAAATTGCACAAATAGAGTGTTTCAAATCTGCTCTAAGGGAACGTTCAACTCTGTGAGTTGAATGCACACAACACAAGGAAGTTACTGGGAATTCTTCTGTCTAGCCTTACATGAAAAAAACCCGTTTCCAACGAAGGCCTCTAAGTGGTCAAATTATCCACGTGCAGACTTTACAAACAGAGTGTTTCCGAACTGCTGAATGAAAAGCAAATTTAAACTCTGAGAGTTGAACGCACACATCGCAGAGCAGTTTCTGAGAATGATTCTGTCTAGTTTTTATACGAAGATATTTCCTTTTCTGCCTTTGGCCCCAAAGCGCTTGAAATCTCCACTTGCAAATTCCACAAAAACAGTGTTTCAAATCTGGTCTCTCTAAATGAAAGTTCAACTCTCACAGTTGAATACACACAACACAAGAAAGTTACTGAGAATTCTTCTGTCTAGCATAATATGAAGAAATCTCGTTTCCAACGAAGGCCTCAAAGAGGTCTGAATATCCACTTGCAGACTTTACAAACAGAGTGTTTCCTAACTGCTCTATGAAAAGAAAAGTTTAACTCTGTGTGTTGAACGCACACATCACAAAGGAGTTTCTGAGAATCATTCTGTCTAGTTTTTATAGGAAGATATTTCCTTTTCTACCATTGACCTCAAAGCGGCTGAAATCTCCACTTGCAAATTCCACAAAAAGAGTGTTTCAAGTCCGCTCTGTGTAAAGGAACGTTCAACTCTGTGAGTTGAATACACACAACACAAGGAAGTTACTGAGAATTCTTCTGTCTAGCAGAATATGAAGAAATCCCGTTTCCAACGAAGGCCACAAGATGTCAGAATATCCACTTACAGACTTTACAAACAGAGTGTTTCCTAACTGCTCTATGAACAGAAAGGTTAAACTCTGTGAGTTGAACGAACACATCACAACGCAGTTTGTGGGAATGATTCTGTCTAGTTTTGAAACGAAGATATTTCCTTTTCTGCCGTTGACCTCAAAGAGCTTGAAAACTACACTTGCAAATTGCACAAATAGAGTGTTTCAAATCTGCTCTGTCTAAGGGAACGTTCAACTCTGTGAGTTGAATGCACACAACACAAGGAAGTTACTGGGAATTCTTCTGTCTAGCCTTACATGAAAAAAACCCGTTTCCAACGAAGGTCTCTAAGTGGTCAAAATATCCACGTGCAGACTTTACAAACAGAGTGTTTCCAAACCGCTGAATGAAAAGAAAAGTTAAACTGCTGAGAGTTGAACGCACACATCACGCAGCAGTTTCTGAGAATGATTCTGTCTAGTTGTTATACGAAGATATTTCCTTTTCTGCCTTTGGCCCCAAAGCGCTTGAAATCTCCACTTGCAAATTCCACAAAAACAGTGTTTCAAATCTGCTCTCTCTAAATGAAAGTTCAACTCTGTCAGTTGAATACACACAACACAAGGAAGTTACTGAGAATTCTTCTGTCTAGCAGAATATGAAGAAATCCCGTTTCCAACGAAGGCCTCAACGAGGTCTGAATATCCACTTGCAGACTTTACAAGCAGAGTGTTTCCTAACTGCTCTATGAAAAGAAAGGTTAAACTCTGTGAGTTGAACACACACATCACAAAGAAGTTTCTGAGAATCATTCTGTCTAGTTTCTATAAGAAGATATTTCCTATTCTACCATTGACCTCAAAGCGGCTGAAATCTCCACTTGCAAATTCGACAAAAAGAGTGTTTCAAGCCTGCTCTCTGTAAAGGATCCTTCAACTCTGTGAGTTGAATACACACAACACAAAGAAGTTACTGAGAATTATTCTGTCTAGCAGAATATGAAGAAATCCCGTTTCCAACGAAGGCCTCAAAAGAGGTCTGAATATCCACTTGCAGACTTTACATACAGAGTGTTTCCTAACTGCTCTATGAAAAGAAAAGTTAAATTCTGTGAGTTGAACGCACACATCACAAAGGAGTTTTCTGAGAATCATTCTGTCTAGTTTTGAAACGAAGATATTTCCTTTTCTGCCATTGACCTCAAAGCGCTTGAAATCTCCACTTGCCAATTGCACAAAAAGAGTGTTTCAAATCTGCTCTGTTTAAGGGAACGTTCAACTCTGTGAGTTGAATGTACACAACACAAGGAAGTTACTGGGAATTCTTCTGTCTAGCCTTACATGAAAAAATCCCGTTTCCAACGAAGGTCTCTAAGTGGTCAAAATTTCCACGTGCAGACTTTACAAACAGAGTGTTTCCAAACCGCTGAATGAAAAGAAAAGTTAAACTCTGAGAGTTGATCGCACACATCACGCAGCAGTTTCTGAGAATGATTCTGTCTAGTCTTTATACGAAGATATTTACTTTTCTACCATTGACTTCAAATCGGCTGAAATCTCCACTTGCAAATTCCACAAAAAGGGTGTTTCAAGTCTGCTCTGTGTAAAGGATCATTCAAATCTGTGAGTTGAATAAACACAACACAAGGAAGTTACTGAGAATTCTTCTGTCTAGCATAATATGAAGAAATCCCGTTTCCAACGAAGGCCTAAAAGATGTCTGAATATCCACTTGCAGACTTTACAAACAGAGTGTTTCCTAACTGCGCTATGAAAAGAAAGGTTAAATTCTGTGAGTTGAACGCACACATCACAAAGGAGTTTATGAGAATCATTCTGTCTAGTTTCTATAGGAACATATTTCCTATTCTACCATTGACCTCAAAGCGGCTAAAATCTCCACTTGCAAATTCCACAAAAAGAATGTTTCAAGTCTGCTCTGTGTAAAGGATCGTTCAACTCTGTGAGTTGAATACACACAACACAAGGAAAGTTACTGAGAATTCTTCTGTCTAGCAGAATATGAAGAAATCCCGTTTCCAACGAAGGCCACAAGATGTCAGAATATCCACTTACAGACTTTACAAACAGAGTGTTTCCTAACTGCTCTATGAACAGAAAGGTTAAACTACTGTGAGTTGAACGAACACATCACAACGCAGTTTGTGGGAATGATTTCTGTCTAGTTTTTATAGGAAGATATTTCCTTTTCTACCTTTGACTTCAAAGCGGCTGAAATCTCCACTTGCAAATTCCAGAAAAAGAGTGTTACAAGTCTGCTTTGTGTAAAGGATCGTTCAACTCTGTGAGTTGAATACACACAACACAAGGAAGTTACTGAGAATTCTTCTGTCTAGCCTTACATGAAAAAAACCCGTTTCCAACGAAGGCCTCTAAGTGGTCAAATTATCCACGTGCAGACTTTACAAACAGAGTGTTTCCAAACTGCTGAATGAAAAGAAAAGTTAAACTCTGAGAGTTGAACGCACACATCGCAGAGCAGTTTCTGAGAATCATTCTGTCTAGTTTTTATACGAAGATATTTCCTTTTCTGCCTTTGGCCCCAAAGCGCTTGAAATCTCCACTTGCCAATTCCACAAAAACAGTGTTTCAAATCTGCTCTCTCTAAATGATAGTTCAACTCTGTCAGCTGAATACACACAACACAAGGAAGTTACTGAGAATTCTTCTGTCTAGCACAGTATGAAGAAATCCCGTTTCCAACGAAGGCCTCAAAGAGGTCTCAATATCCACTTGCAGAGTTTACAAACAGAGTGTTTCCTAACTGCTCTATGAAAAGAAAGGTTAAACTCTGTGAGTTGAACGCACACATCACAAAGAAGTTTCTGAGAATCATTCTGTCTAGTTTTTATAGGAAGATATTTCCTTTTCTACCTTTGACTTCAAAGCGGCTGAAATCTCCACTTGCAAATTCCACAAAAAGAGTGTTACAAGTCTGCTCTGTGTAAAGGATCGTTCAACCCTGTGAGTTGAATACACACAACACAAGGAAGTTACTGAGAATTCTTCTGTCTAGCAGAATATGAAGAAATCCCGTTTCCAACGAAGGCCACAAGATGTCAGAATATCCACTTACAGAATTGACAAACAGACTGTTTCCTAACTGCTCTATGAAAAGAAAGGTTAAACTCTGTGAGTTGAACGAACACATCACAACGCAGTTTGGGGGAATGATTCTCTGTAGTTTTGAAACGAAGATATTTCCTTTTCTGCCATTGACCTTAAAGCGCTTGAAATCTACACTTGCAAATTGCACAAATAGAGTGTTTCAAATCTGCTCTGTCTAAGGGAACGTTCAACTCTGTGAGTTGAATGCACACAACACAAGGAAGTTACTGGGAATTCTTCTGTCTAGCCTTACATGAAAAAAACCCGTTTCCAACGAAGGCATCTAAGTGGTCAAAATATCCACGTGCAGACTTTACAGAGTGTTTCCAAACCGCTGAATGAAAAGAAAAGTTAAACTCTGAGAGTTGAACGCACACATCACGCAGCAGTTTCTGAGAATGATTCTGTCTAGTTTTTATACGAAGATATTTCCTTTTCTGCCTTTGGCCCCAAAGCGCTTGAAATCTCCACTTGCAAATTCCACAAAAACAGTGTTTCAAATCTGCTCTCTCTAAATGAAAGTTCAACTCTGTCAGTTGAATACAAACAACACAAGGAAGTTACTGAGAATTCTTCTGTCTAGCATAGTATGAAGAAATCCCGTTTCCAACCAAGGCCTCAAAGAGGTCTGAACATCCACTTGCAGAGTTTACAAACAGAGTGTTTCCTAACTGCTCTATGAAAAGAAAGGTTAAACTCTGTGAGTTGAACGCACACATCACAAAGAAGTTTCTGAGAATCATTCTGTCTAGTTTCTATAGGAAGATATTTCCTATTCTACCATTGACCTCAAAGCGGCTGAAGTCTCCATATGCAAATTCCACAAAAAGAGTGTTTCAAGTCTGCTCTGTGTAAAGGATCGTTCAACTCTGTGAGTTGAATACACACAACACAAGGAAGTTACTGAGAATTCTTCTGTCTAGCATAATATGAAGAAATCCCGTTTCCAACGAAGGCCTCAAGGAGGTCTGAATATCCACTTGCAGACTTTACAAACAGTGTTTCCTAACTGCTCTATGAAAAGAAAGGTTAAACTGTGTGAGTTGAACGCACACATCACAAAAGAGTTTCTGAGAATCATTCTGTCTAGTTTTGAAACGAAGATATTTCCTTTTCTGCCATTGACCTTAAAGCGCTTGAAATCTCCATTTGCCAATTGCAAAAAAAGAGTGTTTCAAATCTGCTCTGTCTAAGGGAACGTTCAACTCTGTGAGTTGAATGTACACAACACAAGGAAGTTACTGGGAATTCTTCTGTCTAGCCTTACAGGTAAAAAAACCCGTTTCCAACGAAGGCCTCTAAGTGGTCAAGTTATCCACGTGCAGACTTTACAACCAGAGTGTTTCCAAACTGCTGAATGAAAAGAAAAGTTAAACTCTGAGAGTTGAACGCACACATCGCAGAGCAGTTTCTGAGAATGATTCTGTCTAGTTTTTATACGAAGATATTTCCTTTTCTGCCTTTGGCCCCAAAGCGCTTGAAATCTCCACTTGCCAATTCCACAAAAACAGTGTTTCAAATCTGCTCTCTCTAAATGATAGTTCAACTCTGTCAGTTGAATACACACAACACAAGGAAGTTACTGAGAATTCTTCTGTCTAGCAGAATATGAAGAAATCCCGTTTCCAAAGAAGGCCTCAAAGGGGTCTGAATATCCACTTGCAGACTTTATAAACAGAGTGTTTACTAGCTGCTCTATGAAAAGAAAGGTTAAACTCTGTGAGTTGAACACACACATCACAAAGGAGTTTCTGAGAATCATTCTGTCTAGTTTTTATAGGAAGATATTCCCTTTTCTACCTTTGACTTCAAAGCGGCTGAAATCTCCACTTGCAAATTCCACAAAAAGAGTGTTACAAGTCTGCTCTGTGTAAAGGATCGGTCAACTCTGTGAGTTGAATACACACAACACAAGGAAGTTACTGGGAATTCTTCTGTCTAGCAGAATATGAAGAAATCCCGTTTCCAATGAAGGCCACATGATGTCAGAATATCCACTTACAGAATTTACAAACAGACTGTTTCCTAACTGCTCTATGAAAAGAAAGGTTAAACTCTGTGAGTTGAACGAACACATCACAACGCAGTTTGTGGGAATGATTCTGTCTAGTTTTGAAACGAAGATATTTCCTTTTCTGCCATTGACCTTAAAGCGCTTGAAATCTCCACTTGCCAATTGCACAAAAAGTGTGTTTCAAATCTGCTCTGTCTAAGGGAACGTTCAACTCTGTGAGTTGAATGTACACAACACAAGGAAGTTACTGGGAATACTTCTGTCTAGCCTTACATGAAAAAAACCCGTTTCCAACGAAGGCCTCTAAGTGGTCAAGTTATCCACGTGCAGACTTTACAAACAGAGTGTTTCCAAACTTCTGAATGAAAAGAAAAGTTAAACTCTGAGAGTTGAACGCACACATCGCAGAGCAGTTTCTGAGAATGATTCTGTCTAGTTTTTCTACGAAGATATTTCCTTTTCTGCCTTTGGCCCCAAAGCGCTTGAAATCTCCACTTGCAAATTCCACAAAAACAGTGTTTCAAATCTGCTCTCTCTAAATGAAAGTTCAACTCTGTCAGTTGAATACACACAACACAAGGAAGTTACTGAGAATTCTTCTGTCTAGCATAATATGAAGAAATCCCGTTTCCAAAGAAGGCCTCAAAGAGGTCTGAATATCCACTTGCAGTCTTTACAAACGGAGTGTTTCCTAACTGCTCTATGAAAAGAAAGGTTAAACTCTCTGAGTTGAACGCACACATCACAAAGGAGTTTCTGAGAATCATTCTGTCTAGTTTCTATAGGAAGATATTTCCTATTCTACCATTGACCTCAAAGAGGCTGAAATCTCCACTTGCAAATTCCACAAAAAGAGTGTTTCAAGTCTGCTCTGTGTAAAGGATCGTTCAAATCTGTGAGTTGAATACTCACAACACAAGGAAGTTACTGAGAATTCTTCTGTCTAGCAGAATAGGAAGAAATCCCGTTTCCAACGAAGGCCACAAGATGTCAGAATATCCACTTGCAGACTTTACAAACAGAGTGTTTCCTAACTGCTCTATGAACAGAAAGGTTAAACTCTGTGAGTTGAACGAACACATCACAACGCAGTTTGTGGGAATGATTCTGTCTAGTTTTGAAACGAAGATATTTCCTTTTCTGCCGTTGACCTTAAAGCGCTTGAAATCTACACTTGCAAATTGCACAAATAGAGTGTTTCAAATCTGTTCTGTCTAAGGGAACGTTCAGCTCTGTGAGTTGAATGCACACAACACAAGGAAGTTACTGGGAATTCTTCTGTCTAGACTTACATGAAAATAACCCGTTTCCAACGAAGGCCTCTAAGTGGTCAAATTATCCACGTGCAGACTTTACAAACAGAGTGTTTCCAAACTGCTGAATGAAAAGAAAAGTTAAACTGTGAGAGTTGAACGCACACATCGCAGAGCAGTTTCTGAGAATGATTCTGTCTAGTTTTTATACGAAGATATTCCCTTTTCTACCATTGACCTCAAAGCGGCTGAAATCACCACTTGCCAATTGCACAAAAAGAGTGTTTCAAATCTGCTCTGTCTAAGGGAACGTTCAACTCTGTGAGTTGAATGTATACAACACAAGGAAGTTACTGGGAATTCTTCTGTCTAGCCTTACAAGAAAAAAACCCGTTTCCAACGAAGGCCTCAAAGAGGTCTGAATATCCACTTGCAGACTTTACAAACAGAGTGTTTCCTAACTGCTCTATGAAAAGAAAGGTTAAACTCTGTGAGTTGAACGCACACATCACAAAGGAGTTTCTGAGAATCATTCTGTCTAGTTTTTCTACGAAGATATTTCCTTTTCTACTATTGACCTCAAAGCGGCTGAAATCTACACTTGCAAATTCCACAAAAAGAGTGTTTCAAGTCTGCTCTGTGTAAAGGATCGTTCAACTCTGTGAGTTGAATACACACAACACAAGGAAGTTACTGAGAATTCTTCTGTCTAGCAGAATATGAAGAAATCCCATTTCCAACGAAGGCCACAAGATGTCAGAATATCCACTTACAGACTTTACAAACAGAGTGTTTCCTAACTGCTCTATGAACAGAAAGGTAAAACTCTGTGAGTTGAACGAACACATCACAACGCAGTTTGTGGGAATGATTCTGTCTAGTTTTAAAACGAAGATATTTCCTTTTCTGCCATTGACCTTAAAGCGCTTGAAATCTACAATTGCAAATTGCACAAATAGAGTGTTTCAAATGTGCTCTGTCTAAGGGAACGTTCAACTCTGTGAGTTGAATGCACACAACACAAGGAAGTTACTGGGAATTCTTCTGTCTAGCCTTACATGAAAAAAACCCTTTTCCAACGAAGGCCTCTAAGTGGTCAAAATATCCACGTGCAGACTTTACAGACAGAGTGTTTCCAAACCCCTGAATGAAAAGAAAAGTTAAACTCTGAGAGTTGAACGCACACATCACGCATCAGTTTCTGAGAATGATTCTGTCTAGTTTTGAAACGAAGATATTTCCTTTTCTGCCTTTGGCCTCAAATCGCTTGAAATCTCCACTTGCAAATTCCACAAAAAGAGTGTTTCAAATCTGCTCTGTGTAAATGGAAGTTCAACTCTGTGAGTTGAACACACACAACACAAGGAAGTTACTGGGAATTCTTCTGTCTAGCATAATATGAAGAAATCCCGTTTCCAACGAAGGCCTCAAAGGGGTCTGAATATCCACTTGCAGACTTTATAAACAGAGTGTTTACTAACTGCTCTATGAAAAGAAAGGTTAAACTCTGTGAGTTGAACACACACATCACAAAGGACTTTCTGAGAATGATTCTGTCTAGTCTTTATACGAAGATATTTCCTTTTCTACCATTGACCTCAAAGCGGCTGAAATCTCCACTTGCAAATTCCACAAAAAGAGTGTTTCAAGTCTGCTCTGTGTAAAGGATCGTTCAACTCTGTGAGTTAAATGCACACAACACAAGGAAGTTACTGAGAATTCTTCTGTCTAGCAGAATATGAAGAAATCCCGTTTCCAACGATGGCCACAAGATGTCAGAATATCCACTTACAGACTTTACAAACAGAGTGTTTCCTAACTGCTCTATGAACGGAAAGGTTAAACTCTGTGAGTTGAACGAACACATCACAACGCAGTTTGTGGGAATGATTCTGTCTAGTTTTGAAACGAAGATATTTCCTTTTCTGCCATTGACCTTAAAGCGCTTGAAATCTACACTTGCAAATTGCACAAATAGAGTGTTTCAAATCTGCTCTGTCTAAGGGAACGTTCAACTCTGTGAGTTGAATGCACACAACACAAGGAAGTTACGGGGAATTCTTCTGTCTAGCCTTACAGGAAAAAAACTCGTTTCCAACGAAGGCCTCTAAGTGGTCAAAATATCCACGTGCAGACTTTACAAACAGAGTGTTTCCAAACTGCTGAATGAAAAGAAAAGTTAAACTCTGAGAGTTGAACGCACACATCGCAGAGCAGTTTCTGAGAATGATTCTGTCTTGTTTTTCTACGAAGATATTCCCTTTTCTGCCTTTGGCCCCAAAGCGCTTGAAATCTCCACTTGCAAATTCCACAAAAACAGTGTTTCAAATCTGTTCTCTCTAAATGAAAGTTCAACTCTGTCAGTTGAATACACACAACACAAGGAAGTTACTGAGAATTCTTCTGTCTAGTCTTATATGAAAAAAACCCGTTTCCAACGAAGGCCTCAAAGAGGTCGGAATATCCACTTGCAGACTTTACAATCACAGTGTTTCCTAACTGCTCTACGAAAAGAAAGGTTAAACTCTGTGAGTTGAACACCCACATCACAAAGGAGTTTCTGAGAATCATTCTGTCTAGTTTTTATAGGAAGTTATTTCCTTTTCTACCTTTGACTTCAAAGCGGCTGAAATCTCCACTTGCAAATTCCACAAAAAGAGTGTTACAAGTCTGCTCTGTGTAAAGGATCGTTCAACTGTGTGAGTTGAATACACACAACACAAGGAAGTTACTGAGAATTCTTCTGTCTAGCAGAACATGAAGAAATCCCGCTTCCAACGAAGGCCTCAAAGAAGTCTGAATATCCACTTGCAGACATTACAAACAGAGTGTTTCCCAACTGCTCTATGAAAAGAAAGGTTGAACTCTGTGAGTTGAACGCACACATCACAAAGGAGTTTCTGAGAATCATTCTGTCTAGTTTTTATACGAAGATATTTCCTTTTCTACCATTGACCCCAAAGCGGCTGAAATCTCCACTTGCAAATTCCACAAAAAGAGTGTTTCAAGTCTGCTCTGTGTAAAGGATCGTTCAACTCTGTGAGTTGAATACACACAACACAAGGAAGTTACTGAGAATTCTTCTGTCTAGCAGAATATGAAGAAATCCCTTTTCCAACGAAGGCCACAAGATGTCAGAATATCCACTTACAGACTTTACAAACAGAGTGTTTCCTAACTGCTCTATGAACAGAAAGGTTAAACTCTGTGAGTTGAACGAACACTTCACAACGCAGTTTGTGGGAATGATTCTGTCTAGTTTTGAAACGAAGATATTTCCTTTTCTGCCGTTGACCTTAAAGCGCTTGAAATCTACACTTGCAAATTGCACAAATAGAGTTTTTCAAATCTGCTCTGTCTAAGGGAACGTTCAACTCTGTGAGTTGAATGCACACAACACAAGGAAGTTACTGGGAATTCTTCTGTCTAGCCTTACATGAAAAAAACCCGTTTCCAACGAAGGCATCTAAGTGGTCAAAATTTCCACGTGCAGACTTTACAAACAGAGTGTTTCCAAACCGCTGAATGAAAAGAAAAGTTAAACTCTGAGAGTTGAACGCACACATCACGCAGCAGTTTCTGAGAATGATTCTGTCTAGTTTTGAAACGAAGATATTTCCTTTTCTGCCTTTGGCCTCAAATCGCTTGAAATCTCCACTTGCAAATTCCACAAAAAGAGTGTTTCAAATCTGCTCTGTGTAAATGGAAGTTCAACTCTGTGAGTTGAACACACACAACACAATGAAGTTACTGGGAATTCTTCTGTCTAGCATAATATGAAGAAATGCCGTTTCCAAAGAAAGCCTCAAAGAGGACTGAGAATCCACTTGCAGACTTTACAAACAGAGTGTTTCCTAACTGCTCTATGAAAAGAAAGGTTAAACTCTGTGAGTTGAACGCACACATCACAAAGGAGTTTCTGAGAATCATTCTGTCTAGTTTTTATACGAAGATATTTCCTTTTCTACCATTGACCTCAACGCGGCTGAAATCTCCACTTGCAAATTCCACAAAAAGTGTGTTTCAAGTCCGCTCTGTGTAAAGGATCGTTCAACTCTGTGAGTTGAATACACACAACACAAGGAAGTTACTGAGAATTCTTCTGTCTAGCACAGTATGAAGAAATCCCGTTTCCAACGAAGGCCTCAAAGAGGTCTGAATATCCACATGCAGACTTTACAAACAGAGTGTTTCCTAACTGCTCTATGAAAAGAAAGGTTAAACTCTGTGAGTTGAACGCACACGTCACAATGAAGTTTCTGAGAATCATTCTGTCTAGTTTTGAAACGAAGATATTTCCTTTTCTGCCGTTGACCTTAAAGCGCTTGAAATCTACACTTGCAAATTGCACAAATAGAGTATTTCAAATCTGCTCTGTCTAAGGGAACGTTCAACTCTGTGAGTTGAATGCACACAACACAAGGAAGTTACTGGGAATTCTTCTGTCTAGCCTTACGTGAAAAAAACCCGTTTCCCACGAAGGCCTCTAAGTGGTCAAAATATCCACGGGCAGACTTTACAAACAGAGTGTTTCCAAACCGCTGAATGAAAAGAAAAGTTAAACTCTGAGAGTTGAACGCACACATCACGCAGCAGTTTCTGAGAATGATTCTGTCTAGTTTTTATAGGAATATATTTCCTTTTCTGCCTTTGGCCCCAAAGCGTTTGAAATCTCCACTTGCAAATTCCACAAAAACAGTGTTTCAAATCTGCTCTCTCTAAATGAAAGTTCAACTCTGTCAGTTGAATACACACAACACAAGGAAGTTCCCGAGAATTCTTCTGTCTAGCATAATAGGAAGAAATCCCGTTTCCAACGAAGGCCTCAAGGAGGTCTGAATATCCACTTGCAGACTCTACAAACAGAGTGTTTCCTAACTGCTCTATGAAAAGAAAGGTTAAACTCTGTGAGTTGAACGCACACATCACAAAGGAGTTACTGAGAATCATTCTGTCTAGTTTTTCTACGAAGATATTTCCTATTCTACTATTGACCTCAAAGCGGCTGAAATCTCCACTTGCAAATTCCACAAAAAGAGTGTTTCAAGTCTGCTCTCTGTAAAGGATCGTTCAACTCTGTGAGTTGAATACACACAACACAAGGAAGTTACTGAGAATTCTTCTGTCTAGCAGAATATGAAGAAATCCCGTTTCCAACGAAGGCCACAAGATGTCAGAATATCCACTTTCAGACTTTACAAACAGAGTGTTTCCTAACTGCTCTATGAACAGAAAGGTTAAACTCTGTGGGTTGAACGAACACATCACAACGCAGTTTGTGGGAATGATTCTGTCTAGTTTTGAAACGAAGATATTTCCTTTTCTGCCATTGACCTTAAAGCGCTTGAAATCTCCACTTGCCAATTGCACAAAAAGAGTGTTTCAAATCTGCTCTGTCTAAGGGAACGTTCAACTCTGTGAATTGAATGTACACAACACAAGGAAGTTACTGGGAATTCTTCTGTCTAGCCTTACATGAAAAAAAACCCGTTTCCAACGAAGGCCTCTAAGTGGTCAAAATATCCACGTGCAGACTTTACAAACAGAGTGTTTCCAAACCGCTGAATGAAAAGAAAAGTTAAACTCTGAGAGTTGAACGCACACATCACGCAGCAGTTTTCTGAGAATGATTCTGTCTAGTTTTTATACGAAGATATTTCCTTTTCTGCCTTTGGCCCCAAAGCGCTTGAAATCTCCACTTGCAAATTCCACAAAAACAGTGTTTCAAATCTGCTCTCTCTAAATGAAAGTTCAACTCTGTCAGTTGAATACACACAACACAAGGAAGTTAATGAGAATTCTTCTGTATAGCAGAATATGAAGAAATCCCGTTTCCAACGAAAGCCTCAAAGATGTCTGAATATCCACCTGCAGACATTACAAACAGAGTGTTTCCTAACTGCTCTATGAAAAGAAAGGTTAAACTCTGTGAGTTGAACGCACACATCACAAAGGAGTTTCTGAGAATCATTCTGTCTTGTTTCTATAGGAAGATATTTCCTATTCTACCATTGACCTCAAAGCGGCTGAAATCTCCACTTGCAAATTCCACAAAGAGAGTGTTTCAAGTCTGCTCTGTGTAAAGGATCGTTCAACTCTGTGAGTTGAATACACACAATACAAGGAAGTTACTGAGAATTCTTCTGTCTAGCAGAATATGAAGAAATCCCGTTTCCAACGAAGACGTCAAGGAGGTCTGAATATCCACTTGCAGACTTTAGAGAGTGTTTCCTAACTGCTCTATAAAAAGAAAGGTTAAACTCTGTGAGTTGAACGCACACATCACAAAGGAGTTTCTGAGAATCATTCTGTCTAGTTTTGAAACGAAGCATATTTCCTTTTCTGCCATTGACCTTAAAGCGCTTGAAATCTACACTTGCAAATTGCACAAATAGAGTGTTTCAAATCTGCTCTGTCTAAGGGAACGTTCAGCTCTGTGAGTTGAATGCACACAACACAAGGCAAGTTACTGGGAATTCTTCTGTCTACCCTTACATGAAAAAAACCCGTTTCCAACGAAGGCCTCTAAGTGGTCAAAATATCCACGTGCAGACTTTACAAACAGAGTGTTTCCAAACTGCTGAATGAAAAGAAACGTTAAACTCTGAGAGTTGAATGCACACATCACAGAGCATTTTCTGAGAATGATTCTGTCTAGTTTTTATACGAAGATATTTCCTGTTCTGCCTTTGGCCCCAAAGCGCTTGAAATCTCCACTTGCAAATTCCACAAAAACAGTGTTATAAATCTGCTCTCTCTAAATGAAAGTTCAACTCTGTCAGTTGAATACACACAACACAAGGAAGTTACTGAGAATTCTTCTGTCTAGCAGAATATGAAGAAATCCCGTTTCCCACGAAGGCCTCAAGGAGGTCAGAATATCCACTTGCAGACTTTACAAACAGAGTGTTTCCTAACTGCTCTATGAAAAGAAAGGTTAAACTCTGTGAGTTGAACGCACACATCACAAAGGAGTTTCTGAGAATCATTCTGTCTAATTTTTATATGAAGATATTTCCTTTTCTACCACTGACCTCAAAGCGGCTGAAATCTCCACTTGCAAATTCCACAAAAAGAGTGTTTCAAATCTGCTCTGTGTAAATCATCGTTCAACTCTGTGAGTTGAATACACACAACACAAGGAAGATTCTGAGAATTCTTCTTTCCAGCAGAATATGAAGAAATCCCGTTTCCAACGAAAGCCTCAAGGATGTCTGAATATCCACTTGCAGACTTTACAAACAGAGTGTTTCCTAACTGCTCTATGAAAAGAAAGGTTAAACTCTGTGAGTTGAACGCACACATCACAAAGGAGTTTCTGAGAATCATTCTGTCTAGTTTTGAAACGAAGATATTTCCTTTTCTGCCGTTGACCATAAAGAGCTGGAAATCTACACTTGCAAATTGCACAAATAGAGTGTTTCAAATCTGCTCTGTCTAAGGGAACGTTCAACTCTGTGAGTTGAATGCACACAACACAAGGAAGTTACTGGGAATTCTTCTGTCTAGCCTTACAGGAAAAAAACCCGTTTCCAACGAAGGCCTCTAAGTGGTCAGAATATCCACGTGCAGACTTTAGAAACAGAGTTTTTCCACACTGCTGAATGAAAAGAAAAGTTAAACTCTGAGAGTTGAACGCACACATCACAGAGCAGTTTCTGAGAATGATTCTGTCTAGTTTCTATAGGAAGATATTTCCTATTCTACCATTGACCTCAAAGCGGCTGAAATCTCCACTTGCAAATTCCACAAAAAGAGTGTTTCAAGTCTGCTCTCTGTAAAGGATCGTTCAACACTGTGAGTTGAATACACACAACACAAGGAAGTTACTGAGAATTATTCTTTCTAGCAGAATATGAAGAAATCCCGTTTCCAACGAAAGCCTCAAGGATGTCTGAATATCCACTTGCAGACTTTACAAACAGAGTATTTCCTAACTGCTCTATGAAAAGAAAGGTTAAACTCTGTGAGTTGAACGCACACATCACAAAGGAGTTTCTGAGAATCATTCAGTCTAGTTTCTAAACGAAGATATTCCCTTTTCTACCATTGACCTCAAAGCGGCTGAAATCTCCACTTGCAAATTCCACAAAAAGAGTGTTTCAAGTCTGCCCTGTGTAAAGGATCGTTCAACTCTGTGAGTTGAATACACACAACACAAGGAAGTTACTGAGAATTCTTCTGTCTAGCAGAATATGAAGAAATCCCGTTTCCAACGAAGGCCACAAGATGTCAGAATATCCACTTACAGACTTTACAAACAGAGTGTTTCCTAACTGCTCTATGAACAGAAAGGTTAATCTCTGTGAGTTGAACGAACACATCACAACGCAGTTTGTGAGAATGATTCTGTCTTGTGTTGAAACGAAGATATTTCCTTTTCTGCCATTGACCTTAAAGCGCTTGAAATCTACACTTGCAAATTGCACAAATAGAGTGTTTCAAATCTGCTCTGTCTAATGGAACGTTCAACTCTTTGAGTTGAATGCACACAACACAAGGAAGTTACTGGGAATTCTTCTGTCTAGCCTTACATGAAAAAAACCCGTTTCCAACGAAGGCGTCTAAGTCGTCAAAATATCCAGGTGCAGACTTTACAAACAGAGTGTTTCCAAACCGCTGAATGAAAAGAAAAGTTAAACTCTGAGAGTTGAACGCACACATCATGCAGCAGTTTCTGAGAATGATTCTGTCTAGTTTTTATACGAAGACATTTCCTTTTCTGCCTTTGGCCGCAAATCGCTTGAAATCTCCACTTGCAAATTCCTCAAAAACAGTGTTACAAATCTGCTCTCTTTAAATGAAAGTTCAACTCTGTCAGTTGAATACACACAACACAAGGAAGTTACTGAAAATTCTTCTGTCTAGCCTTACATGAAAAAAACCCGTTTCCAACGAAGGCCTCAAAGAAGTCCAAATATCCACGTGCAGACTTTACAAACAGAGTGTTTCCTAACTGCTCTATGAAAAGAAAGGTTAAACTCTGTGAGTTGAACGCACACATCACAAAGGAGTTTCTGAGAATCATTCTGTCTAGTTTCTATACGAAGATATTCCCTTTTCTACCATTGACCTCAAAGCGGCTGAAATCTCCACTTGCAAATTCCACAAAAAGAGTATTTCAAGTCTGCTCTGTGTAAAGGATCGTTCAACTCTGTGAGTTGAATACACACAACACAAGGAAGTTACTGAGAATTCTTCTGTCTAGCAGAATATGAAGAAATTCCGTTTCCAACGAAGGCCACAAGATGTCAGAATATCCACTTACAGAATTGACAAACAGACTGTTTCCTAACTGCTCTATGAAAAGAAAGGTTAAACTCTGTGAGTTGAACGAACACATCACAACGCAGTTTGTGGGAATGATTCTGTCTAGTTTTGAAACGAAGATATTTCCTTTTCTGCCGTTGACCTTAAAGCGCTTGAAATCTACACTTGCAAATTGAACAAATAGAGTGTTTCAAATCTGCTCTGTCTAAGGGAACGTTCAACTCTGTGAGTTGAATGCACACAACACAAGGAAGTTACTGGGAATTCTTCTGTCTAGCCTTACATGAAAAAAACCCGTTTCCAACGAAGGCCTCTAAGTGGTCAAAATATCCACGTGCAGACTTTACAAACAGAGTGTTTCCAAACCGCTGAATGAAAAGAAAAGTTAAACTCTGAGAGTTGAACGCACAAATCACGCAGCAGTTTCTGAGAATGATTCTGTCTAGTTTTGAAACGAAGATATTTCCTTTTCTGCCTTTGGCCTCAAAGCGCTTGAAATCTCCACTTGCAAATTCCACAAAAAGAGAGTTTCAAATCTGCTCTGGGTAAATGAAAGTTCAACTCTGTGAGTTGAACACACACAACACAAGGAAGTTACTGGGAATTCTTCTTTCTAGCAGAACATGAAGAAATCCCGCTTCCAACGAAGGCCTCAAAGAAGTCTGAATATCCACTTGCAGACTTTACAAACAGAGTGTTTCCCAACTGCTCTATGAAAAGAAAGGTTGAACTCTGTGAGTTGAACGCACACATCACAAAGGAGTTTCTGAGAATCATTCTGTCTAGTTTTTCTACGAAGATATTTCCTTTTCTACTATTGACCTCAAAGCGGCTGAAATCTCCACTTGCAAATTCCACAAAAAGAGTGTTTCAAGTCTGCTCTGTGTAAAGGATCGTTCAACTCTGTGAGTTGAATACACACAACACAAAGAAGTTACTGAGAATTCTTCTGTCTAGCAGAATATGAAGAAATCCCGTTTCCAACGAAGGCCTCAAAGAGGTCTGAATATCCACTTGCAGACTTTACAAACAGAGTGTTTCCTAACTGCTCTATGAAAAGAAAGGTTAAACTCTGTGAGTTGAACGCACACATCACAAAGGAGTTTACTGAGAATCGTTCTGTCTAGTTTTTATAGGAAGATATTTCCTTTTCTACATTTGACTTCAAAGCGGCTGAAATCTCCACTTGCAAATTCCACAAAAAGAGTGTTACAAGTCTACTCTGTGTAAAGGATCGTTCAACTGTGTGAGTTGAATACACACAACACAAGGAAGTTACTGAGAATTCTTCTGTCTAGCCTTATATGAAAAAAACCCGTTTCCAACGAAGGCCTCTAAGTGGTCAAAATATCCACGTGCAGACTTTACAAACAGAGTGTTTCCAAACCGCTGAATGAAAAGAAAAGTTAAACTCTGAGAGTTGAACGCACACATCACGCAGCAGTTTCTGAGAATGATTCTGTCTAGTTTTTATACGAAGATATTTCCTTTTCTGCCTTTGGCCTCAAAGCGCTTGAAATCTCCACTTGCAAATTCCACAAAAAGAGTGTTTCAAATCTGCTCTGTGTAAATGAAAGTTCAACTCTGTGAGTTGAACACACACAACACAAGGAAGTTACTGAGAATTGTTCTGTCTAGCAGAATATGAAGAAATCCCGTTTCCAACGAAGGCCTCAAAGAGGTCTGAATATCCACTTGCAGACTTTACAAACAGAGTGTTTCCTAACTGCTCTATGAAAAGAAAGGTTAAACTCTGTGAGCTGAACGCACACATCACAAAGGAGTTTCTGAGAATCATTCTGTCTAGTTTCTATACGAAGATATTCCCTTTTCTACCATTGACCTCAAAGCGGCTGAAATCTCCACTTGCAAATTCCACAAAAAGAGTGTTTCATGTCTGCTCTGTGTAAAGGATCATTCAACTCTGTGAGTTGAATACACACAACACAAGGAAGTTACTGAGAATTCTTCTGTCTAGCATAGTATGAAGAAATCCCGTTTCCAACGAAGGCCTCAAAGAGGTCTGAATATCCACTTGCAGACTTTACAAACAGAGTGTTTCCAAACTGCTGAATGAAAAGAAAAGTTAAACTCTGAGAGTTGAACGCACACATCGCAGAGCAGTTTCTGAGAATGATTCTGTCTAGTTTTGAAACGAAGATATTTCCTTTTCTGCCGTTGACCTTAAAGCGCTTGAAATCTACACTTGCAAATTACACAAATAGAGTGTTTCAAATGTGCTCTGTCTAAGGGAACGTTCAACTCTGTGAGTTGAATGCACACAACACAAGGAAGTTACTGGGAATTCTTCTGTCTACACTTACATGAAAAAAACCCGTTTCCAAAGAAGGCCTCTAAGTGGTCAAAATATCCACGTGCAGACTTTACAAACAGAGTGTTTCCAAACTGCTGAATGAAAAGAAAAGTTAAACTCTGAGAGTTGAACGCACACATCACAGAGGATTTTCTGAGAATGATTCTGTCTAGTTTTTATACGAAGATATTTCCTTTTCTGCCTTTGGCCGCAAAGCGCTTGAAATCTCCACTTGCAAATTCCACAAAAACAGTGTTACAAATCTGCTCTCTCTAAATGAAAGTTCAACTCTGTCAGTTGAATACACACAACACAAGGAAGTTACTGAGAATTCTTCTGTCTAGCATAATATGAAGAAATCCCGTTTCCTACGAAGGCCTCAAAGAGGTCTGAATATCCACTTGCAGACTTTACAAACAGAGTGTTTCCTAACTGCTCTATGAAAAGAAAGGTTAAACTCTGTGAGTTGAGCGCACACATCACAAAGGAGTTTCTGAGAATCATTCTGTCTAGTCTTTATACGAAGTTATTTACTTTTCTACCATTGACCTCAAAGCGGCTGAAATCTCCACTTGCAAATTCCACAAAAAGAGTGTTTCAAGTCTGCTCTGTGTAAAGGATCGTTCAACTCTGTGAGTTGAATACACACAACACAAGGAAGTTACTGAGAATTCTTCTGTCTAGCAGAATATGAAGAAATCCCGTTTCCAACGAAGGCCACAAGATGTCAGAATATCCACTTACAGAATTTACAAACAGACTGTTTCCTAACTGCTCTATGAAAAGAAAGGTTAAACTCTGTGAGCTGAACGAACACATCACAACGCAGTTTTTGGGAATGATTCTGTCTAGTTTTGAAACGAAGATATTTCCTTTTCTGCCATTGACCTTAAAGCGCTTGAAATCTACACTTGCAAATTGCACAAATAGAGTGTTTCAAATCTGCTCTGTCTAAAGGAACGTTCAACTCTGTGAGTGGAATGCACACAACACAAGGAAGTTACTGGGAATTCTTCTGTCTAGCCTTACAGGAAAAAACCCGTTTCCAACGAAGGCCTCTAAGTGGTCAAATTATCCACGTGCAGACTTTACAAACAGAGTGTTTCCAAACTGCTGAATGAAAAGAAAAGTTAAACTCTGAGAGTTGAACGCACACATCGCAGAGCAGTTTCTGAGAATGATTCTGTCTAGTTTTTATACGAAGATATTTCCTTTTCTGCCTTTGGCCTCAAAGCGCATGAAATCTACCTTTGCAAATTCCACAAAAAGAGTGTCTCAAATCTGCTCTGTCTAAATGAAAGTTCAACTCTGTCAGTTGAATACACACAACACAAGGAAGTTACTGAGAATTCTTCTGTCTAGCCTTATATGAAAAAAACCCATTTCCAACGAAGGCCTCAAAGAGGGCTGAATATCCACTTGCAGACTTTACAAGCAGAGTGTTTCCTAACTGCTCTATGAAAAGAAAGGTTAAACTCTGTGAGTTGAACGCACACATCACAAAGGAGTTTCTGAGAATCATTTCTGTCTAGTCTTTATACGAAGATATTTCCTTTTCTACCATTGACCTCAAAACGGCTGAAATCTCCACTTGCAAATTCCACAAAAAGTGTGTTTCAAGTCTGCTCTGTGTAAAGGATCGTTCAACTCTGTGAGTTGAATACACACAACACAAGGGAAGTTACTGAGAATTCTTCTGTCTAGCAGAATATGAAGAAATCCCGTTTCCAACGAAGGCCACAAGATGTCAGAATATCCACTTACAGAGTTTTCAAACAGACTGTTTCCTAACTGCTCTATGAAAAGAAAGGTTAAACTCTGTGAGTTGAACGAACACATCACAACGCAGTTTGTGGGAATGATTCTGTCTAGTTTTGAAACGAAGATATTTCCTTTTCTGCCGTTGACCTTAAAGCGCTTGAAATCTACACTTGCAAATTGCACAAATAGAGTGTTTCAAATCTGCTCTGTCTAAGGGAACGTTCAACTCTGTGAGTTGAATGCACACAACAGAAGGAAGTTACTGGGAATACTTCTGTCTAGCCTTACATGAAAAAAACCCGTTTCCAACGAAGGCCTCTAAGTGGTCAAAATTTCCACATGCAGACTTTACAAACAGAGTGTTTCCAAACCGCTGAATGAAAAGAAAAGTTAAACTCTGAGAGTTGAACGCACACATCACGCAGCAGTTTCTGAGAATGACTCTGTCTAGTTTTGAAACGAAGATATTTCCTTTTCTGCCTTTGGCCTCAAAGCGCTTGAAATCTCCACTTGCAAATTCCACAAAAAGAGTGTTTCAAATCTGCTCTGTGTAAGTGAAAGTTCAACTCTGTGAGTTGAACACACACAACACAAGGAAGTTACTGGGAATTCTTCTTTCTAGCAGAATATGAAGAAATCCCGTTTCCAACGAAAGCCTCAAAGATGTCTGAATATCCACTTGCAGACTTTACAAACAGAGTGTTTCCTAACTGCTCTATGAAAAGAAAGGTTAAACTCTGTGAGTTGAACGCACACATCACAAAGGAGTTTCTGAGAATCATTCTGTCTAGTTTTTATACGAAGATATTTCCTTTTCTACCATTGACCTCAAAGCGGCTGAAATCTCCACTTGCAAATTCCACAAAAAGAGTGTTTCAAGTCTGCTCTGTGTAAAGGATCGTTCAACTCTGTGAGTTGAATACACACAACACGCGGAAGTTACTGAGAATTCTTCTGTCTAGCAGAATATGAAGAAATCCCGTTTCCAACGAAGGCCACAAGATGTCAGAATATCCACTTACAGAATTTTCAAACAGACTGTTTCCTAACTGCTCTATGAAAAGAAAGGTTAAACTCTGTGAGTTGAACGAACACATCACAACGCTGTTTGTGGGAATGATTCTGTCTAGTTTTGAAACGAAGATATTTCCTTTTCTGCCATTGACCTTAAAGCGCTTGAAATCTCCATTTGCCAATTGCACAAAAAGAGTGTTTCAAATCTGCTCTAAGGGAACGTTCAACTCTGTGAGTTGAATGTACACAACACAAGGAAGTTACTGGGAATTCTTCTGTCTAGCCTTACATGAAAAAAACCCGTTTCCAACGAAGGCCTCTAAGTGGTCAAGTTATCCACGTGCAGACTTTACAAACAGAGTGTTTCCAAACTTCTGAATGAAAAGAAAAGTTAAACTCTGAGAGTTGAACGCACACATCGCAGAGCAGTTTCTGAGAATGATTCTGTCTAGTTTTTATACGAAGATATTTCCTTTTCTGCCTTTGGCCCCAAAGCGTTTGAAATCTCCACTTGCAAATTCCACAAAAACAGTATTTCAAATCTGCTCTCTCTAAATGAAAGTTCAACTCTGTCAGTTGAATACACACAACACAAGGAAGTTACTGAGTATTCTTCTCTCTAGCATAATATGAAGAAATCCCGTTTCCTACGAAGGCCTCAAAGAGGTCTGAATATCCACTTGCAGACTTTACAAACAGAGTGTTTCCTAACTGCTCTATGAAAAGAAAGGTTAAACTCTGTGAGTTGAGCGCACACATCACAAAGGAGTTTCTGAGAATCATTCTGTCTAGTTTCTATAGGAAGATATTTCCTATTCTACCATTGACCTCAAAGCGGCTGAAATCTCCACTTGCAAATTCCACAAAAAGAGTGTTTCAAGTCTGCTGTGTGTAAAGGATCGTTCAACTCTGTGAGTTGAATACACACAACACAAGGAAGTTACTGAGAATTCTTCTGTCTAGCAGAATATGAAGAAATCCCGTTTCCAACGAGGGCCACAAGGATGTCAGAATATCCACTTACAGACTTTACAAACAGTGTGTTTCCTAACTGCTCTATGAACGGAAAGGTTAAACTCTGTGAGTTGAACGAACCCATCACAACGCAGTTTGTGGGAATGATTCTGTCTAGTTTTGAAACGAAGATATTTCCTTTTCTGCCATTGACCTTAAAGCGCTTGAAATCTCCATTTGCCAATTGCACAAAAAGAGTGTTTCAAATCTGCTCTGTCTAAGGGAACGTTCAACTCTGTGAGTTGAATGTACACAACACAAGGAAGTTACGGGGAATTCTTCTGTCTAGGCTTACATGAAAAAAACCCGTTTCCAACGAAGGCCTCTAAGTGGTCAAATTATCCACGTGCAGACTTTACAAACAGAGTGTTTCCAAACTGCTGAATGAAAAGCAAAGTTAAACTCTGAGAGTTGAACGCACACATCGCAGAGCAGTTTCTGAGAATGATTCTGTCTAGTTTTGAAACGAAGATATTTCCTTTTCTGCCTTTGGCCTCAAAGCGCTTGAAATCTCCACTTGCAAATTCCACAAAAAGAGTGTTTCAAATCTGCTCTGGGTAAATGAAAGTTGAACTCTGTGAGTTGAACACACACAACACAAGGAAGTTACTGGGAATTCTTCTTTCTAGCAGAATATGAAGAAATCCCGTTTCCAACGAAAACCTCAAGGATATCTGAATATCCACTTGCAGACTTTACAAACAGAGTGTTTCCTAACTGCTCTATGAAAAGAAAGGTTAAACTCTGTGAGTTGAACGCACACATCACAAAGGAGTTTCTGAAAATCATTCTGTCTAGTTTTTCTACGAAGATATTTCCTTTTCTACTATTGACCTCAAAGCGGCTGAAATCTCCACTTGCAAATTCCACAAAAAGAGTGTTTCAACTCTGCTCTGTGTAAAGGATCGTTCAACTCCGTGAGTTGAATACACACAACAAAAGGAAGTTACTGAGAATTCTTCTGTCTAGCAGAATATGAAGAAATCCCGTTTCCAACGAAGGCCACAAGCTGTCAGAATATCCACTTACAGAATTTTCAAACAGACTGTTTCCTAACTGCTCTATGAAAAGAAAGGTTAAACTCCGTGAGTTGAACGAACACATCACAACGCAGTTTGTGGGAATGATTCTGTCTAGTTTTTATAGGAAGATATTTCCTTTTCTACCTTTGACTTCAAAGCGGCTGAAATCTCCACTGGCAAATTCCACAAAAAGGGTGTTACAAGTCTGCTCTGTGTAAAGGATCGTTCAACTCTGTGAGTTGAATACACACAACACAAGGAAGTTACTGAGAATTCTTCTGTCTAGCCTTACATGAAAAAAACCCGTTTCCAACGAAGGCCTCTAAGTGGTCAAGTTATCCACGTGCAGACTTTACAAACAGAGTGTTTCCAAATTGCTGAATGAAAAGAAAAGTTAAGCTCTGAGAGTTGAACGCACACATCGCAGAGCAGTTTCTGAGAATGATTCTGTCTAGTTTTTATACGAAGATATTTCCTTTTCTGCCTTTGGCCCCAAAGCGCTTGAAATCTCCACTTGCAAATTCCACAAAAACAGTGTTTAAAATCTGCTCTCTCTAAATGAAAGTTCAACTCTGTCAGTTGAATACACACAACACAAGGAAGTTACTGAGAATTCTTCTGTCTAGCCTTATATGAAAAAAACCCGTTTCCAACGAAGGCCTCAAAGAGGTCTGAATATCCACTTGCAGACTTTACAAACAGAGTGTTTCCTAACTCCTCTATGAAAAGAAAGGTTAAACTCTGTGAGTTGAACGCACACATCACAAAGGAGTTTCTGAGAATCATTCTGTCTAGTTTTTATACGAAGATATTTCCTTTTCAACAATTGACCTCAAAGCGGCTGAAATCTCCACTTGCAAATTCCACAAAAAGAGTGTTTCAAGTCTACTCTGTGTAAAGCATCGTTCAACTCTGTGAGTTGAAATTACACAACACAAGGAAGTTTCTGAGAATTCTTCTGTCTAGCCTTATATGAAAAAACCCCGTTTCCAACGAAGGCCTCAAAGAGGTCTGAATATCCACTTGCAGACTTTACAAACAGAGTGTTTCCTAACTGCTCTATGAAAAGAAAGGTTAAACTCTGTGAGTTGAACACACACATCACAAACGAGTTTCTGAGAATCATTCTGTCTAGTTTTTATAGGAAGATATTTCCTTTTCTACCTTTGACTTCAAAGCGGCTGAAATCTCCACTTGCAAATTCCACAAAAAGAGTGTGACAAGTCTGCTCTGTCTAAGGGAACGTTCAACTCTGTGAGTTGAATGTACACAACACACGGAAGTTACTGGGAATTCTTCTGTCTAGCCTGACAGGAAAAAAACCCGTTTCCAACGAAGGCCTCTAAGTGGTCAAAATATCCACGTGCAGACTTTACAAACAGAGTGTTTCCAAACTGCTGAATGAAAAGAAAAGTTAAACTCTGAGAGTTCGAACGCACACATCGCAGAGCAGTTTCTGAGAATGATTCTGTCTAGTTTTCATACGAAGATATTTCCTTTTCTGCCTTTGGCCCCAAAGCGTTTGAAATCTCCACTTGCAAATTCCACAAAAACAGTATTTCAAATCTGCTCTCTCTAAATGAAAGTTCAACTCTGTCAGTTGAATACACACAATACAAGGAAGTTACTGAGAATTCTTCTGTCTAGCAGAATATGAAGAAATCCCGTTTCCAACGAAGGCCTCAAAGAGGTCTGAATATCCACTTGCAGACTTTACAAACAGAGTGTTTCCTAACTGCTCTATGAAAAGAAAGGTTAAACTCTGTGAGTTGAACTCACACATCACAAAGGAGTTTCTGAGAATCATTCTGTCTAGTCTTTATACGAAGATATTTCCTTTTCTACCATTGACCTCAAAGCGGCTGAAATCTCCACTTGCAAATTCCACAAAAAGAGTGTTTCAACTCTGCTCTCTGTAAAGGATCGTTCAACTCTGTGAGTTGAATACACAAAACACAAGGAAGTTACTGAGAATTATTCTGTCTAGCATAATATGAAGAAATCCCGTTTCCAACGAAGGCCGCAAGATGTCAGAATATCCACTTACAGACTTTACAAACAGAGTGTTTCCTAACTGCTCTATGAACAGAAAGGTTAAACTCTGTGAGTTGAACGAACACATCACAACGCAGTTTGTGGGAATGATTCTGTCTAGTTTAGAAACGAAGATATTTCCTTTTCTGCCTTTGACCTTAAAGCGCTTGAAATCTACACTTGCAAATTGCACAAATAGAGTGTTTCAAATCTGCTCTGTCTAAGGGAACGTTCAACTCTGTGAGTTGAATGCACACAACACAAGGAAGTTACTGGAAATTCTTCTGTGTAGCCTTACATGAAAAAAAACCCGTTTCCAACGAAGGCCTCTAAGTGGTCAAAATATCCACGTGCAGACTTTATAAACAGAGTGTTTCCAAACCGCTGAATGAAAAGAAAAGTTAAACTCTGAGAGTTGAACGCACACATCACGCAGCAGTTTCTGAGAATGATTCTGTCTAGTTTCTATAGGAAGATATTTCCTATTCTACCATTGACCTCAAAGCGGCTGAAATCTCCACTTGCAAATTCCACAAAAAGAGTGTTTCAAGTCTGCTACTGTGTAAAGGATCGTTCAACTCTGTGAGTTGAATACACACAACACAAGGAAGTTACTGAGAATTCTTCTTTCTGGCAGAATATGAAGAAATCCCGTTTCCAACGAAAGCCTCAAGGATGTCTGAATATCCACTTGCAGACTTTACAAACAGAGTGTTTCCTAACTGCTCTATGAAAAGAAAGGGTAAACTCTGTGAGTTGAACGCACACATCACAAAGGAGTTTCTGAGAATCATTCTGTCTAGTTTCTATAGGAAGATATTTCCTATTCTACTATTGACCACAAAGCGGCTGAAATCTCCACTTGCAAATTCCACAAAAAGAGTGTTTCAAGTCTGCTCTGTGTAAAGCATCGTTCAACTCTGTGAGTTGAATACACACAACACAAGGAAGTTACTGAGAATTCTTCTGTCTAGCAGAACATGAAGAAATCCCACTTCCAACGAAGGCCTCAAAGAAGTCTGAATATCCACTTGCAGACTTTACAAACAGAGTGTTTCCCAACTGCTCTATGAAAAGAAAGGTTGAACTCTGTGAGTTGAACGCACACATCACAAAGGAGTTTCTGAGAATCATTCTGTCTAGTTTTTATACGAAGATATTTCCTTTTCTACCATTGACCTCAAAGCGGCTGAAATCTCCACTTGCAAATTCCAATAAAAAGAGTGTTTCTAATCTGCTCTGTGTGAAGGATCGTTCAACTCTGTGAGTTGAATGCACACAACACAAGGAAGTTACTGGGAATTCTTCTGTCTAGCAGAATATGAAGAAATCCCGTTTCCAACGAAGGCCTCAAGATGTCAGAATATCCACTTACAGACTTTACAAACAGAGTGTTTCCTAACTGCTCTATGAACAGAAAGGTTAAACTCTGTGAGTTGAACGAACACATCACAACGCAGTTTGTGGGAATGATTCTGTCTAGTTTTTATAGGAAGATATTTCCTTTTCTACCTTTGACATCAAAGCGGCTGAAATCTCCACTTGCAAATTCCACAAAAAGAGTGTTACAAGTCTGCTCTGTGTAAAGGATCGTTCAACTCTGTGAGTTGAATACACACGACACAAGGAAGTTACTGAGAATTCTTCTGTCTAGCCTTACATGAAAAAAACCCGTTTCCAACGAAGGCCTCTAAGTGGTCAAATTGTCCACGTGCAGATTTTACAAACAGAGTGTTTCCAAACAGCTGAATGAAAAGAAAAGTTAAACTCTGAGAGTTGAACGCACACATCGCAGAGCAGTTTCTGAGAATGATTCTGTCTAGTTTTTATACGAAGATATTTCCTTTTCTGCCTTTGGCCCCACAGCGCTTGAAATCTCCACTTGCAAATTCCACAAAAACAGTGTTTCAAATCTGCTCTCTCTAAATGAAAGTTCAACTCTGTCAGTTAAAAACACACAACACAAGGAAGTTACTGAGAATTCTTCTGTCTAGCACAGTATGAAGAAATCCCGTTTCCAACGAAGGCCTCAAATAGGTCTGAATATCCACTTGCAGAGTTTACAAACAGAGTGTTTCCTAACTGCTCCATGAAAAGAAAGGTTAAACTCTGTGAGTTGAACGCACACATCACAAAGAAGTTTCTGAGAATCATTCTGTCTTGTTTCTATACGAAGATATTTCCTTTTCTACCATTGACCTCAAAGCGGCTGAAATCTCCACTTGCAAATTCCACAAAAAGAGAGTTTCAAGTCTGCTCTGTGTAAAGGATCGTTCAACTCTGTGAGTTGAATACACACAACACAAGGAATTTACTGAGAATTCTTCTGTCTAGCAGAATATGAAGAAATCCCGTTTCCAACGAAGGCCTCAAGGACGTCTGAATATCCACTTGCAGACTTTACAAACAGAGTGTTTCCTAACTGCTCTATGAAAAGAAAGGTTAAACTGTGTGAGTTGAACGCACACATCACAAAGGAGTTTCTCAGAATCATTCTGTCTAGTTTTTATACGAAGATATTTCCTTTTCTACCATTGACCTCAAAGCGGCTGAAATCACCACTTGCCAATTGCACAAAAAGAGTGTTTCAAATCTACTCTGTCTAAGGGAACGTTCAAATGTGTGAGTTGAATGTACGCAAAACAAGGAAGTTCCTGGGAATTCTTCTGTCTAGCCTTACAGGAAAAAAACCCGTTTCCAACGAAGGCCTCTAAGTGGTCAAAATATCCACGTGCAGACTTTACAAACAGAGTGTTTCCAAACTGGTGAATGAAAAGAAAAGTTAAACTCTGAGAGTTGAACGCACACATCGCAGAGCAGTTTCTGAGAATGATTCTGTCTAGTTTTTATACGAAGATATTTCCTTTTCTGCCTTTGGCCACAAAGCGCTTGAAATCTCCACTTGCAAATTCCACAAAAACAGTGTTTCAAATCTGCTCTCTCTAAATGAAAGTTCAACTCTGTGAGTTGAATACACACAACACAAGGAAGTTACTGAGAATTCTTCTGTCTAGCAGAATATGAAGAAATCCCGTTTCCAACGAAGGCCTCAAAGAGGTCTAAATATCCCCTTGCAGACTTTACAAACAGAGTGTTTCCTAACTGCTCTATGAAAAGAAAGGTTAAACTCTGTGAGTGGAACGCACACATCACAAATGGGTTTCTGAGAATCATTATGTCTAGTTTTTCTACGAAGATATTTCCTTTTCTACTATTGACCTCAAAGTGGCTGAAATCTCCACTTGCAAATTCCACAAAAAGAGTGTTTCAAGTCTGCTCTGTGTAAAGGATCGTTCAACTCTGTGAGTTGAATACACACAACACAAGGAAGTTACTGAGAATTCTTCTGTCTAGCATAATATGAAGAAATCCCGTTTCCAACGAGGGCCTCACAGAGGTCTGAATATCCACTTGTAGACTTTACAAACAGAGTGTTTCCTAACTGCTCTATGAAAAGAAAAGTTAAACTCTGTGAGTTGAACGCACACATCACAGAGGAGTTTCTGAGAATCATTCTGTCTAGTTTTGAAACGAAGATATTTCCTTTTCTGCCATTGACCTTAAAGAGCTTGAAAACTACACTTGCAAATTGCACAAATAGAGTGTTTCAAATCTGCTCTGTCTAAGGGAACGTTCAACTCTGTGAGTTGAATGCACACAACACAAGGAAGTTACTGGGAATTCTTCTGTCTAGCCTTACATGAAAAAAACCCGTTTCCAACGAAGGCCTCTAAGTGGTCAAAATTTCCACGTGCAGACTTTACAAACAGAGTGTTTCCAAACCGCTGAATGAAAAGAAAACTTAAACTCTGAGAGTTGAACGCACACATCACGCAGCAGTTTCTGAGAATGATTCTGTCTAGTTTTGAAACGAAGATATTTCCTTTTCTGCCTTTGGCCTCAAAGCCCTTGAAATCTCCACTTGCAAATTCCACAAAAAGAGTGTTTCAAATCTGCTCTGTGTAAATGAAAGTTCAACTCTGTGAGTTCAACACACAAAACACAAGGAAGTTACTGGAATTCTTCTGTCTAGCATAATATGAAGAAATCCCGTTTCCAACGAAGGCCTCAAGGAGGTCTGAATATCCACTTGCAGACTTTAAAAACAGAGTGTTTCCTAACTGCTCTATGAAAAGAAAGGTTAAACTCTGTGAGTTGAACGCACACATCACAAAGGAGTTTCTCAGAATCATTCTGTCTAGTTTTTATACGAAGATATTTCCTTTTCTACCATGGACCTCAAAGCGGCTGAAATCTCCACTTGCAAATTCCACAAAAAGAGAGTTTCAAGTCTGCTCTGTGTAAAGGATCGTTCAACTCTTTGAGTTGAATACACACAACACAAGGAAGATTCTGAGAATTCTTCTGTCTAGCAGAATATGAAGAAATCGCGTTTCCAACGAAGGCCACAAGATGTCAGAATATCCACTTACAGAATTTACAAACAGACTGTTTCCTAACTGCTCTATGAAAAGAAAGGTTAAACTCTGTGAGTTGAACGAACACATCACAACGCAGTTTGTGGGAATGATACTGTCTAGTTTTGAAACGAAGATATTTCCTTTTCTGCCATTGACCTTAAAGCGCTTGAAATCTACACTTGCAAATTGCACAAATAGAGTGTTTCAAATCTGCTCTGTCTAAGGGAACGTTCATCTCTGTGAGTTGAATGCACACAACACAAGGAAGTTACTGGGAATTCTTCTGTCTAGCCTTACAGGAAAAAAACCCGTTTCCAACGAAGGTCTCTAAGTGGTCAAAGTATCCACCTGCAGACTTTACAAACAGAGTGTTTCCAAACTGCTGAATGAAAAGAAAAGTTAAACTCTGAGAGTTGAACGCACACATCGCAGAGCAGTTTCTGAGAATGATTCTGTCTAGTTTTTATACGAAGATATTTCCTTTTCTGCCTTTGGCCTCAAAGCGCTTGAAATCTCCACTTGCAAATTCCACAAAAAGAGTGTTTCAAATCTGCTCTGTGTAAATCAAAGTTCAACTCTGTGAGTTGAACACACACAACACAAGGAAGTTACTGGGAATCTTCTGTCTAGCAGAATATGAAGAAATCCCGTTTCCAACGAAGGCCTCAAAGAGGTCTGAATATCCACTTGCAGACTTTACAAACAGAGTGTTTCCGAACTGCTCTATGAAAAGAAAGGTTAAACTCTGTGAGCTGAACGCACACATCACAAAGGAGTTTCTGAGAATCATTCTGTCTAGTTTTTATAGGAAGATATTTCCTTTTCTACCTGTGACTTCAAAGCGGCTGAAATCTCCACTTGCAAATTACACAAAAAGAGTGTTACAAGTCTGCTCTGTGTAAAGGATCGTTCAACTCTGTGAGTTGAATACACACAACACAAGGAAGTTACTGAGAATTCTTCTGTCTAGCAGAATATGAAAAAATCCCGTTTCTAACGAAGGCCACAAGATGTCAGAATATCCACTTACAGACTTTACAAAAAGAGTGTTTCCTAACTGCTCTATGAACAGAAAGGTTAAACTCTGTGAGTTGAACGAACACATCACAACGCAGTTTGTGGGAATGATTCTGTCTAGTTTTGAAACGAAGATATTTCCTTTTCTGCCGTTGACCTTAAAGAGCTTGAAAACTACAATTGCAAATTGCACAAATAGAGTGTTTCAAATCTGCTCTGTCTAAGGGAACGTTCAACTCTGTGAGTTGAATGCACACAACACAAGGAAGTTACTGGGAATTCTTCTGTCTAGCCTTACATGAAAAAAACCCGTTTCCAACGAAGGCCTCTAAGCGGTCAAATTATGCAAGTGCAGACTTTACAAACAGAGTGTTTCCAAACTGCTGAATGAAAAGAAAAGTTAAACTCTGAGAGTTGAACGCACACATCGCAGAGCAGTTTCTGAGCATGATTCTGTCTAGTTTTGGCCCCAAAGCGCTTGATATCTCCACTTGCAAATTCCACAAAAAGAGTGTTTCAAGTCTGCTCTGTGTAAAGGATCGTTCAACTCTGTGAGTTGAATACACACAACACAAGGAAGTTACTGAGAATTCTTCTGTCTAGCATAATATGAAGAAATCCCGTTTCCAACGAAGGCCTCAAAGGGGTCTGAATATCCACTTGCAGACTTTATAAACAGAGTGTTTACTAACTGCTCTATGAAAAGAAAGGTTAAACTCTGTGAGTTGAACACACACATCACAAAGGAGTTTCTAAGAATCATTCTGTCTAGTTTCTATAGGAAGATATTTGCTATTCTACCATTGACCTCAAAGCGGCTGAAATCTCCACTTGCAAATTCCACAAAAAGAATGTTTCAACTCTGCTCTGTGTAAAGGATCGTTCAACTCTGTGAGTTGAATACACACAACACAAGGAAGTTACTGAGAATTCTTCTGTCTAGCAGAATATGAAGAAATCCCGTTTCCAACGAAGGCCACAAGATGTCAGAATATCCACTTACAGACTTCACAAACAGAGTGTTTCCTAACTGCTCTATGAAGAGAAAGCTTAAACTCTGTGGGTTGAACGAACACATCACAACGCAGTTTGTGGTAATGATTCTGTCTAGTTTTGAAACGAAGATATTTCCTTTTCTGCCGTTGACCTTAAAGAGCTTGAAAACTACACTTGTAAGTTGCACAAATAGAGTGTTTCAAATCTGCTCTGTCTAAGGGAACGTTCAACTCTGTGAGTTGAATGCACACAACACAAGGAAGTTACTGGGAATTCTTCTGTCTAGCCTTACAGGAAAAAAACCCGTTTCCAACGAAGGCCTCAAAGAGGTCTGAATATCCACGTGCAGTCTTTACAAACAGAGTGTTTCCTAACTGCTCTATGAAAAGAAAGTTTTAACTCTGTGAGTTGAACGCATAAATCACAAAGAAGTTTCTGAGAATCATTCTGTCTAGTTTTTATACGAAGATATTTCCTTTTCTGCCTTTGGCCCCAAAGCGCTTGAAATCTCCACTTGCAAATTCCACAAAAACAGTGTTTCAAATCTGCTCTCTCTAAATGAAAGTTCAACTCTGTCAGTTGAATACACAAAACACAAGGAAGTTACTGAGAATTCTTCTGTCTAGCAGAAGATGAAGAAATCCCGCTTCCAACGAAGGCCTCAAGGAGGTCTGAATATCCACTTGCAGACTTTACAAACAGAGTGTTTCCCAACTGCTCTATGAAAAGAAAGGTTGAACTCTGTGAGTTGAACGCACACATCACAAAGGAGTTTCTGAGAATCATTCTGTCTAGTTTTTCTACGAAGATATTTCCTTTTGTACTATTGACCTCAAAGCGGTTGAAATCTCCACTTGCAAATTCCACAAAAAGAGTGTTTCAAGTCTGCTCTGTGTAAAGGATCTTTCAACTCTGTGAGTTGAATACACACAACACAAGGAAGTTACTGAGAATTCTTCTGTCTAGTACAGTATGAAAAAATCCCGTTTCCAACGAAGGCCTCAAAGAGGTCTAAATATCCACTTGCAGAGTTTACAAACAGAGTGTTTCCTAACTGCTCTATGAAAAGAAAGGTTAAACTCTGTGAGTTGAACGCACACATCACAAAGAAGTTTCTGAGAATCATTCTGTCTAGTTTTGAAACGAAGATATTTCCTTTTCTGCCATTGACCTTAAAGCGCTTGAAATCTCCAATTGCCAATTGCACAAAAAGAGTGTTTCAAATCTGCTCTGTCTAAGGGAGCGTTCAAATCTGTGAGTTGAATGTACACAACACAAGGAAGTTACTGGGAATTCTTCTGTCTAGCCTTATATGAAAAAAACCCGTTTCCAAAGAAGGCCTCTAAGTGGTCAAATTATCCACGTGCAGACTTTACAAACAGAGTGTTTCCAAACTGCTGAATGAAAAGAAAAGTTAAACTCTGAGAGTTGAACGCACACATCGCAGAGCAGTTTCTGAGAATGATTCTGTCTAGTTTTTATACGAAGATATTTCCTTTTCTGCCTTTGGCCTCAAAGCGCTTGAAATCTCCACTTGCAAATTCCATAAAAAGAGTGTTTCAAATCTGCTCTATGTAAATGAAAGTTCAACTCTGTGAGTTGAACACACACAACACAAGGAAGTTACGGGGAATTCTTCCGTCTAGCATAATATGAAGAAATCCCGTTTCCAAAGAAGGCCTCAAAGGGGTCTGAATATCCACTTGCAGACTTTATAAACAGAGTGTTTACGAACTGCTCTATGAAAAGAAAGGTTAAACTCTGTGAGTTGAACACACACATCACAAAGGAGTTTCTGAGAATCATTCTGTCTAGTCTTTATACGAAGATATTTCCTTTTCTACCATTGACCTCAAAGCGGCTGAAATCTCCACTTGCAAATTCCACAAAAAGGGTGTTTCAAGTCTGCTCTGGGTAAAGGATCGTTCAACTCTGTGAGTTGAATACACACAACACAAGGAAGTTACTGAGAATTCTTCTGTCTATCAGAATATGAAGAAATCCCGTTTCCAAAGAAGGCCTCAAGGAGGTCTGAATATCCACTTGCAGGCTTTACAAACAGAGTGTTTCCTAACTGCTCTATGAAAAGAAAGGTTAAACTCTGTGAGTTGAACGCACACATCACAAAGGAGTTTATGAGAATCATTCTGTCTAGTTTTGAAACGAAGATATTTCCTTTTCTGCCGTTGACCTTAAAGAGCTTGAAAACTACACTTGCAAATTGCACAAATAGAGTGTTTCAAATCTGCTCTGTCTAAGGGAACGTTCAACTCTGTGAGTTGAATGCACACAACACAAGGAAGTTACTGGGAATTCTTCTGTCTAGCCTTACATGAAAAAAACCCGTTTCCAACGAAGGCCTCTAAGTGGTCAAAATATCCACGTGCAGTTTTTACAAACAGAGTGTTTCCAAACCGCTGAATGAAAAGAAAAGTTAAACTCTGAGAGTTGAACGCACACATCACGCAGCAGTTTCTGAGAATGATTCTGTCTAGTTTTTATACGAAGATATTTCCTTTTCTGCCTTTGGCCTCAAATCGCTTGAAATCTCCATTTGCAAATTCCACAAAAAGAGTGTTTCAAATCTGCTCTGTGTAAATGAAAGTTCAACTCTGTCAGTTGAATACACACAACACAAGGAAGTTACTGAGAATTCTTCTGTCTAGCAGAATATGAAGAAATCCCGTTTCCAACGAAGGCCTCAAGGAGGTCTGAATATCCACTTGCAGACTTTACAAACAGAGTGTTTCCTAACTGCTCTATGAACAGAAAGTTTAAACTCTGTGAGTTGAACACACACATCACAAAGGAGTTTCTGAGAATCATTCTGTCTAGTTTTTATACGAAGATATTTCCTTTTCTACCATGGACCTCAAAGCAGCTGAAATCTCCACTTGCAAATTCCACAAAAAGAGTGTTTCAAGTCTGCTCTGTGTAAAGGATCGTTCAACTCTGTGAGTTGAATACACACAACACAAGGAAGATTCTGAGAATTCTTCTGTCTAGCAGAATATGAAGAAATCCCGTTTCCAACGAATGCCACAAGATGTCAGAATATCCACTTACAGAATTGACAGACTGTTTCCTAACTGCTCTATGAAAAGAAAGGTTAAACTCTGTGAGTTGAACGAACACATCACAACGCAGTTTGTGGGAATGATTCTGTCTAGTTTTGAAACGAAGATATTTCCTTTTCTGCCATTGAACTTAAAGCGCTTGAAATCTCCATTTGCCAATTGCACAAAAAGAGTGTTTCAAATCTGCTCTGTCTAAGGGAACGTTCAACTCTGTGAGTTGAATGTACACAACACAAGGAAGTTACTGGGAATTCTTCTGTCTAGCCTTACAGGAAAAAAACCCGTTTCCAACGAAGGCCTCTAAGTGGTCAAAATATCCACGTGCAGACTTTACAAACAGAGTGTTTCCAAACTGCTGAATGAAAAGAAAAGTTAAACTCTGAGAGTTGAACGCACACATTGCAGAGCAGTTTCTGAGAATGATTCTGTCTAGTTTTTATACGAAGATATTTCCTTTTCTGCCTTTGGCCTCAAAGCGCTTGAAATCTCCACTTGCAAATTCCACAAAAAGAGTGTTTCAAATCTGCTCTGTGTAAATCAAAGTTCAACTCTATGAGTTGAACACACACAACACAAGGAAGTTACTGGGAATTCTTCTGTCTAGCATAATATGAAGAAATCCCGTTTCCAACGAAGGCCTCAAAGTGGTCTGAATATCCACTTGCAGACTTTACAAACAGAGTGTTTCCTAACTGCTCTATGAGAAGAAAAGTTAAACTCTGTGAGTTGAACGCACACATCACAAAAGATTTTCTGAGAATCATTCTGTGTAGTTTTTATAGGAAGATATTTCCTTTTCTACCTTTGACTTCAAAGCGGCTGAAATCTCCACTTGCAAATTCCACAAAAAGAGTGTTACAAGTCTGCTCTGTGTAAAGGATCGTTCAACTCTGTGAGTTGAATACACACCACACAAGGAAGTTACTGAGAATTCTTCTGTCCAGCCTTACATGAAAAAAACCCGTTTCCAACGAAGGCCTCTAAGTGGTCAAATTATCCACGTGCAGACTTTACAAACAGAGTGTTTCCAAACTGCTGAATGAAAAGCAAAGTTAAACTCTGAGAGTTGAACACACACATCGCACAGCAGTTTCTGAGAATGATTCTGTCTAGTTTTGAAACGAAGATATTTCCTTTTCTGCCATTGAACTTAAAGCGCTTGAAATCTACACTTGCAAATTGCACAAATAGAGTGTTTCAAATCTGCTCTGTCTAAGGGAACGTTCAACTCTGTGAGTTGAATACACACAACACAAGGAAGTTACTGGGAATTCTTCTGTCTAGCCTTACATGAAAAAAACTCGTTTCCAACGAAGGCCTCTAAGTGGTCAAAATATCCACGTGCAGACTTTACAAACAGAGTGTTTACAAACTGCTGAATGAAAAGAAAATTAAACTCTGAGAGTTGAACGCACACATCACAGAGCAGTTTTTGAGAATGCTTCTGTCTAGTTTTTATACGAAGATATTTCCTTTTCTACCATTGACCTCAAAGCGGCTGAAATCTCCACTTGCAAATTCCACAAAAAGAGTGTTTCAAGTCTGCTCTGTGTAAAGGATCGTTCAGCTCTGTGAGTTGAATACACACAACACTCGGAAGTTACTGAGAATTCTTCTGTCTAGCACAGTATGAAGAAATCCCGTTTCCAACTAAGGCCTCAAAGAGGTCTGAATATCCACTTGCAGAGTTTACAAACAGAGTGTTTCCTAACTGCTCTATGAAAAGAAAGGTTAAACTCTGTGAGTTGAACGCACACATCACAAAGAAGTTTCTGAGAATCATTCTGTCTAGTTTTTATAGGAAGATATTTCCTTTTCTACCTTTGACGTCAAAGCGGGTGAAATCTCCACTTGCAAATTCCACAAAAAGAGTGTCACAAGTCTGCTCTGTGTAAAGGATCGTTCAACTCTATGAGTTGAATACACACAACACAAGGAAGTTACTGAGAATTCTTCTGTCTAGAATAGTATGAAGAAATCCCGTTTCCAACGAAGGCCTCAAACAGGTCTGAACATCCACTTGCAGAGTTTACAAACAGAGTGTTTCCTAACTGCTCTATGAAAAGAAAGGTTAAACTCTGTGAGTTGAACGCACACATCACAAAGAAGTTTCTGAGAATCATTCTGTCTAGTTTTGAAACGAAGATATTTCCTTTTCTGCCATTGACCTTAAAGCGCTTGAAATCTACACTTGCAAATTGCACAAATAGAGTGTTTCAAATCTGCTCTGTCTAAGGGAACGTTCAAGTCTGTGAGTTGAATGCACACAACACAAGGAAGTTAGTGGGAATTCTTCTGTCTAGCCTTACATGAAAAAAACCCGTTTCCAACGAAGGCCTCTAAGTGGTCAAAATATCCACGCACAGACTTTACAAACAGAGTGTTTCCAAACCGCTGAATGAAAAGAAAAGTTAAACTCTGAGAGTTGAACGCACACATCACGCAGCAGTTTCTGAGAATGATTCTGTCTAGTTTTGAAACGAAGATATTTCCTTTTCTGCCTTTGGCCTCAAAGCGCTTGAAATCTCCACTTGCAAATTCCACAAAAAGAGTGTTTCAAATCTGCTCTGTGTAAATGAAAGTTCAACTGTGTGAGTTGAACACACACAACACAAAGAAGTTACCGGGAATTCTTCTGTGTAGCATAATATGAAGAAATCCCGTTTCCAACGAAGGCCTCCAAGGGGTCTGAATATCCACTTGCAGACTTTATAAACAGAGTGTTTACTAACTGCTCTATGAAAAGAAAGGTTAAACTCTGTGAGTTGAACACACACATCACAAAGGAGTTTCTGAGAATCATTCTGTCTAGTTTTTATATGAAGATATTTCCTTTTCTACCATTGACCTCAAAGCGGCTGAAATCTCCACTTACAAATTCTACAAAAAGAGTGTCTCAAGTCTGCTCTGTGTAAACGATCGTTCAACTCTGTGAGTTGAATACACACAACACAAGGAAGTTTCTGAGAATTCTTCTGTCTAGCAGAATATGAAGAAATCCCGTTTCCAACGAAGGCCACAAGATGTCAGAATATCCACTTACAGACTTTACAAACAGAGTGTTTCCTAACTGCTCTATGAACAGAAAGGTTAAACTCTGTTAGTTGAACGAACACATCACAACGCAGTTTGTGGGAATGATTCTGTCTAGTTTTGAAACGAAGATATTTCCTTTTCTGCCATTGACCTTAAAGCGCTTGAAATCTCCACTTGCAAATTCCACAAAAAGAGTGTTTCAAATCTGCTCTGTGTAAATGAAAGTTCAACTCTGTGAGTTGAACACACACAACACAAGGAAGTTACTGGGAATTCTTCTGTCTAGCCTTACATGAAAAAAATCCGTTTCCAACGAAGGCCTCCAAGTGGTCAAATTATCCACGTGCAGACTTTACAAACAGAGTGTTTCCAAACTGCTGAATGAAAAGAAAAGTTAAACTCTGAGAGTTGAACGCACACATCGCAGAGCAGTTTCTGAGAATGATTCTGTCTAGTTTTTATACGAAGATATTTCCTTTTCTGCCTTTGGCCTCAAAGCGCTTGAAATCTCCATTTGCAAATTCCACAAAAAGAGTGTTTCAAATCTGCTCTGTGTAAATGAAAGTTCAACTTTGTGAGTTGAACACACACAACACAAGGAAGTTACTGGGAATTCTTCTGTCTAGCCTTATATGAAAAAAACCCGTTTCCAACGAAGGCCTCAAAGAGGTCTGAATATCCACTTGCAGACTTTACAAACAGAGTGTTTCCTAACTGCTCTATGAAAAGAAAGGTTAAACTCTGTGAGTTGAACTCACACATCACAAAGGAGTTTCTGAGAATCATTCTGTCTTGTTTTTATAGGAAGATATTTCCTTTTCTACTTTGACTTCAAAGCGGCTGAAATCTCCACTTGCAAATTCCACAAAAAGAGTGTTACAAGTCTGCTCTCTGTAAAGGATCGTTCAACTGTGTGAGTTGAATACACACAACACAAGGAAGTTACTGAGAACTCTTCTGTCTAGCAGACTATGAAGAAATCCCGTTTCCAAAGATGGCCACAAGATGTCAGAATATCCACTTACGGACTTTACAAACAGAGTGTTTCCTAACTGCTCTATGAACAGAAAGGTTAAACTCTGTGAGTTGAACGAACACATCACAACGCAGTTTGTGGGAATGATTCTGTCTAGTTTTGAAACGAAGATATTTCCTTTTCTGCCATTGACCTTAAAGCGCTTGAAATCACCATTTGCCAATTGCACAAAAAGAGTGTTTCAAATCTGCTCTGTCTAAGGGAACGTTCAACTCTGTGAGTTGAATGTACACAACACAAGGAAGTTACTGGGAATTCTTCTGTCTAGCCTAACATGAAAAAAACCCGTTTCCAACGAAGGCCCCTAAGTGGTCAAAATATCCACGTGCAGACTTTACGAACAGAGTGTTTCCAAACCGCTGAATGAAAAGAAAAGTTAAACTCTGAGAGTTGAACGCACACATCACGCAGCAGTTTCTGAGAATGATTCTGTCTAGTTTTTATACGAAGATATTTCCTTTTCTGCCTTTGGCCCCAAAGCGCTTGAAATCTCCACTTGCAAATTCCACAAAAACAGTGTTTCAAATCTGCTCTCTCTAAATGAAAGTTCAAATCTGTCAGTTGAATACACACAACACAAGGGAAGTTACTGAGAATTCTTCTGTCTAGCATAATATGAAGAAATCTCGTTTCCAACGAAGGCCTCAAGGAGGTCTGAATATCCACTTGCAGACTTTACAAACAGAGTGTTTCCTAACTGCTCTATGACAAGAAATGTTAAACTCTGTGAGTTGAACGCACACATCACAAAGGAGTTTCTGAGAATCATTCTGTCTAGTCTTTATACGAAGATATTTACTTTTCTACCATTGACCTCAAAGCGGCTGAAATCTCCACTTGCAAATTCCACAAAAAGAGTGTTTCAAGTCTGCTCTGTGTAAAGGATCATTCAACTCTGTGAGTTGAATACACACAACACAAGGAAGTTACTGGGAATTATTCTGTCTAGCAGAATATGAAGAAATCCCGTTTCCAACGAAGGCCTCAAAGAGGTCTGAATATCCACTTGCAGACTTTACAAACAGAGTGTTTCCTAACTGCTCTATGAGAAGAAAAGTTAAACTCTGTGAGTTGAACGCACACATCACAAATGATTTTCTGAGAATCATTCTGTCTAGTTTTAATAGGAAGATATTTCCTTTTCTACCTTTGACTTCAAAGCGGCTGAAATCTCCACTTGCAAATTCCACAAAAAGAGTGTTACAAGTCTGCTCTGTGTAAAGGATCGTTCAACTCTGTGAGTTGAATACACACAACACAAGGGAAGTTACTGAGAATTCTTCTGTCTAGCCTTACATGAAAAAAACCCGTTTCCAACGAAGGCCTCTAAGTGGTCAAATTATCCACGTGCAGACTTTACAAACAGAGTGTTTCCAAACTGCTGAATGAAAAGAAAAGTTAAACTCTGAGAGTTGAACGCACACATCACAGAGCAGTTTCTGAGAATGATTCTGTCTAGTTTTTATACAAAGATATTTCCTTTTCTGCCTTTGGCCTCAAAGCGCTTGAAATCTCCATTTGCAAATTCCACAAAAAGAGTGTTTCAAATCTGCTCTGTGTAAATGAAAGTTCAACTCTGTGAGTTGAACACAGACAACACAAGGAAGTTACTGGGAATTCTTCTTTCTAGCAGAATATGAAGAAATCCCGTTTCCAACGAAAGCCTCAAGGATGTCTGAATATCCACTTGCAGACTTTACAAACAGAGTGTTTCCTAACTGCCCTATGAAAAGAAAGGTTAAACTCTGTGAGTTGAACGCACACATCACAAAGGAGTTTCTGAGAATCATTCTGTCTGGTTTCTATAGGAAGATATTTCCTATTCTACCATTGACCTCAAAGAGGCTGAAATCTCCACTTGCAAATTCCACAAAAAGAGTGTTTCAAGTCTGCTCTCTGTAAAGGATCGTTCAACTCTGTGAGTTGAATACACACAACACAAGGAAGTTACTGAGAATTCTTCTGTCCAGCAGAATATGAAGAAATCCCGTTTCCAACGAAGGCCACAAGACGTCAGAATATCCACTTACAGACTTTACAAACAGAGTGTTTCCTAACTGCTCTATGAACAGAAAGGTTAAATTCTGTGAGTTGAACGAACACATCACAACGCAGTTTGTGGGAATGATTCTGTCTAGTTTTGAAACGAAGATATTTCCTTTTCTGCCATTGACCTTAAAGCGCTTGAAATCTACACTTGCAAATTCCACAAAAAGAGTGTTTCAAGTCTGCTCTGTGTAAAGGATCGTTCAACTCTGTGAGTTGAGTACACACAACACAAGGAAGTTTCTGAGAATTCTTCTGTCTAGCCTTACATGAAAAAAACCCGTTTCCAACGAAGGCCTCTAAGTGGTCAAATTATCCACGTGCAGACATTACAAACAGAGTGTTTCCAAACTGCTGAATGAAAAGAAAAGTTAAACTCTGAGAGTTCAACGTACACATCGCAGAGCAGTTTCTGAGAATGATTCTGTCTAGTTTCTATACGAAGATATTCCCTTTTCTACCATTGACCTCAAAGCGGCTGAAATCTCCACTTGCAAATTCCACAAAAAGAGTGTTTCAAGTCTGCTCTGTGAAAAGGATCGTTCAACTCTGTGAGTTGAATACACACAACACAAGGAAGTTACTGAGAATTCTTCTGTCTACCATAATATGAAGAAATCCCGTTTCCAACGAAGGCCTCAAAGGGGTCTGAATATCCACTTGCAGACTTTTTAAACAGAGTGTTTACTAACTGCTCTAGGAAAAGAAAAGTTAAACTCTGTGAGTTGAACACACACATCACAAAGGAGTTTCTGAGAATCATTCTGTCTAGTTTTTATAGGAAGATATTTCCTTTTCTACCTTTGACTTCAAAGCTGCTGAAATCTCCACTTGCGAATTCCACAAAAAGAGTGTTACAAGTCTGCTCTGTGTAAAGGATCGTTCAAATCTGTGAGTTGAATACACACAACACAAGGAAAGTTACTGAGAATTCTTCTGTCTAGCAGAATATGAAGAAATCCCGTTTCCAACGAAGGCCACAAGATGTCAGAATATCCACTTACAGAATTTACAAACAGACTGTTTCCTAACTGCTCTAGGAAAAGAAAGGTTAAACTCTGTGAGTTGAACGAACACATCACAACGCAGTTTGTGGGAATGATTCTGTCTAGTTTTTATACGAAGATATTTCCTTTTCTACCATTGACCTCAAAGCGGCTGAAATCACCACTTGCCAATTGCACAAAAAGAGTGTTTCAAATCTGCTCTGTCTAAGGGAACGTTCAACTCTGTGAGTTGAATGTACACAACACAAGGAAGTTACTGGGAATTCTTCTGTCTAGCCTTACAGGAAAAAAACCCGTTTCCAACGAAGGCCTCTAAGTGGTCAAAATATCCACGTGCAGACTTTACAAACAGAGTGTTTCCAAACTGCTGAATGAAAAGAAAAGTTAAACTCTGAGAGTTGAACGCACACATCGCAGAACAGTTTCTGAGAATGATTCTGTCTAGTTTATATACGAAGATATTTCCTTTTCTGCCTTTGGTCCCAAAGCGCTTGAAATCTCCACTTGCAAATTCCACAAAAACAGTGTTTCAAATCTGCTCTCTCTAAATGAAAGTTCAACTCTGTCAGTTGAATACACACAACACAAGGAAGTTACTGAGAATTCTTCTGTCTAGCCTTATATGAAAAAAACCCGTTTCCAACGAAGGCCTCAAAGAGGTCTGAATATCCACTTGCAGACTTTACAAACAGAGTGTTTCCTAACTGCTCTATGAAAAGAAAGGTTAAACTCTGTGAGTTGAACGCACACATCACAAAGGAGTTTCTGAGAATCTTTCTGTCTAGTTTCTATAGGAAGATATTTCCTATTCTACCATTGACCTCAAAGCGGCTGAAATCTCCACTTGCAAATTCCACAAAAAGAGTGTTTCAAGTCTGCTCTGTGTAAAGGATCGTTCAACTGTGTGAGTTGAATACACACAACACAAGGAAGTTACTGAGAATTCTTCTGTCTAGCAGAATATGAAGAAATCCCTTTTCCAACGAAAGCCTCAAGGATGTCTGAATATCCACTTGCAGACTTTACAAACAGAGTGTTTCCCAACTGCTCTATGAAAAGAAAGGTTAAACTCTGTGAGTTGAACGCACACATCACAAAGGAGTTTCTGAGAATCATTCTGTCTAGTTTTGAAACGAAGATATTTCCTTTTCTGCCATTGACCTTAAAGCGCTTGAAATCTCCATTTGCCAATTGCACAAAAAGAGTGTTTCAAATCTGCTCTGTCTAAGGGAACGTTCAACTCCGTGAGTTGAATGTACACAACACAAGGAAGTTACTGGGAATTCTTTCTGTCTAGCCTTACAGGCAAAAAAACCCGTTTCCAACGAAGGCCTCTAAGTGGTCAAAATATCCACGTGCAGACTTTACAAACAGAGTGTTTCCAAACTGCTGAATGAAAAGAAAAGTTAAACTCTGAGAGTTGAACGCACACATCGCAGAGCAGTTTCTGAGAATGATTCTGTCTAGTTTTTATACGAAGATATTTCATTTTCTGCCTTTGGCCCCAAAGCGCTTGAAATCTCCACTTGCAAATTCCACAAAAACAATGTTACAAATCTGCTCTCTCTAAATGAAAGTTCGACTCTGTCAGTTGAATACACACAACACAGGGAAGTTACTGAGAATTCTTCTGTCTAGCCTTATTTGAAAAAAACCCGTTTCCAACGAAGGCCTCAAAGAGGTCTGAATATCCACTTGCAGACTTTACAAACAGAGTGTTTCCTAACTGCTCTATGAAAAGAAAGGTTAAACTCTGTGAGTTGAGCGCACACATCTCAAAGGAGTTTCTGAGAATCATTCTGTCTTGTTTCTATACGAAGATATTTCCTTTTCTACCATTGACCTCAAAGCGGCTGAAATCTCCACTTGCAAATTCCACAAAAAGAGTGTTTCAAGTCTGCTCTGTGTAAAGGATCGTTCAACTCTGTGAGTTGAATACACACAACACAAGGAAGTTACTGAGAATTCTTCTGTCTAGCAGAATATGAAGAAATCCCGTTTCCAACGAAGGCCTCAAAGAGGTCTGAATATCCCCTTGCAGACTTTACAAATAGAGTGTTTCCTAACTGCTCTATGAAAAGAAAAGTTAAACTCTGTGAGTTGAACGCACACATCACAGAGGAGTTTCTGAGAATCATTCTGTCTAGTTTTGAAACGAAGATATTTCCTTTTCTGCCATTGACCTTAAAGCGCTTGAAATCTACACTTGCAAATTGCACAAATAGAGTGTTTCAAATCTGCTCTGTCTAAGGGAACGTTCAACTCTGTGAGTTGAATGCACACAACACAAGGAAGTTATTGGGAATTCTTCTGTCTAGCCTTACATGAAAAAAACCCGTTTCCAACGAAGGCCTCTAAGTGGTCAAATTATCCACGTGCAGACTTTACAAACAGAGTGTTTCCAAACTGCTGAATGAAAAGAAAAGTTAAACTCTGAGAGTTGAAGGCACACATCGCAGAGCAGTTTCTGAGAATGATTCTGTCTAGTTTTTATACGAAGATATATCCTTTTCTGCCTTTGGCCTCAAAGCGCTTGAAATCTCCACTTGCAAATTCCAGAAAAAGAGAGTTTCAAATCTGCTCTGTCTAAATGAAAGTTCAACTCTGTCAGTTGAATACACACAACAAAAGCAAGTTACTGAGAATTCTTCTGTCTAGCCTTATATGAAAAAAACCCGTTTCCAACGAAGGCCTCAAAGAGGTCTGAATATCCACTTGCAGACTTTACAAACACAGTGTTTCCTAACTGCTCTATGAAAAGAAAGGTTAAACTCTGTGAGTTGAACGCACACATCACAAAGGAGTTTCTGAGAATCATTCTGTCTAGTCTTTATACGAAGTTATTTCCTTTTCTACCATTGACATCAAAGCGGCTGAAATCTCCACTTGCAAATTCCACAAAAAGAGTGTTTCAAGTATGCTCTGTGTAAAGGATCGTTCAACTCTGTGAGTTGAATACACACAACACAAGGAAGTTACTGAGAATTCTTCTGTCTAGCAGAATATGAAGAAATCCCGTTTCCAACGAAGGCCACAAGATGTCAGAATATCCACTTACAGACTTTACAAACAGAGTGTTTCCTAACAGCTCTATGAACAGAAAGGTTAAACTACTGTGAGTTGAACGAACACATCACAACGCAGTTTGTGGGAATGATTCTGTCTAGTTTTGAAACGAAGATATTTCCTTTTCTGCCATTGACCTTAAAGCGCTTGAAATCTCCACTTGCCAATTGCACAAAAAGAGTGTTTCAAATCTGCTCTGTCTAAGGGAACGTTCAACTCTGTGAGTTGAATGTACACAACGCAAGGAAGTTACTGGGAATTCTACTGTCTAGCCTTACAGGAAAAAAACCCGTTTCCAACGAAGGCCTCTAAGTGGTCAAAATATCCACGTGCAGACTTTACAAACAGAGTGTTTGCAAACTGCTGAATGAAAAGAAAAGTTAAACTCTGAGAGTTGAACGCACACATCGCAGAGCAGTTTCTGAGAATGATTCTGTCTAGTTTTTATACGAAGATATTTCCTTTTCTGCCTTTGGCCCCAAAGTGCTTGAAATCTCCACTTGCAAATTCCACAAAAACAGTGTTTCAAATCTGCTCTCTCTAAATGAAAGTTCAACTCTGTCAGTTGAATACACACAACACAAGGAAGTTACTGAGAATTCTTCTGTCTAGCAGAATATGAAGAAATCCCGTTTCCAACTATGGCCTCAAAGAGGTCTGAATATCCACTTGCAGACTTTACAAACAGAGTGTTTCCTAACTGCTCTGTGAAAAGAAAGGTCAAACTCTGTGAGTTGAACGCACACATCACAAAGGAGTTTCTGAGAATCATTCTGTCTAGTTTTTCTACGAAGATATTACCTTTTCTACTATTGACCTCAAAGCGGCTGAAATCTCCACTTGCAAATTCCACAAAAAGAGTGTTTCAAGTCTGCTCTGTGTAAAGGATCGTTCAACTCTGCGAGTTCAATACACACAACACAAGGAAGTTACTGAGAATTCTTCTGTCTAGCAGAATATGAAGAAATCCCGTTTCCAACGAAGGCCACAAGATGTCAGAATATCCACTTACAGATTTTACCAACAGAGTGTTTCCTAACTGCTCTATGAAAAGAAAGGTTAAACTTCTGTGAGTTGAACGAACACATCACAACGCAGTTTGTGGGAATGATTTCTGTCTAGTTTTGAAACGAAGATATTTCCTTTTCTGCCATTGACCTCAAAGCGCTTGAAATTTCCACTTGCCAATTGCACAAAAAGAGTGTTTCAAATCTGCTCTGTCTAAGGGAACGTTCAACTCTGTGAGTTGAATGTACACAACACAAGGAAGTTACTGGGAATTCTTCTGTCTAGCCTTACAGGAAAAAAACACGTTTCCAACGAAGGCCTCTAAGTGGTCAAAATATCCACGTGCAGACTTTACAAACAGAGTGTTTCCAAACTGCTGAATGAAAAGAAAAGTTAAACTCTGAGAGTTGAACGCACACATCGCAGAGCAGTTTCTGAGAATGATTCTGTCTAGTTTTTATACGAAGATATTTCCTTTACTGCCTTTGGCCCCAAAGCGCTTGAAATCTCCACTTGCAAATTCCACAAAAACAGTGTTTCAAATCTGCTCTCTCTAAATGAAAGTTCAACTCTGTCAGTTGAATACACACAACACAAGGAAGTTACTGAGAATTCTTCCCGTCTAGCATAATATGAAGAAATCCCGTTTCCAACGAAGGCCTCAAAGAGGTCTGAATATCCACTTGCAGACTTTACAAACAGAGTGTTTCCTAACTGCTCTATGAAAAGAAAGGTTAAACTCTGTGAGTTGAACGCACACATCACAAAGGAGTTTATGAGAATCTTTCTGTCTAGTTTTTATACGAAGATATTTCCTTTTCTACCATTGACTTCAAAGCGGCTGAAATCTCCACTTGCAAATTCCACAAAACGAGTGTTTCAAGTCTGCTCTGTGTAAAGGATCGTTCAACTCTGTGAGTTGAATACACACAACACAAGGAAGTTACTGAGAATTCTTCTGTCTAGGAGAATATGAAGAAATCCCGTTTCCAACGAAGGCCACAAGATGTCAGAATATCCACTTACAGAATTGACAAACAGACTGTTTCCTAACTGCTCTATGAAAAGAAAGGTTAAACTCTGTGAGTTGAACGAACACATCACAACGCAGTTTGTGGGAATGATTCTGTCTAGTTTTGAAACGAAGATATTTCCTTTTCTGCCGTTGACCTTAAAGCGCTTGAAATCTACATTTGCAAATTGCACAAATAGAGTGTTTCAAATCTGCTCTGTCTAAGGGAACGTTCAACTCTGTGAGTTGAATGCACACAACACAAGGAAGTTACTGGGAATTCTTCTGTCTAGCCTTACATGAAAAAAACCCGTTTCCAACGAAGGCCTCAAAGAGGTCTGAATATCCACGTGCAGACTTTACAAACAGAGTGTTTCCAAACCGCCGAATGAAAAGAAAGGTTAAACTCTGTGAGTTGAACGCACACATCACAAAGGAGTTTCTGAGAATCATTCTGTCTAGTTTTTATACGAAGGTATTTCCTTTTCTGCCTTTGGCCTCAAAGCGCTTGAAATCTCCACTTGCAAATTCCACAAAAAGAGTGTTTCAAATCTGCTCTGTGTAAATGAAAGTTCAACTCTGTGAGTTGAACACACACAACACAAGGAAGTTATTGGGAATTCTTCTGTCTAGCCTTATATGAAAAAAACCCGTTTCCAGCGATGGCCTCAAAGAGGTCTGAATATCCACTTGCAGACTTTACAAACAGAGTGATTCCTAACTGCTCTATGAAAAGAAAGGTTAAACTCTGTGAGTTGAACACACACATCTCAAAGGAGTTTCTGAGAATCATTCTGTCTAGTCTTTATATGAAGATAGTTTCCTTTTCTACCATTGACCTCAAAGCGGCTGAAATCTCCACTTGCAAATTCCACAAAAAGAGTGTTTCAAGTCTGCTCTGTGTAAAGGATCGTTCAACTCTGTTAGTTGAATACACACAACACAAGGAAGTTACTGAGAATTCTTCTGTCTAGCAGAATAGGAAGAAATCCCGTTTCCAACGAAGGCCACAAGATGTCAGAATATCCACTTACAGACTTTACAAACAGAGTGTTTCCTAACTGCTCTATGAACAGAAAGGTTAAACTCTGTGAGTTGAACGAACACATCACAACGCAGTTTGTGGGAATGATTCTGTCTAGTTTTGAAACCAAGATATTTCCTTTTCTGTCGTTGACCTTAAAGAGCTTGAAAACTACACTTGCAAATTGCACAAATAGAGTGTTTCAAATCTGCTCTGTCTAAGGGAACGTTCAACTCTGTGAGTTGAATGCACACAACACAAGGAAGTTACTGGGAATTCTTCTGTCTAGCCTTACAGGAAAAAAACCCGTTTCCAACGAAGGCCTCTAAGTGGTCAAAATATCCACGTGCAGACTTTACAAACAGAGTGTTTCCAAACTGCTGAATGAAAAGAAAAGTTAAACTCTGAGAGTTGAACGCACACATCGCAGAGCAGTTTCTGAGAATGATTCTGTCTAGTTTTTATACGAAGATATTTCCTTTTCTGCCTTTGGCCTCAAAGCGCTTGAAATCTCCACTTGCAAATTCCACAAAAAGAGTGTTTCAAATCTGCTCTGTGTAAATCAAAGTTCAACTCTGTGAGTTGAACACACACAACACAAGGAAGTTACCGGGAATTCTTCTGTCTAGCATAATATGAAGAAATCCCGTTTCCAACGAAGGCCTCAAAGAGGTCTGAATATCCACTTGCAGACTTTACAAACAGAGTGTTTCCTAACGGCTCTATGAAAAGAAAAGTTAAACTCTGTGAGTTGAATGCACACATCACAAAGGAGTTTCTGAGAATCATTCTGTCTAGTTTCTATAGGAAGATATTTCCTATTCTACCATTGACCTCAAAGCGGCTGAAATCTCCACTTGCAAATTCCACAAAAAGAGTGTTTCAAGTCTGCTCTCTGTAAAGGATGGTTCAACTCTGTGAGTTGAATACACACAACACAAGGAAGTTACTGAGAATTCTTCTGTCTAGCATATTATGAAGAAATCTCGTTTCCAACGAAGGCCTCAAGGAGGTCTGAATATCCACTTGCAGACTTTACACACAGAGTGTTTCCTAACTGCTCTATGAAAAGAAAGGTTAAACTCTGTGAGTTGAACGCACACATCACAAAGGAGTTTCTGAGAATCATTCTGTCTAGTCTTTATACGAAGATATTTCCTTTTCTACCATTGACCTCAAAGCGGCTGAAATCTCCACTTGCAAATTCCACAAAAAGAGTGTTTCAAGTCTGCTCTGTGTAAAGGATCGTTCAACTCTGTGGGTTGAATACACACAACACAAGGAAGTTACTGAGAATTCTTCTGTCTAGCAGAATATGAAGAAATCCCGTTTCCAACGAAGGCCACATGATGTCAGAATATCCACTTACAGAATTTACAAACAGAGTGTTTCCTAACTGCTCTATGAAAAGAAAGGTTAAACTCTGTGAGATGAACGAACACATCACAACGCAGTTTGTGGGAATGATTCTGTCTAGTTTTTATAGGAAGATATTTCCTTTTCTACTTTGACTTCAAAGCGGCTGAAATCTCCACTTGCAAATTCCACAAAAAGAGTGTTACAAGTCTGCTCTCTATAAAGGATCGTTCAACTGTGTGAGTTGAATACACACAACACAAGGAAGTTACTGAGAACTCTTCTGTCTAGCCTTATAGGAAAGAAACCCGTTTCCAACGAAGGCCTCTAAGTGGTCAAAATATCCACGTGTAGACTTTACAAACAGAGTGTTTCCAAACTGCTGAATGAAAAGCAAAGTTAAACTCTGAGAGTTGAACGCACACATCGCAGAGCAGTTTCTGAGAATGATTCTGTCTAGTTTTTATACGAAGATATTTCCTTTTCTGCCTTTGGCCTCAAAGCGCTTGAAATCTCCATTTGCAAATTCCACAAAAAGAGTGTTTCAAATCTGCTCTGTGTAAATGAAAGTTCAAATCTGTGAGTTGAACACACACAACACAAGGAAGTTACTGGAATTCTTCTGTCTAGCAGAATATGAAGAAATCCTGTTTCCAACGAAAGCCTCAAAGATGTCTGAATATCCACTTGCAGACTTTACAAACAGAGTGTTTCCTAACTGCTCTATGAAAAGAAAGGTTAAACTCTGTGAGTTGAACGCACACATCACAAAGGAGTTTCTGAGAATCATTCTGTCTAGTTTTTATATGAAGATATTTCCTTTTCTACCATTGACCTCAAAGCGGCTGAAATCTCCACTTACAAATTCCACAAAAAGAGTGTCTCAAGTCTGTTCTGTGTAAACGATAGTTCAACTCTGTGAGTTGAATACACACAACACAAGGAAGTTTCTGAGAACTCTTCTGTCTAGCAGAATATGAAGAAATCCCGTTTCCAACGAAGGCCACAAGATGTCAGAATATCCACTTACAGAATTGACAAACAGACTGTTTCCTAACTGCTCTATGAAAAGAAAGGTTAATCCCTGTGAGTTGAACGAACACATCACAACGCAGTTTGTGGGAATGATTCTGTCTAGTTTTGAAACGAAGATATTTCCTTTTCTGCCTTTGACCTTAAAGCGCTTGAAATCTCCACTTGCCAATTGCACAAAAAGAGTGTTTCACATCTGCTCTGTCTAAGGGAACGTTCAACTCTGTGAGTGGAATGTACACAACACAAGGAAGTTACTGGGAATTCTTCTGTCTAGCCTTACATGAAAAAAACCCGTTTCCAACGAAGGCCTCTAAGTGGTCAAGTTATCCACGTGCAGACTTTACAAACAGAGTGTTTCCAAACTGCTGAATGAAAAGAAAAGTTAAACTCTGAGAGTTGAACGCACACATCGCAGAGCAGTTTCTGAGAATGCTTCTGTCTAGTTTTTATACGAAGATATTTCCTTTTCTGCCTTTGGCCTCAAAGCGCTTGAAATCTCCACCTGCAAATTCCACAAAAAGAGTGTTTCAAATCTGCTCTGTGTAAATGAAAGTTCAACTCTGTGAGCTGAACACACACAACACAAGGAAGTTACTGGGAATTCTTCTGTCTAGCCTTATATGAAAAAAACCCGTTTCCAACGAAGGCCTCAAAGAGGTCTGAATATCCACTTGGAGACTTTACAAACAGAGTGTTTCCTAACTGCTCTATGAAAAGAAAGGTTAAACTCTGTGAGTTGAACGCACACATCACAAAGGAGTTACTGAGAATCATTCTGTCTAGTTTCTATATGAAGATATTTCCTATTCTACCATTGACCTCAAAGCGGCTGAAATCTCCACTTGCAAATTCCACAAAAAGAGTGTTTCAAGACTGTTCTGTGTAAAGGATCATTCAACTCTGTGAGTTGAATACACACAACACAAGGAAGTTACTGAGAATTCTTCTTTCTAGCAGAATATGAAGAAATCCCGTTTCCAACGAAAGCCTCAAGGATGTCTGAATATCCACTTGCAGACTTTACAAACAGAGTGTTTCCTAACTGCTCTATGAAAAGAAAGGTTAAACTCTGTCAGTTGAACGCACACATCACAAAGGAGTTTCTCAGAATCATTCTGTCTAGTTTTGAAACGAAGATATTCCCTTTTCTGCCATTGACCTTAAAGCGCTTGAAATCTACACTTGCAAATTGCACAAATAGAGTGTTTCAAATCTGCTCTGTCAAGGGAATGTTCAACTCTGTGAGTTGAATGCACACAACACAAGGAAGTTACTGGGAATTCTTCTGTCTAGCAGAATATGAAGAAATCCCGTTTCCAACGAAGGCCTCAAAGAGGTCTGAATATCCACTTGCAGACTTTACAAACAGAGTGTTTCCTAACTGCTCTATGAAAAGAAAGGATAAACTCTGTGAGTTGAACTCACACATCACAAAGGAGTTTCTGAGAATCATTTCTGTCTAGTTTTTATACGAAGATATTTCCTTTTCTGCCTTTGGCCCTAAAGCGCTTGAAATCTCCACTTGCAAATTCCACAAAAACAGTGTTTCAAATCTGCTCTCTCTAAATGAAAGTTCAACTCTGTCAGTTGAATACACACAACACAAGGAAGTTACTGAGAATTCTTCTGTCTAGCCTTATATGAAAAAAACCTGTTTCCAACGAAGGCCTCAAGGAGGTCTGAATATCCACTTGCAGACTTTACAAACAGAGTGTTTCCTAACTGCTCTATGAAAAGAAAGGTTAAACTCTGTGAGTTGAACGCACACATCACAAAGGAGTTTCTGAGAATCATTCTGTCTAGTTTCTATAAGAAGATATTTCCTATTCTACCATTGACCTCAAAGCGGCTGAAATCTCCACTTGCAAATTCGACAAAAAGAGTGTTTCAAGCCTGCTCTCTGTAAAGGATCCTTCAACTCTGTGAGTTGAATACACCCAACACAAGGAAGTTACTGAGAATTCTTCTGTCTAGCAGAATATGAAGAAATCCCGTTTCCAACGAAGGCCACAAGATGTCAGAATATCCACTTACAGACTTTTGAGAGTGTTTCCTAACTGCTATATGAACAGAAAGGTTAAACTCTGTGAGTTGAACGAACACATCACAACGCAGTTTGTGGGAATGATTCTGTCTAGTTTTGAAACGAAGATATTTCCTTTTCTGCCGTTGACCTTAAAGCGCTTGAAATCTACACTTGCAAATTGCACAAATAGAGTGTTTCAAATCTGCTCTGTCTAAGGGAACGTTCAACTCTGTGAGTTGAATGCACACAACACAAGGGAAGTTACTGGGAATTCTTCTGTCTAGCCTTACATGAAAAAAACCAGTTTCTAACGAAGGCCTCTAAGTGGTCAAAATATCCACGTGCAGACTTTACAAACAGAGTGTTTCCAAACCGCTGAATGAAAAGAAAAGTTAAACTGTGAGAGTTGAACGCACACATCACGCAGCAGTTTCTGAGAATGATTACTCTGTCTAGTTTTTATACGAAGATATTTCCTTTTCTGCCTTTGGCCTCAAAGCGCTTGAAATCTCCACTTGCAAATTCCACAAAAAGAGTGATTCAAATCTGCTCTGTGTAAATCAAAGTTCAACTCTGTGAGTTGAACACACACAAAACAAGGAAGTTACTAGGAATTCTTCTGTCTAGCAGAATATGAAGAAATCCCGTTTCCAACGAAGGCCTCAAAGAGGTCTGAATATCCACTTGCAGACTTTACAAACAGAGTGTTTCCTAACTGCTCTATGAAAAGAAAAGTTGAACTCTGTGAGTTGAACGCACACATCACAAAGGAGTTTCTGAGAATCATTCTGTCTAGTTTTTATAGGAAGATATTTCCTTTTCTACCATTGACTTCAAAGAGGCTGAAATCTCCACTTGCAAATTCCACAAAAAGAGTGTTTCAAGTCTGCTCTGTGTAAAGGATCGTTCAACTCTGTGAGTTGAATACACACAACACGCGGAAGTTACTGAGAATTCTTCTGTCTAGCAGAATATGAAGAAATCCCGTTTCCAACGAAGGCCACAAGATGTCAGAATATCCACTTACAGACTTTACAAACAGTGTGTTTCCTAACTGCTCTATGAACGGAAAGGTTAAACTACTGTGAGTTGAACGAACACATCACAACGCAGTTTGTGGGAATGATTCTGTCTAGTTTTGAAACGAAGATATTTCCTTTTCTGCCATTGACCTTAAAGTGCTTGTAATCTCCACTTGCCAATTGCACAAAAAGAGTGTTTCAAATCTGCTCTGTCTAAGGGAACTTTCAACTCTGTGAGTTGAATGTACACAACACAAGGAAGTTACTGGGAATTCTTCTGTCTAGCCTTATATGAAAAAAACCCGTTTCCAACGAAGGCCTCAAAGAGGTCTGAATATCCACTTGCAGACTTTACAAACAGAGTGTTTCCTAAGTGCTCTATGAAAAGAAAGGTTAAACTCTGTGAGTTGAACGCACACATCACAAAGGAGTTTCTGAGAATCATTCTGTCTGGTTTTGAAACGAAGATATTTCCTTTTCTGCCTTTGGCCTCAAAGCGCTTGAAATCTCCACTTGCAAATTCCACAAAAACAGTGTTTCAAATCTGCTCTGTGTAAATGAAAGTTGAACTCTGTGAGTTGAACACACACAACGCAAGGAAGTTACTGGGAATTCTTCTGTCTAGCACAGTATGAAGATATCCCGTTTCCAACGAAGGCCTCAAAGAGGTCTGAATATCCACTTGCAGAGTTTACAAACAGAGTGTTTCCTAACTGCTCTATGAAAAGAAAGGTTAAACTCTGTGAGTTGAACGCACACATCACAAAGGAGTTTCTGAGAATCATTCTGTCTAGTTTTTATACGAAGATATTTCCTTTTCTACCATTGACCTCAAAGCGGCTGAAATCTCCACTTGCAAATTCCACAAAAAGAGTGTTTCAAATCTGCTCTGTGTAAACCATCGTTCAACTGTGTGAGTTGAATACACACAACACAAGGAAGATTCTAAGAATTCTTCTGTCTAGCAGAATATGAAGAAATCCCGTTTCCAACGAAGGCCACAAGATGTCAGAATATCCACTTACAGACTTTACAAACAGAGGTGTTTCCTAACTGCTCTATGAAAAGAAAAGTTAAACTCTGTGAGTTGAACGACCACATCACAACGCAGTTTGTGGGAATGATTCTGCCTAGTTTTGAAACGAAGATATTTCCTTTTCTGCCGTTGACCTTAAAGCGCTTGAAATCTACACTTGCAAATTGCACAAATAGAGTGTTTCAAATCTGCTCTGTCTAAGGGAACGTTCAACTCTGTGAGTTGAATGCACACAACACAAGGAAGTTACTGGGAATTCTTCTGTCTAGCCTTACATGAAAAAAACCCGTTTCCAACGAAGGCCTCTAAGTGGTCAATATATCCACGTGCAGACTTTACAAACAGAGTGTTTCCAAACCGCTGAATGAAAAGAAAACTTAAATTCTGAGAGTTGAACGCACACATCACGCAGCAGTTTCTGATAATGATTCTGTCTAGTTTTGAAACGAAGATATTTCCTTTTCTGCCTTTGGCCTCAAAGCGCTTGAAATCTCCACTTGCAAATTCCACAAAAAGAGTGTTTCAAATCTGCTCTGGGTAAATGAATGTTCAACTCTGTGAGTTGAACACACACAACACAAGGAAGTTACTGGGAATTCTTCTGTCTAGCATAATATGAAGAATTCCCGTTTCCAACGAAGGCCTCAAAGAGGTCTCAATATCCACTTGCAGACTTTACATACAGAGTGTTTCCTAACTGCTCTATGAAAAGAAAGGTTAAACTCTGTGAGTTGAACGCACACATAACAAAGGAGTTTCTGAGAATCATTCTGTCTAGTTTTTATAGGAAGATATTTCCTTTTCTACCTTTGACTTCAAAGCGGCTGAAATCTCCACTTGCAAATTCCACAAAAAGAGTGTTACAAGTCTGCTCTGTGTAAAGGATCGTTCAACTCTGTGAGTTGAATACACACAACACGCGGAAGTTACTGAGAATTCTTCTGTCTAGCAGAATATGAAGAAATCCCGTTTCCAACGAAGGCCACAAGATGTCAGAATATCCACTTACAGACTTTACAAACAGAATGTTTCCTAACTGCTCTATGAACAGAAAGGTTAAACTCTGTGTGTTGAACGCACACATCACAAAGGAGTTTATGACAATCATTCTGTCTAGTTTTGAAACGAAGATATTTCCTTTTCTGCCGTTGACCTTAAAGCGCTTGAAATCTACAATTGCAAATTGCACAAATAGAGTGTTTCAAATCTGCTCTGTCTAAGGGAACGTTCAACTCTGTGAGTTGAATGCACACAACACAAGGAAGTTACTGGGAATTCTTCTGTCTAGCCTTACATGAAAAAAACCCGTTTCCAACGAAGGCCTCTAAGTGGTCAAAATTTCTACGTGCAGACTTTACAAACAGAGTGTTTCCAAACCGCTGAATGAAAAGAAAAGTTAAACTCTGAGAGTTGAACGCACACATCACGCAGCAGTTTCTGAGAATGATTCTGTCTAGTTTTTATACGAAGATATTTCCTTTTCTGCCTTTGGCCTCAAAGCGCTTGAAATCTCCACTTGCACATTCCACAAAAAGAGTGTTTCAAATCTGCTCTGTGTAAATGAAAGTTCAACTCTGTGAGTTGAACACACACAACACAAGGAAGTTACTGGGAATTCTTCTGTCTAGCCTGATATGAAAAAAACCCGTTTCCAACGAAGGCCTCAAAGAGGTCTGAATATCCACTTGCAGACTTTACAAACAGAGTGTTTCCTAACTGCTCTATGAAAAGAAAGGTTAAACTCTGTGAGTTGAACGCACACATCACAAAGGAGTTTCTGAGAATCATTCTGTCTAGTCTTTATATGAAGATAGTTTCCTTTTCTACCATTGACCTCAAAGCGGCTGAAATCTCCACTTGCAAATTCCACAAAAAGAGTGTTTCAAGTCTGCTCTGTGTAAACGATCGTTCAACTCTGTGAGTTGAATACACACAACACAAGGAAGTTACTGAGAATTCTTCTGTCTAGCAGAATATGAAGAAATCCCGTTTCCAACGAAGGCCACAAGATGTCAGAATATCCACTTACAGAATTTACAAACAGACTGTTTCCTAACTGCTCTATGAAAAGAAAGGTTAAACTGTGTGAGTTGAACGAACACATCACAACGCAGTTTGTGGGAATGATTCTGTCTAGTTTTGAAACAAAGATATTTCCTTTTCTGCCATTGACCTTAAAGCGCTTGAAATCTCCACTTGCCAATTGCACAAAAAGAGTGTTTCACATCTGCTCTGTCTAAGGGAACGTTCAACTCTGTGAGTTGAATGTACACAACACAAGGAAGTTACTGGGAATTCTTCTGTCTAGCCTTACAGGAAAAAAACCCGTTTCCAACGAAGGCCTCTAAGTGGTCAAAATATCCACGTGCAGACTTTACAAACAGAGTGTTTCCAAACTGCTGAATGAAAAGAAAAGTTAAACTCTGAGAGTTGAACGCACACATCGCAGAGCAGTTTGCTGAGAATGATTCTGGCTAGTTTTCATACGAAGATATTTCCTTTTCTGCCTTTGGCCACAAAGCGCTTGAAATCTGCACTTGCAAATTCCACAAAAACAGTGTTTCTAATCTGCTCTCTCTAAATGAAAGTTCAACTCTGTCAGTTGAATACACACAACACAAGGAAGTTACTGAGAATTCTTCTGTCTAGCATAATATGAAGAAATCCCGTTTCCAACGAAGGCCTCAAAGGGGTCGGAATATCCACTTGCAGACTTTATAAACAGAGTGTTTACTAACTGCTCTATGAAAAGAAAGGTTAAACTCTGTGAGGTGAACACACACATCACAAAGGAGTTTCTGAGAATCATTCTGTCTAGTTTCTATAGGAAGATATTTCCTATTCTACCATTGACCTCAAAGCGGCTGAAATCTCCACTTGCAAATTCCACAAAAGGAGTGTTTCAAGTCTGCTCTGTGTAAAGGATCGTTCAACTCTGTGAGTTGAATACACACAACACAAAGAAGTTACTGAGAATTCTTCTTTCTAGCAGAATATGAAGAAATCCCGTTTCCAACGAAAGCCTCAAGGATGTCTGAATATCTACTTGCAGACTTTACAAACAGAGTGTTTCCTAACTGCTCTATGAAAAGAAAGGTTAAACTCTGTGAGTTGAACGCACACATCACAAAGGAGTTTCTGAGAATCATTCTGTCTAGTTTTGAAAGGAAGATATTTCCTTTTCTGCCGTTGACCTTAAAGCGCTTGAAATGTACACTTGCAAATTGCACAAATAGGCTCTTTCAAATCTGCTCTGTCTAAGGGAACGTTCAACTCTGTGAGTTGAATGCGCACAACACAAGGAAGTTACTGGGAATTCTTCTGTCTAGCCTTACAGGAAAAAAACCCGTTTCCAACGAAGGCCTGTAAGTGGTCAAAATATCCCCGTGCAGACTTTACAAACACAGTGTTTCCACACTGCTGAATGAAAAGAAAAGTTAAACTCTGAGAGTTGAACGCACACATCGCAGAGCAGTTTCTGAGAATGATTCTGTCTATTTTCTGTAGGAAGATATTTCCTATTCTACCTTTGACCTCAAAGCGGCTGAAATCTCCACTTCCAAATTCCACAAAAAGAGTGTTTCAAGTCTGCTCTCTGTAAAGGATAGTTCAACTCTGTGAGTTGAATACACACAACACAAGGAAGTTACTGAGAATTATTCTGTCTAGCATAATATGAAGAAATCCCGTTTCCAACGAAGGCTTCAAAGAGGTCTGAATATCCACTTGCAGACTTTACAAACAGAGTGTTTCCTAACTGCTCTATGAAAAGAAAGGTTAAACTCTGTGAGTTGAACGCACACATCACAAAGGAGTTTCTGAGAATCATTCTGTCTAGTTTTTCTACGAAGATATTTCCTTTTCTACTATTGACCTCAAAGTGGATGAAATCTCCACTTGCAAATTCCACAAAAAGAGTGTTTCAAGTCTGCTCTGTGTAAAGGATCGTTCAACTCTGTGAGTTGAATACACACAACACAAGGAAGTTACTGAGAATTCTTCTGTCTAGCAGAATATGAAGAAATCCCGTTTCCAACGAAGGCCACAAGATGTCAGAATATCCACTTACAGAATTTACAAACATAGTGTTTCCTAACTGCTCTATGAAAAGAAAGGTTAAACTCTGTGAGATGAAAGAACACATCACAACGCAGTTTGTGGGAATGATTCTGTCTAGTTTTGAAACGAAGATATTTCCTTTTCTGCCATTGACCATAAAGCGCTTGAAATCTCCACTTGCCAATTGCACAAAAAGAGTGTTTCAAATCTGCTCTGTCTAAGGGAACGTTCAACTCTGTGAGTTGAATGTACACAACACAAGGAAGTTACTGGGAATTCTTCTGTCTATCCTTACATGAAAAAAACCCGTTTCCAACGAAGACCTCTAAGTGGTGAAATTATCCACGTGCAGTCTTTACAAACAGAGTGTTTCCAAACTGCTGAATGAAAAGAAAAGTTAAACTCTGAGAGTTGAACGCACACATCGCAGAGCAGTTTCTGAGAATGATTCTGTCTAGTTTTTATACGAAGATATTTCCTTTTCTGCCTTTGGCCCCAAAGCGCTTGAAATCTCCACTTGCAAATTCCACAAAAACAGTGTTACAAATCTGCTCTCTCTAAATGAAAGTTCAACTCTGTCAGTTGAAAACACACAACACAAGGAAGTTACTGAGAATTCTTCTGTCTAGCCTTATATGAAAAAAACCCGTTTCCAACGAAGGCCTCAAAGAGGTCTGAATATCCACTTGCAGACTTTACAAACACAGTGTTTCCTAACTGCTCTATGAAAAGAAAGGTTAAACTCTGTGAGTTGAACACACACATCACAAAGGAGTTTCTGAGAATCATTCTGTCTAGTTTTTATACGAAGATATTTCCTTTTCTACCATTGACCTCAACGCGGCTGAAATCTCCACTTGCAAATTCTACAAAAAGAGTGTTTCAAGTCCGCTCTGTGTAAAGGATCGTTCAACTCTGTGAGTTGAATACACACAACACAAGGAAGTTACTGAGAATTCTTCTGTCTAGCAGAATATGAAGAAATCCCGTTTCCAACGAAGGCCTCAAGATGTCAGAATATCCAATTACAGACTTTACAAACAGAGTGTTTCCTAACTGCTCTATGAACAGAAAGGTTAAACTCTGTGAGTTGAACGAACACATCACAACGCAGTTTGTGGGAATGATTCTGTCTAGTTTTGAAACGAAGATATTTCCTTTTCTGCCATTGACCTTAAAGCGCTTGAAATCTACACTTGCAAATTGCACAAATAGAGTGTTTCAAATCTGCTCTCTCTAAGGGAACGTTCAACTCTGTGAGTTGAATGCACACAACACAAAGAAGTTACTGGGAATTCTTCTGTCTAGCCTTACATGAAAAAAACCCGTTTCCAACGAAGGCCTCTAAGTGGTCAAGTTATCCACGTGCAGACTTCACAAACAGAGTGTTTCCAAACTGCTGAATGAAAACAAAAGTTAAACTCTGAGAGTTGAACGCACACATCGCAGAGCAGTTTCTGAGAATGATTCTGTCTAGTTTTTCTACGAAGATATTTCCTTTTCTGCCTTTGGCCTCAAAGCGCTTGAAATCTCCACTTGCAAATTCCACAAAAAGAGTGTTTCAAATCTGCTCTGTGTAAATGAAAGTTCAACTCTGTGAGTTGAACACACACAACACAAGGAAGTTACTGGGAATTCTTCTGTCTAGCAGAATATGAAGAAATCCCGTTTCAAACGAAGGCCACAAAGAGGTCTGAATATCCACTTGCAGACTTTACAAACAGAGTGTTTCCTAACTGCTCTATGAAAAGAAAAGTTAAACTCTGTGAGTTGAACGCACACATCACAAAGGAGTTTCTGAGAATCATTCTGTCTAGTTTCTATAGGAAGATATTTCCTATTCTACCATTGACCTCAAAGCGGCTGAAATCTCCACTTGCAAATTCCACAAAAAGAGTCTTTCAAGACTGTTCTGTGTAAAGGATCATTCAAGTCTGTGAGTTGAATACACACAACACAAGGAAGTTACTGAGAATTCTTCCGTCTAGCAGAATATGAAGAAATCCCGTTTCCAACGAAGGCCACAAGATGTCAGAATATCCACTTACAGAATTTACAAACAGACTGTTTCCTAACTGCTCTATGAAAAGAAAGGTTAAACTCTGTGAGTTGAACGAACACATCACAACGCAGTTTGTGGGAATGATTCTGTCTAGTTTTGAAACGAAGATATTTCCTTTTCTGCCATTGACCTTAAAGCGCTTGAAACCTACACTTGCAAATTGCACAAATAGAGTGTTTCAAATCTGCTCTGTCTAAGGAACGTTCAACTCTGTGAGTTGAATGCACACAACACAAGGAAGTTACTGGGAATTCTTCTGTCTAGCCTTACATGAAAAAAAACCCGTTTCCAACGAAGGCCTCTAAGTGGTCAAAATATCCACGTGCAGACTTTACAAACAGAGTGTTTCCAAACTGCTGAATGAAAAGAAAAGTTAAACTCTGAGAGTTGAACGCACACATCACAGAGCAGTTTCTGAGAATGATTCTGTCTAGTTTTTCTACGAAGATATTTCCTTTTCTGCCTTTGGCCCCAAAGCGCTTGAAATCTCCACTTTCAAATTCCACAAAAACAGTGTTTCAAATCTGCTCTCTCCAAATGAAAGTTCAACTCTGTCAGTTGAATACACACAACACAAGGAAGTTACTGAGAATTCTTCTGTCTAGCAGAGCATGAAGAAATCCCTTTTCCAACGAAGGCCTCAAAGAGGTCTGAATATCCACTTGCAGACTTTACAAACAGAGTGTTTCCTAACTGCTCTATGAAAAGAAAGGTTAAACTCTGTGAGTTGAACACACACATCACAAAGGAATTTCTGAGAATCATTCTGTCTAGTTTTTCTACGAAGATATTTCCTTTTCTACTATTGACCTCAAAGCGGCTGAAATCTCCACTTGCAAATTCCACAAAAAGAGTGTTTCAAGTCTGCTCTGTGTAAAGGATCGTTCAACTCTGTGACTTGAATACACACAACACAAGGAAGTTACTGAGAATTCTTCTGTCAAGCAGAATATGAAGAAATCCCGTTTCCAACGAAGGCCTCAAAGAGGTCTGAATATCCACTTGCAGACTTTACAAACAGAGTGTTTCCTAACTGCTCTATGAAAAGGAAAGTTAAACTCTGTGAGTTGAACGCACACATCACAAAGGAGTTTCTGAGAATCATTCTGTCTAGTTTTGAAACGAAGATATTTCCTTTTCTGCCATTGACCTCAAAGCGCTTGAAATCTCCACTTGCCAATTGCACAAAAAGAGTGTTTCAAATCTGCTCTGTCTAAGGGAACGTTCAACTCTGTGAGTTGAATGTACACAACACAAGGAAGTTACTGGGAATTCTTCTATCTAGCCTTACAGGAAAAAAACCCGTTTCCAACGAAGGCCTCTAAGTGGTCAAAATATCCACGTGCAGACATTACAAAGAGAGTGTTTCCAAACTGCTGAATGAAAAGAAAAGTTAAACTCTGAGAGTTGAACGCACACATCGCAGAGAAGTTTCTGAGAATGATTCTGTCTAGTTTTGAAACGAAGATATTTCCTTTTCTGCCTTTGGCCTCAAAGCGCTTGAAATCTCCATTTGCAAATTCCACAAAAAGAGTGTTGCAAATCTGCTCTGTGTAAATGAAAGTTCAACTCTGTGAGTTGAACACACACAACACAAGGAAGTTACTGGGAATTCTTCTGTCTAGCAGAATATGAAGAAATCCCGTTTCCAACGAAGGCCTCAAAGAGGTCTGAATATCCACTTGCAGACTTTACAAACAGAGTGTTTCCTAACTGCTCTATGAAAAGAAAAGTTAAACTCTGTGAGTTGAACGCACACATCACAAAGGAGTTTCTGAGAACCATTCTGTCTTGTTTTTATACGAAGATATTTCCTTTTCTACCATGGACCTCAAAGCGGCTGAAATCTCCACTTGCAAATTCCACAAAAAGAGTGTTTCAAGTCTGCTCTGTGTAAAGGATCGTTCAACTCTGTGAGTTGAATACACACAACACAAGGGAGATTCTGAGAATTCTTCTGTCTAGCAGAATATGAAGAAATCCCGTTTCCAACGAAGGTCTCAACGAGGTCTGAATATCCACTTGCAGACTTTACAAACAGAGCGTTTCCTAACTGCTCTATGAAAAGAAAGGTTAAACTGCTGTGAGTTGAACACACACATCACAAAGGAGTTTCTGAGAATCATTCTGTCTAGTTTCTATAGGAAGATATTTCCTATTCTACCATTGACCTCAAAGCGGCTGAAATCTCCACTTGCAAATTCCACAAAAAGAATGTTTCAAGTCTGCTCTGTGTAAACGATCGTTCAACTCTGTGAGTTGAATACACACAACACAAGGAAGTTACTGAGAATTCTTCTGTCTAGCATAATATGAAGAAATTCCGTTTCCAACGAAGGCCTCAAAGAGGTCTGAATATCCACTTGCAGACTTTACAAACAGAGTGTTTCCTAACTGCTCTATGAAAAGAAAAGTTAAACTCTGTGATTTGAACGCACACATCACAAAGGAGTTTCTGAGAATCATTCTGTCTAGTTTTTATACGAAGATATTTCCTTTTCTACCATTGACCTCAAAGCGGTTGAAATCACCACTTGCCAATTGCACAAAAAGAGTGTTTCAAATCTGCTCTGTCTAAGGGAACGTTCAACTCTGTGAGTAGAATGTACACAACACAAGGAAGTTACTGGGAATTCTTCTGTCTAGCCTTACATGAAAAAAACCCGTTTCCAACGAAGGCCTCTAAGTGGTCAAAATATCCACGTGCAGACTTTACAAACAGAGTGTTTCCAAACCGCTGAATGAAAAGAAAAGTTAAACTCTGAGAGTTGAACGCACACATCACGCAGCAGTTTCTGAGAATCATTCTGTCTAGTTTTGAAACGAAGATATTTCCTTTTCTGCCTCTGGCCTCAAAGCGCTTGAAATCTCCACTTGCAAATTCCACAAAAAGAGTGTTTCAAATCTGCTCTGTGTAAATGAAAGTTCAACTCTGTGAGTTGAACACACACAACACAAGGAAGTTACTGGGAATTCTTCTGTCTAGCATAATATGAATAAATCCCGTTTCCAACGAAGGCCTCAAGGAGGTCTGAATATCCACTTGCAGACTTTACAAACAGAGTGTTTCCTAACTGCTCTATGAAAAGAAAGGTTAAACTGTGTGAGTTGAACGCACACATCACAAAGGAGTTTCTGAGAATCATTCTGTCTAGTTTCTATACGAAGATATTCCCTTTTCTACCATTGACCTCAAAGCGGCTTAAATCTCCACTTGCAAATTCCACAAAAAGAGTGTTTCAAGTCTGCTCTGTGTAAAGGAGCGTTCAACTCTGTGAGTTGAATACACACAACACAAGGAAGATACTGAGAATTCTTCTGTCTAGCCAAATATGAAGAAATCCCGTTTCCAACGAAGGCCACAAGATGTCAGAATATCCACTTACAGAATTGACAAACAGACTGTTTCCTAACTGCTCTATGAAAAGAAAGGTTAAACTCTGTGAGTTGAACGAACACATCACAACGCAGTTTGTGGGAATGATTCTGTCTAGTTTTTATACGAAGATATTTCCTTTTCTACCATTGACCACAAAGCGGCTGAAATCACCACTTGCCAATTGCACAAAAAGAGTGTTTCAAATCTGCTCTGTCTAAGGGAACGTTCAACTCTGTGAGTTGAATGTACACAACACAAGGAAGTTCCTGGGAATTCTTCTGTCTAGCCTTACAAGAATAAAACCCGTTTCCAACGAAGGCCTCTAAGTGGTCAAAATATCCACGTGCAGACTTTACAAAGAGAGTGTTTCCAAACTGCTGAATGAAAAGAAAAATTAAACTACTGAGAGTTGAATGCACACATCGCAGAGCAGTTTCTGAGAATGATTTCTGTCTAGTTTTTATACGAAGATATTTCCTTTTCTGCCTTTGGCCCCAAAGCGCTTGAAATCTCCACTTGCAAATTCCACAAAAACAGTGTTTCAAATCTGCTCTCTCCAAATGAAAGTTCAACTCTGTCAGTTGAATACACACAACACAAGGAAAGTTACTGAGAATTCTTCTGGTCTAGCACAGTATGAAGAAATCCCGTTTCCAACGAAGGCCTCAAGGAGGTCTGAATATCCACTTGCAGAGTTTACAAACAGAGTGTTTCCTAACTGCTCTATGAAAAGAAAGGTTAAACTCTGTGAGTTGAACGCACACATCACAAAGAAGTTTCTGAGAATCATTCTGTCTAGTTTTTATAGGAAGATATTTCCTTTTCTACCTTTGACTTCAAAGCGGCTGAAATCTCCACTTGCAAATTCCACAAAAAGAGTGTTCCAAGTCTGCTCTGTGCAAAGGATCGTTCAACTCTGTGAGTTGAATACACACAACACAAGGAAGTTACTGAGAATTCTGTCTAGGAGAATATGAAGAAATCCCATTTCCAACGAAGGCCAAAAAATGTCAGAATATCCACTTACAGACTTTACAAACAGAGTGTTTCCTAACTGCTCTATGAACAGAAAGGTTAAACTCTGTGAGTTGAACGAACACATCACAACGCAGTTTGTGGGAATGATTCTGTCTAGTTTTTATAGGAAGATATTTCCTTTTCTACCTTTGACTTCAAAGCGGCTGAAATCTCCACTTGCAAATTCCACAAAGAGAGTGTTACAAGTCTGCTCTGTGTAAAGGATCGTTCAACTCTGTGAGTTGAATACACACAACACAAGGAAGTTACTGAGAATTCTTCTGTCTAGCCTTACATGAAAAAAACCGTTTCCAACGAAGGCCTCTAAGTGGTCAAAATATCCACGTGCAGACTTTACAAACAGAGTGTTTCCAAACTGCTGAATGAAAAGAAAAGTTAAACTCTGAGAGTTGAACGCACACATCACAGAGCAGTTTCTGAGAATGATTCTGTCTAGTTTTGAAACGAAGATATTTCCTTTTCTGCCTTTGGCCTCAAAGCGCTTGAAATCTCCACTTGCAAATTCCACAAAAAGAGTGTTTCAAATCTGCTCTGTGTAAAGGAAAGTTCAACTCTGTGAGTTGAACACACACAACACAAGGAAGTTACTGGGAATTCTTCTGTCTAGCATAATATGAAGAAATCCCGTTTCCAACGAAGGCCTCAAGGAGGTCTGAATATCCACTTGCAGACTTTACAATCAGAGTGTTTCCTAACTGCTCTATGAAAAGAAAGGTTAAACTCTGTGAGTTGAACGCACACATCACAAAGGAGTTTCTGAGAATCATTCTGTCTAGTTTCTATAGGAAGATATTTCCTATTCTACCATTGACCTCAAAGCGGCTGAAATCTCCACTTCCAAATTCCACAAAAAGAATGTTTCTAGTCTGCTCTGTGTAAAGGATCCTTCAACTCTGTGAGTTGAATACACACAACACAAGGAAGTTACTGAGAATTCTTCTGTCTAGCATAATATGAAGAAATCCCGTTTCCAACGAAGGCCTCAAGGAGGTCTGAATATCCACTTGCAGACTTTACAAACAGAGTGTTTCCTAACTGCTCTATGAAAAGAAAGGTTATACTCTGTGAGTTAAACGCAGACATCACAAAGGAGTTTCTGAGAATCACTCTGTCTAGTTTTTATACGAAGATATTTCCTTTTCTACCATTGACCTCAAAGCGGCTGAAATCTCCACTTGCAAATTACACAAAAAGAGTGTTTCAAGTCTACTCTGTGTAAAGCATCGTTGAACTCTGTGAGTTGAAAACACACAACACAAGGAAGTTACTGAGAATTCTTCTGTCTAGCATAGTATGAAGAAATCCCGTTTCCAACGAAGGCCTCAAAGAGGTCTGATTATCCACTTGCAGAGTTTACAAACAGAGTGTTTCCTAACTGCTCTATGAAAAAAAAGGTTAAACTCTGTGAGTTCAACGCACACATCACAAAGAAGTTTCTGAGAATCATTCTGTCTAGTTTTTCTACGAAGATATTACCTTTTCTACTATTGACCTCAAAGCGGCTGAAATCTCCAATTGCAAATTCCACAAAAAGAGTGTTTCAAGTCTGCTCTCTGTAAAGGATCGTTCAACTCTGTGAGTTGAATACACACAACACAAGGAAGTTACTGAGAATTCTTCTGTCTAGCAGAATATGAAGAAATCCCGTTTCCAACGAAGGCCACAAGATGTCAGAATATCCACTTACACACTTTACAAACAGAGTGTTTCCTAACTGCTCTATGAACAGAAAGGTTAAACTCTGTGAGTTGAACGAACACATCACAACGCAGTTTGTGGGAATGATTCTGTCTAGTTTTGAAACGAAGATATTTCCTTTTCTGCCATTGACCTTAAAGCGCTTGAAATCTACACTTGCAAATTGCACAAACAGAGTGTTTCAAATCTGCTCTGTCTAAGGGAACGTTCAACTCTGTGAGTTGAATGCACACAACACAAGGAAGTTACTGGGAATTCTTCTGTCTAGCCTTACATGAAAAAAACCCGTTTCCAACGAAGGCCTCTAAGTGGTCAAAATATCCACGTGCAGACTTTACAAACAGAGTGTTTCCAAACCGCTGAATAAAAAGAAAAGTTAAACTCTGAGAGTTGAACGCACACATCACGCAGCAGTTTCTGAGAATGATTCTGTCTAGTTGTTATACGAAGATATTTCCTTTTCTGCCTTTGGCCCCAAAGCGCTTGAAATCTCCACTTGCAAATTCCACAAAAACAGTGTTTCAAATCTGCTCTCTCTAAATGATAGTTCAACTCCGTCAGTTGAATACACACAACACAAGGAAGTTACTGAGAATTCTTCTGTCTAGCATAGTATGAAGAAATCCCGTTTCCAACGAAGGCCTCAAACAGGTCTGAATATCCACTTGCAGAGTTTACAAACAGAGTGTTTCCTAACTGCTCTATGAAAAGAAAGGTTAAACTCTGTGAGTTGAACGCACACATCACAAAGAAGTTTCTGAGAATCATTTCTGTCTAGTCTTTATACGAAGATATTTACCTTTCTACCATTGACCTCAAAGCGGCTGAAATCTCCACTTGCAAATTCCACAAAAAGAGTGTTTCAAGTCTGCTCTCTGTAAAGGATCATTCAACTCTGTGAGTTGAATAAACACAACACAAGGAAGTTACTGAGAATTCTTCTTTCTGGCAGAATATGAAGAAATCCCGTTTCCAACGAAAGCCTCAAGGATGTCTGAATATCCACTGGCAGACTTTACAAACAGAGTGTTTCCTAACTGCTCTATGAAAAGAAAGGGTAAACTCTGTGAGTTGAATGCACACATAACAAAGGAGTTTCTGAGAATCATTCTGTCTTGTTTTGAAACGAAGATATTTTCTTTTCTGCCATTGACCTTAAAGCGCTTGAAATCTACACTTGCAAATTGCACAAAGAGAGTGTTTCAAATCTGCTCTGTCTAAGGGAACGTTCAACTCTGTGAGTTGAATGCACACAACACAAGGAAGTTACTGGGAATTCTTCTGTCGAGCCTTACATGAAAAAAACCCGTTTCCAACGAAGGCCTCTAAGTGGTCAAAATTTCCACGTGCAGACTTTACAAACAGAGTGTTTCCAAACCGCTGAATGAAAAGAAAAGTTAAACTCTGAGAGTTGAACGCACACATCACACAGCAGTTTCTGAGAATGATTCTGTCTAGTTTTGAAACGAAGATATTTCCTTTTCTGCCTTTGGCCTCAAAGCGCTTGACATCTCCACTTGCAAATTCCACAAAAAGAGTGTTTCAAATCTGCTCTGTGTAAATGAAAGTTCAACTCTGTGAGTTGAACACACACAACACAAGGAAGTTACTGGGAATTCTTCTGTCTAGCAGAATATGAAGAAATCCCGTTTCCAACGAAGGCCTCAAAGAGGTCTGAATATCCACTTGCAGACTTTACAAACAGAGTTTTTCCTAACTGCTCTATGAAAAGAAAAGTTAAACTCTGTGAGTTGAACGCACACATCACAAAGGAGTTTCTGAGAATCATTCTGTCTAGTTTTTATACGAAGAGATTTCCTTTTCTACCATTGACCTCAAAGCGGCTGAAATCTCCACTTGCAAATTCCTCAAAACGAGTGTTTCAAGTCTGCTCTGTGTAAAGGATAGTTCAACTCTGTGAGTTGAATACACACAACACAAGGAAGTTACTGAGAATTCTTCTGTCTAGCATAGTATGAAGAAATCCCGTTTCCAACGAAGGCCTCAAAGAGGTCTGTATATCCACTTGCAGACTTTACAAACAGAGTGTTTCCTAACTGCTCTATGAAAAGAAAGGTTAAACTCTGTGAGTTGAACGCACACATCACAAAGAAGTTTCTGAGAATCATTCTGTCTAGTTTTGAAACGAAGATATTTCCTTTTTCTGCCGTTGACCTTAAAGCGCTTGAAATCTACACTTGCAAATTGCACAAATAGAGTGTTTCAAATCTGCTCTGTCTAAGGGAACGTTCAACTCTGTGAGTTGAATGCACACAACACAAGGAAGTTACTGGGAATTCTTCTGTCTAGCCTTACATGAAAAAAACCCGTTTCCAACGAAGACCTCTAAGTGGTAAAAATATCCACGTGCAGACTTTACAAACAGAGTGTTTCCAAACTGCTGAATGAAAAGAAAAGTTAAACTCTGAGAGTTGAACGCACACATGACAGAGCAGTTTCTGAGAATGATTCTGTCTAGTTTTTATACGAAGATATTTCCTTTTCTGCCTTTGGCCCCAAAGCGCTTGAAATCTCCACTTGCAAATTCCACAAAAACAGTGTTTCAAATCTGCTCTCTCTAAATGAAAGTTCAACTCTGTCAGTTGAATACACACAACACAAGGAAGTTGCTGAGAATTCTTCTGTCTAGCCTTACATGAAAAAAACCCGTTTCCAACGAAGGCCTCAAAGCGGTCAAAATATCCACTTGCAGAATTTACAAACAGAGTGTTTCCTAACTGCTGTATGAAAAGAAAGGTTAAACTCTGTGAGTTGAACACACACATCACAAAGGAGTTTCTGAGAATCATTTCTGTCTAGTTTTTCTACGAAGATATTTCCTTTTCTACATATTGACCTCAAAGCGGCTGAAATCTCCACTTGCAAATTCCACAAAAAGAGTGTTTCAAGTCTGCTCTGTGTAAAGGATCGTTCAACCTCTGTGAGTTGAATACACGCAACACAAGGAAGTTACTGAGAATTCTTCTGTCTAGCAGAATATGAAGAAATCCCGTTTCCAACGAAGGCCACAAGATGTCAGAATATCCACTTACAGACTTTACAAACAGAGTGTTTCCTAACTGCTCTATGAACAGAAAGGTTAAACTACTGTGAGTTGAACGAACACATCAGAACGCAGTTTGTGGGAATGATTCTGTCTAGTTTTGAAACGAAGATATTTCCTTTTCTGCCATTGACCTTAAAGCGCTTGAAATCTCCATTTGCCAATTGCACAAAAAGAGTGTTTCAAATCTGCTCTGTCTAAGGGAACGTTCAAATCTGTGAGTTGAATGTACACAACACAAGGAAGTTACTGGGAATTCTTCTATCTAGCCTTACATGAAAAAAACCCGTTTCCAACGAAGGCCTCTAAGTGGTCAAAATTTCCACGTGCAGACTTTACAAACAGAGTGTTTCCAAACCGCTGAATGAAAAGAAAAGTTAAACTCTGAGAGTTGAACGCACACATCACGCAGCAGTTTCTGAGAATGATTCTGTCTACTTTTTATACGAAGATATTTCCTTTTCTGCCTTTGGCCCCAAAGCGCTTGAAATCTCCACTTGCAAATTCCACAAAAACAGTGTTTCAAATCTGATCTCTCTAAATGAAAGTTCAACTCTGTCAGTTGAATACACACAACACAAGGAAGTTACTGAGAATTCTTCTGTCTAGCAGAATATGATGAAATCCCGTTTCCAACGAAAGTCTCAAAGATGTCTGAATATCCACTTGCAGACTTTACAAACAGAGTGTTTCCTAACTGCTCTATGAAAAGAAAGGTTAAACTCTGTGAGTAGAACGCACACATCACAAAGGAGTTTCTGAGAATCATTCTGTCTAGTTTTTATACGAAGATATTTCCTTTTCTACCATTGACCTCAAAGCGGCTGAAATGTCCACTTGCAAATTCCACAAAAAGAGTGTTTCAAATCTGCTCTGTGTAAACCATCGTTCAACTCTGTGAGTTGAATACACACAACACAAGGAAGATTCTGAGAATTCTTCTGTCTAGCACAATATGAAGAAATCCCGTTTCCAACGAAGGCCACAAGATGTCAGAATATCCACTTACAGAATTTACAAACAGACTGTTTCCTAACTGCTCTATGAAAAGAAAGGTTAAACTGCTGTGAGTTGAACGAACACATCACAACGCAGTTTGTGGGAATGATTCTCTGTCTAATTTTGAAACGAAGATATTTCCTTTTCTGCCATTGACCTTAAAGCGCTTGAAATCTCCATTTGCCAATTGCACAAAAAGAGTGTTTCAAATCTGCTCTGTCTAAGGGAACGTTCAACTCTGTGAGTTGAATGTACACAACACAAGGAAGTTACTGGGAATTCTTCAGTCTAGCCTTACATGAAAAAAACCCGTTTCCAACGAAGACCTCTAAGTGGTCAAATTATCCACGTGCAGACTTTACAAACAGAGTGTTTCCAAACTGCTGAATGAAAAGAAAAGTTAAACTCTGAGAGTTGAACGCACACATCGCAGAGCAGTTTCTGAGAATGATTCTGTCTAGTTTTGAAACGAAGATATTTCCTTTTCTGCCTTTGGCCTCAAAGCGCTTGAAATCTCCACTTGCAAATTCCACAAAAAGAGTGTTTCAAATCTGCTCTGTGTAAATGAAAGTTCAACTCTGTGAGTTGAACACACACAACACAAGGAAGTTATTGGGAATTCTTCTGTCTAGCAGAATATGAGGAAATCCCGTTTCCAACGATGGCCTCAAAGAGGTCTGATTATCCACTTGCAGAATTTACAAACAGAGTGTTTCCTAACTGCTCTATGAAAAGAAAGGTTAAACTCTGTGAGTTGAACGCACACATCATAAAGGAGTTTCTGACAATCGTTCTGTCTAGTTTTTCTACGAAGATATTTCCTTTTCTACTATTGACCTGAAAGCGGCTGAAATCTCCACTTGCAAATTCCACAAAAAGAGTGTTTCAAGTCTGCTCTGTGTAAAAGATCGTTCAACTCTGTGAGTTGAATACACACAACACAAGGAAGTTACTGAGAATTCTTCTGTCAAGCAGAATATGAAGAAATCCCGTTTCCAACGAAGGCCACAAGATGTCAGAATATCCACTTACAGACTTTACAAACAGAGTGTTTCCTAACTGCTCTATGAACAGAAAGTTTAAACTCTGTGAGTTGAACGAACACATCACAACGCAGTTTGTGGGAATGATTCTGTCTAGTTTTGAAACGAAGATATTTCCTTTTCTGCCATTGACCTTAAAGCTCTTGAAATCTCCACTTGCCAATTGCACAAAAAGAGTATTTCAAATCTGCTCTGTCTAAGGGAACGTTCAACTCTGTGAGTTGAATGTACACAACACAAGGAAGTTACTGGGAATTCTTCTGTCTAGCCTTACATGAAAAAAAACCCGTTTCCAACGAAGGCCTCTAAGTGGTCAAAATATCCACGTGCAGTCTTTACAAACAGAGTGTTTCCAAACCGCTGAATGAAAAGAAAAGTTAAACTCTGAGAGTTGAACGCACACATCATGCAGCAGTTTCTGAGAATGATTCTGTCTAGTTTTGAAACGAAGATATTTCCTTTTCTGCCTTTGGCCTCAAAGCGCTTGAAATCTCCACTTGCAAATTCCACTAAAAGAGTGTTTCAAATCTGCTCTGGGTAAATGAAAGTTCAACTCTGTGAGTTGAACACACACAACACAAGGAAGTTACTGGGAATTCTTCTGTCTAGCAGAATATGATGAAATCCCGTTTCCAACGAAAGTCTCAAAGATGTCTGAATATTCTCTTGCAGACTTTACAAACAGAGTGTTTCCTAACTGCTCTATGAAAAGAAAGGTTAAACTCTGTGAGTAGAACGCACACATCACAAAGGAGTTTCTGAGAATCATTCTGTCTAGTTTTTATAGGAGGGAAGATATTTCCTTTTCTACCATTGACCTCAAAGCGGCTGAAATCTCCACTTGCAAATTCCACAAAAAGAGTGTTTCTAGTCTGCTCTGTGTAAAGGATCGTTCAACACTGTGAGTTGAATACACACAACACAAGGAAGTTACTGAGAATTCTTCTGTCTAGCAGAATATGAAGAAATCCCGTTTCCAACGAAGGCCTCAAGGAGGTCTGAATATCCACTTGCAGACTTTACAAACAGAGTGTTTCCTAACTGCTCTATGAACAGAAAGGTTAACCTCTGTGAGTTGAACGAACACATCACAACGCAGTTTGTGGGAATGATTCTGTCTAGTTTTGAAACGAAGATATTTCCTTTTCTGCCGTTGACCTTAAAGCGCTTGAAATCTATACTTGCAAATTGCACAAATAGAGTGTTTCAAATCTGCTCTGTCTAAGGGAACGTTCAACTCTGTGAGTTGAATGCACACAACACAAGGAAGTTACTGGGAATTCTTCTGTCTAGCCTTACGTGAAAAAAACCCGTTTCCAACAAAGACCTCTAAGTGGTCAAAATATCCACGTGCAGACTTTACAAACAGAGTGTTTCCAAAGTGCTGAATGAAAAGAAAAGTTAAACTCTGAGAGTTGAACGCACACATCACAGAGCATTTTCTGAGAATGATTCTGTCTAGTTTTTATACGAAGATATTTCCTTTTCGGCCTTTGGCCCCAAAGCGGCTGAAATCTCCACTTGCAAATTCCACAAAAACAGTGTTATAAATCTGCTCTCTCTAAATGAAAGTTCAACTCTGTCAGTTGAATACACACAACACAAGGAAGTTACTGAGAATTCTTCTTTCTAGCAGAATATGAAGAAATCCCGTTTCCAACGAAAGCCTCAAGGATGTCTGAATATCCACTTGCAGACTTTACAAACAGAGTGTTTCCCAACTGCTCTATGAAAAGAGAGGTTAAACTCTGTGAGTTGAACGCACACATCACAAAGGAGTTTCTGAGAATCATTCTGTCTAGTTTTTATACGAAGATATTTCCTTTTCTACCATGGACCTCAAAGCGGCTGAAATCTCCAATTGCAAATTCCACAAAAAGAGTGTTTCAAGTCTGCTCTGTGTAAAGGATCGTTCAACTCTGTGAGTTGAATACACACAACACAAGGAAGATTCTGAGAATTCTTCTGTCTAGCAGAATATGAAGAAATCCCGTTTCCAACGAAGGCCACAAGATGTCAGAATATCCACTTACAGAATTTACAAACAGACTGTTTCCTAACTGCTCTATGAAAAGAAAGGTTAAACTCTGTGAGTTGAACGAGCACATCACAACGCAGTTTGTGGGAATGATTCTGTCTAGTTTTGAAACGAAGATATTTCCTTTTCTGCCGTTGACCTTAAAGCGCTTGAAATCTACACTTGGAAATTGCACAAATAGAGTGTTTCAAATCTGCTCTGTCTAAGGGAACGTTCAACTCTGTGAGTTGAATGCACACAACACAAGGAAGTTACTGGGAATTCTTCTGTCTAGCCTTACATGAAAAAAACCCGTTTCCAACGAAGGCCTCAAAGAGGTCTGAATATCCACGTGCAGACTTTACAAACAGAGTGTTTCCAAACCGCTGAATGAAAACAAAGGTTAAACTCTGTGAGTTGAACGCACACATCACAAAGGAGTTTCTGAGAATCATTCTGTCTAGTTTTGAAACGAAGATATTTCCTTTTCTGCCTTTGGCCTCAAAGCGCTTGAAATCTCCATTTGCAAATTCCACAAAAAGAGTGTTTCAAATCTGCTCTGGGTAAATGAAAGTTCAACTCTGTGAGTTGAACACACACAACACAAGGAAGTTACTGGGAATTCTTCTGTCTAGCCTTATATGAAAAAAACCCGTTTCCAACGAAGGCCTCAAAGAGGTCTGAATATCCACTTGCAGACTTTACAAACAGAGTGTTTCCTAACTACTCTATGAAAAGAAAGGTTAAACTCTGTGACTTGAACGCACACATCACAAAGGAGTTTCTGAGAATCATTCTGTCTAGTTTCTATAGGAAGATATTTCCTATTCTACCATTGACCTCAAAGCGGCTGAAATCTCCACTTGCAAATTCCACAACAAGAGTGTTTCAAGTATGCTCTGTGTAAAGGATCGTTCAACTCTGTGAGTTGAATACACACAACACAAGGAAGTTACTGAGAATTCTTCTGTCTAGCATAAAATGAAGAAATCCCGTTTCCAACGAAGGCCTCAAGGAGGTCTGAATATCCACTTGCAGACTTTACAAACAGAGTGTTTCCTAACTGCTCTATGAAAAGAAAGGTTAAACTCTGTGAGTTGAACGCACACATCACAAAGGAGTTTCTGAGAATCATTCTGTCTAGTTTTTATACGAAGATATTTCCTTTTCTACCATTGACCTCAAATCGGCTGAAATCTCCACTTGCAAATTCCACAAAAAGATTGTTTCAAGTCTGCTCTGTGTAAAGGATCGTTCAACTCTGTGAGTTGAATACACACAACACAAGGAAGTTACTGAGAATTCTTCTGTCTAGCCTTACATGAAAAAAACCCGTTTCCAACGAAGGCCTCTAACTGGTCAAAATATCCACGTGCAGACTTTACAAACAGAGTGTTTCCAAACCGCTGAATGAAAAGAAAAGTTAAACTCTGAGAGTTGAACGCACACATCACGCAGCAGTTTCTGAGAATGATTCTGTCTAGTTTTTATACGAAGATATTTCCTTTTCTGCCTTTGGCCTCAAAGCGCTTGAAATCTCCATTTGCAAATTCCACAAAAAGAGTGTTTCAAATCTGCTCTGTGTAAATGAAAGTTCAACTCTGTGAGTTGAATACACACAACACAAGGAAGTTCCTGAGAATTCTTCTGTCTAGCATAATATGAAGAAATCCCGTTTCCAACGAAGGCCTCAAAGAGATCTGAATATCCACTTGCAGACTTTAGAAACAGAGTGTTTCCTAACTGCTCTATGAAAAGAAAAGTTAAACTCTGTGATTTGAACTCACACATCACAAAGGAGTTTATGAGAATCATTCTGTCTAGTTTCTATAGGAAGATATTTCCTATTCTACCATTGACCTCAAAGCGGCTGAAATCTCCACTTGCAAATTCCACAAAAGGAGTGTTTCAAGTCTGCTCTGTGTAAAGGATCGTTCAACTCTGTGAGTTGAATACACACAACACAAGGAAGTTACTGAGAATTCTTCTGTCTAGCATAATATGAAGAAATCCCGTTTCCAACGAAAGCCTCAAGGATGTCTGAATATCCACTTGCAGACTTTACAAACAGAGTGTTTCCTAACTGCTCTATGAAAAGAAAGGTTAAACTCTGTGAGTTGAACGCACACATCACAAAAGAGTTTCTGAGAATCATTCTGTCTAGTTTTGAAACGAAGATATTTCCTTTTCTGCCATTGACCTTAAAGCGCTTGAAATCTCCACTTGCCAATTGCACAAAGAGTGTTTCAAATCTGCTCTGTCTAAGGGAACGTTCAACTCTGTGAGTTGAATGTACACAACACAAGGAAGTTACTGGGAATTCTTCTGTCTAGCCTTACATGCAAAAAACCCGTTTCCAACGAAGGCCTCTAAGTGGTCAAAATATCCACGTGCAGACTTCACAAACAGAGTGTTTCCAAACCGCTGAATGAAAAGAAAAGTTAAACTCTGAGAGTTGAACGCACACATCACGCAGCAGCTTCGGAGAATGATTCTGTCTAGTTTTGAAACGAAGATATTTCCTTTTCTGCCTTTGGCCTCAAATCGCTTGAAATCTCCACTTGCAAATTCCACAAAAAGAGTGTTTCAAATCTGCTCTGGGTAAATGAAAGTTCAACTCTGTGAGTTGAACACACACAACACAAGGAAGTTACTGGGAATTCTTCTGTCTAGCAGAACATGAAGAAATCCCGTTTCCAACGAACGCCTCAAAGATGTCTGAATATCCACTTGCAGACTTTACAAACAGAGTGTTTCCTAACTGCTCTATGAAAAGAAAGGTTAAACTCTGTGAGTTGAACGCACACATCACAAAGGAGTTTCTGAGAATCATTCTGTCTAGTTTCTATAGGAAGATATTTCCTATTCTACCATTGAGCTCAAAGCGGCTGAAATCTCCACTTGCAAATTCCACAAAAAGAGTGTTTCAAGTCTGCTCTCTGTAAAGGATCGTTCAACTCTGTGAGTTGAATACACACAACACAAGGAAGTTACTGAGAAGTATTCTGTCTAGCAGAATATGAAGAAATCCCGTTTCCAACGAAGGCCACAAGATGTCAGAATATCCACTTACAGACTTTACAAACAGAGTGTTTCCTAACTGCTCTATGAACAGAAAGGTTAAACTGCTGTGAGTTGAACGAACACATCACAACGCAGTTTGTGGGAATGATTCTGTCTAGTTTTTATACGAAGATATTTCCTTTTCTACCATTGACCTCAAAGCGGCTGAAATCACCACTTGCCAATTGCACAAAAAGAGTGTTTCAAATCTGCTCTGTCTAAGGGAACGTTCAACTCTGTGAGTTGAATGTACACAACACAAGGAAGTTACTGGGAATTCTTCTGTCTAGCCTTACATGAAAAAAACCCGTTTCCAACGAAGGCCTCAAAGAGGTCTGAATATCCACGTGCAGACTTTACAAACAGAGTGTTTCCAAACCGCTGAATGAAAAGAAAAGTTAAACTCTGTGAGTTGAACGCACACATCACAAAGGAGTTTCTGAGAATCATTCTGTCTAGTTTTGAAACGAAGATATTTCCTTTTCTGCCTTTGGCCTCAAAGCGCTTGAAATCTCCACTTGCAAATTCCACAAAAAGAGTGTTTCAAATCTGCTCTGCGTAAATGAAAGTTCAACTCTGTGAGTTGAACACACACAACACAAGGAAGTTACTGGGAATTCTTCTGTCTAGCCTTATATGAAAAAATCCCGTTTCCAACGAAGGCCTCAAGGAGGTCTGAATATCCACTTGCAGACTTTACAAACAGAGTGTTTCCTAACTGCTCTATGAAAAGAAAGGTTAAACACTGTGAGTTGAACGCACACATCACAAAGGAGTTTCTGAGAATCATTCTGTCTAGTTTTTATAGGAAGATATTTCCTTTTCTACCTTTGACTTCAAAGCGGGTGAAATCTCCACTTGCAAATTCCACAAAAAGAGTGTTACAAGTCTGCTCTGTGTAAAGGATCGTTCAACTCTGTGAGTTGAATACACACAACACAAGGAAGTTACTGAGAATTCTTCTGTCTAGCAGAATATGAAGAAATCCCGTTTCCAACGAAGGCCACAAGATGTCAGAATATCCACTTACAGAATTTACAAACAGATTGTTTCCTAACTGCTCTATGAAAAGAAAGGTTAAACTCTGTGAGTTGAACGAACACATCACAACGCAGTTTGTGGGAATGATTCTGTCTAGTTTTGAAACGAAGATATTTCCTTTTCTGCCATTGACCGTAAAGCGCTTGAAATCTACACTTGCAAATTGCACAGAGTGTTTCAAATCTGCTCTGTCTAAGGGAACGTTCAACTCTGTGAGTTGAATGCACACAACACAAGGAAGTTACTGGGAATTCTTCTGTCTAGCCTTACATGAAAAAAACCCGTTTCCAACGAAGGCCTCTAAGTGGTCAAATTATCCACGTGCAGACTTTACAAACAGAGTGTTTCCAAACTGCTGAATGAAAAGCAAAGTTAAACTCTGAGAGTTGAACGCACACATCGCAGAGCAGTTTCTGAGAATGATTCTGTCTAGTTTTTATACGAAGATATTTCCTTTTCTGCCTTTGGCCTCAAAGCGCTTGAAATCTCCATTTGCAAATTCCACGAAAAGAGTGTTTCAAATCTGCTCTGTGTAAATGAAAGTTCAACTCTGTGAGTTGAACACACACAACACAAGGAAGTTACTGGGAATTCTTCTGTCTAGCATAATATGAAGAAATCCCGTTTCCAACGAAGGCCTCAAAGGGGTCTGAATATCCACTTGCAGACTTTATAAACAGAGTGTTTACTAAATGCTCTATGAAAAGAAAGGTTAAACTCTGTGAGTTGAACACACACATCACAAAGGAGTTTCTGAGAATCATTCTGTCTAGTCTTTATACGAAGATATTTCCTTTTCTACCATTGACCTCAAAGCGGCTGAAATCTCCACTTGCAAATTCCACAAAAAGAGTGTTTCAAGTCTGCTCTGTGTAAAGCATCGTTCAACTCTGTGAGTTGAATACACACAACACAAGGAAGTTACTGAGAATTCTTCTGTCTAGCAGAATATGAAGAAATCCGGTTTCCAACGAAGGCCTCAAGGAGGTCTGAATATCCACTTGCAGACTTTACAAACAGAGTGTTTCCTAACTGCTCTATGAACAGAAAGGTTAAACTCTGTGAGTTGAACGAACACATCACAACGCAGTTTGTGGGAATGATTCTGTCTAGTTTTGAAACGAAGATATTTCCTTTTCTGCCATTGACCTTAAAGCGCTTGAAATCTACACTTGCAAATTGCACAAATAGAGTGTTTCAAATCTGCTCTGTCTAAGGGAACATTCATCTCTGTGAGTTGAATGCACACAACACAAGGAAGTTACTGGGAATGCTACCGTCTAGCCTTACATGAAAAAAAACCCGTTTCCAACGAAGGCCTCTAAGTGGTCAAAATATCCACGTGCAGACTTTACAAACAGAGTGTTTCCAAACTGCTGAATGAAAAGAAAAGTTAAACTCTGCGAGTTGAACGCACACATCACAGAGCGGTTTCTGAGAATGATTCTGTCTAGTTTTTATACGAAGATATTTCCTTTTCTGCCTTTGGCCCCAAAGCGCTTGAAATCTCCACTTGCAAATTCCACAAAAACAGTGTTCCAAATCTGCTCTCTCTAAATGAAAGTTCAACTCTGTCAGTTGAATACACACAACACAAAGAAGTTACTGAGAATTCTTCTGTCTAGCATAGTATGAAGAAATCCCGTTTCCAACGAAGGCCTCAAAGAGGTCTGAATATCCACTTGCAGAGTTTACAAACAGAGTGTTTCCTAACTGCTCTATGAAAAGAAAGGTTAAACTCTGTGAGTTGAACGCACGCATCACAAAGAAGTTTCTGAGAATCATTCTGTCTAGTCTTTATACGAAGATATTTACTTTTCTACCATTAACCTCAAAGCGGCTGAAATCTCCACTTGCAAATTCCACAAAAAGAGTGTTTCAAGTCTGCTCTGTGTAAAGGATCATTCAACTCTGTGAGTTGAATAAACACAACACAAGGAAGTTACTGAGAATTCTTCTGTCAAGCAGAATATGAAGAAATCCCGTTTCCAACGAAGGCCTCAAGGAGGTCTGAATATCCACTTGCAGACTTTACAAACAGAGTGTTTCCTAACTGCTCTATGAACAGAAAGGTTAAACTCTGTGAGTTGAACGCACACATCACAAAGGAGTTTCTGAGAATCATTCTGTCTAGTTTTGAAACGAAGATATTTCCTTTTCTGCCCTTGACCTTAAAGCGCTTGAAATCTACACTTGCAAATTGCACAAATAGAGTGTTTCAAATCTGCTCTGTCTAAGGGAACGTTCAACTCTGTGAGTTGAATGCGCACAACACAAGGAAGTTACTGGGAATTCTTCTGTCTAGCCTTACATACAAAAAAACCCGTTTCCAACGAAGGCCTCTAAGTGGTCAAAATATCCACGTGCAGACTTTACAAACAGAGTGTTTCCAAACCGCTGAATGAAAAGGAAAGTTAAACTCTGAGAGTTGAACACACACATCACGCAGCAGTTTCTGAGAATGATTCTGTCTAGTTTTTATACGAAGATATTTCCTTTTCTGCCTTTGGCCTCAAAGCGCTTGAAATCTCCATTAGCAAATTCCACAAAAAGAGTGTTTCAAATCTGCTCTGTGTAAATGAAAGTTCAACTCTGTGAGTTGAACACACACAACACAAGGAAGTTACTGGGAATTCTTCTGTCTAGCATAATATGAAGAAATCCCGTTTCCAACGAAGGCCTCAAAGGGGTTGGAATATCCACTTGCAGACTTTATAAACAGAGTGTTTACTAACTGCTCTATGAAAAGAAAGGTTAAACTCTGTGAGTTGAACACACACATCACAAAGGAGTTTCTGAGAATCATTCTGTCTAGTTTTTCTACGAAGATATTTCCTTTTCTACTATTGACCTCAAAGCGGTTGAAATCTCCACTTGCAAATTCCACAGAAAGAGTGTTTCAAGTCTGCTCTGTGTAAAGGATCGTTCAACTCTGTGAGTTGAATACACACAACACAAGGAAGTTACTGAGAATTCTTCTGTCTAGCAGAATATGAAGAAATCCCGTTTCCAACGAAGGCCACAAGATGTCAGAATATCCACTTACAGAATTTACAAACAGACTGTTTCCTAACTGCTCTATGAAAAGAAAGGTTAAAGTCTGTGTGTTGAACGAACACATCACAACGCAGTTTGTGGGAATGATTCTGTCTAGTTTTGAAACGAAGATATTTCCTTTTCTACCATTGACCTCAAAGCGCTTGAAATCTCCACTTGCCAATTGCACAAAAAGAGTGTTTCAAATCTGCTCTGTCTAAGGGAACGTTCAACTCCGTGAGTTGAATGTACACAACGCAAGGAAGTTACTGGGAATTCTTCTGTCTAGCCTTACAGGAAAAAAACCCGTTTGCAACGAAGGCCTCTAAGTGGTCAAAATATCCACGTGCAGACTTTACAAACAGAGTGTTTCCAAACTGCTGAATGAAAAGAAAAGTTAAACTCTGTGAGTTGAAGGCACACATCGCAGAGCAGTTTCTGAGAATGATTCTGTCTAGTTTTTATACGAAGATATTTCCTTTTCTGCCTTTGGCCTCAAAGCGCTTGAAATCTCCATTTGCAAATTCCACAAAAAGAGTGTTTCAAATCTGCTCTGTGTAAATGAAAGTTCAAATCTGTGAGTTGAACACACACAACACAAGGAAGTTACTGGGAATTCTTCTGTCTAGCAGAATATGAAGAAATCCCGTTTCCAACGAAGGCCTCAAAGAGGTCTGAATATCCACTTGCAGACTTTACAACCAGAGTGTTTCCTAACTGCTCTATGAAAAGAAAGGTTAAACTCTGTGATTTGAAAGCAAACATCACAAAGGAGTTTCTGAGAATCATTCTGTCTAGTTTTTATAGGAAGATATTTCCTTTTCTACCATTGACCTCAACGCGGCTGAAATCTCCACTTGCAAATTCCACAAAAAGAGTGTTCCAAGTCTGCTCTGTGTAAAGGATCGTTCAACTCTGTGAGTTGAATACACACAACACAAGGAAGTTACTGAGAATTCTTCTGTCTAGCAGAACATGAAGAAATTCCGCTTCCAACGAAGGCCTCAAAGAAGTCTGAATATCCACTTGCAGACTTTACAAACAGAGTGTTTCCCAACTGCTCTATGAAAAGAAAGGTTGAACTCTGTGAGTTGAACGCACACATCACAAAGGAGTTTCTGAGAATCATTCTGTCTAGTTTCTATAGGAAGATATTTCCTATTCTACCATTGACCTCAAAGCGGCAGAAATCTCCACTTGCAAATTCCACAAAAAGAGTGTTTCAAGACTGCTCTGTGTAAAGGATCGTTCAACTCTGTGAGTTGAATACACACAACACAAAGAAGTTACTGAGAATTCTTCTGTCTAGCAGAATATGAAGAAATCCCGTTTCCAACGAAGGCCTCAAGGAGGTCTGAATATCCACTTGCAGACTTTACAAACAGAGTGTTTCCTAACTGCTCTATGAACAGAAACGTTAAACTCTGTGAGTTGAACGAACACATCACAACGCAGTTTGTGGGAATGATTCTGTCTAGTTTTTATACGAAGATATTTCCTTTTCTGCCATTGACCCTAAATCGCTTGAAATCTCCACTTGCAAATTGCACAAAAAGAGTGTTTCAAATCTGCTCTGTCTAAGGGAACGTTCAACTCTGTGAGTTGAATGCACACAAGACAAGGAAGTTACTCGGAATTCTTCTGTCTAGCCTTACATGAAAAAAACCCGTTTCCAACGAAGGCCTCTGAGTGGTCAAAATATCCACGTGCAGACTTTACAAACTGAGTGTTTACAAACTGCTGAATGAAAAGAAAAGTTAAACTCTGAGAGTTGAACGCACACATCACAGAGCAGTTTCTGAGAATGATTCTGTCTAGTTTTTATACGAAGATATTTCCTTTTCTGCCTTTGGCCTCAAAGCGCTTGAAATCTCCACCTGCAAATTCCACAAAAAGAGTATTTCAAATCTGCTCTGTGTAAATGAAAGTTCAACTCTGTGAGTTGAACACACACAACACAAGGGAAGTTACTGGGAATTCTTCTGTCAAGCAGAATATGAAGAAATCCCGCTTCCAACGAAGGCCTCAAAGAAGTCTGAATATCCACTTGCAGACTTTACAAATAGAGTGTTTCCCAACTGCTCTATGAAAAGAAAGGTTGAACTCTGTGAGTTGAACGCACACATCACAAAGGAGTTTCTGAGAATCATTCTGTCTAGTTTCTATAGGAAGATATTTCCTATTCTACCATTGACCTCAAAGCGGCTGAAATCTCCACTTGCAAATTCCACAAAAAGAGTGTTTCAAGTCTGCTCTCTGTAAAGGATCGTTCAACTGCTGTGAGTTGAATACACACAACACAAGGAAGTTACTGAGAATTCTTTCTGTCTAGCAGAATATGAAGAAATCCCGTTTCCAACGAAGGCCACAAGATGTCAGAATATCCACTTACAGACTTTACAAACAGTGTGTTTCCTAACTGCTCTATGAACGGAAAGGTTAAACTCTGTGAGTTGAACGAACACATCACAACGCAGTTTGTGGGAATGATTATCTGTCTAGTTTTGAAACGAAGATATTTCCTTTTCTGCCATTGACCTTAAATCGCTTGAAATCTACACTTGCAAATTGCACAAATAGAGTGTTTCAAATCTGCTCTGTCTAAGGGAACGTTCAACTCTGTGAGTTGAATGCACACAACACAAGGAAGTTACTGGGAATTCTTCTGTCTAGCCTTACATGAAAAAAACCCGTTTCCAACGAAGGCCTCTAAGTGGTCAAAATATCCACGTGCCGACTTTACAAACAGAGTGTTTCCAAACCGCTGAATGAAAAGAAAAGTTAAACTCTGAGAGTTGAACGCACACATCACGCAGCAGTTTCTGAGAATGATTTTGTCTAGTTTTTATACGAAGATATTTCCTTTTCTGCCTTTGGCCTCAAAGCGCTTGAAATCTCCACTTGCAAATTCCACAAAAAGAGTGTTTCAAATCTGCTCTGTGTAAATGAGAGTTCATCTCTGTGAGTTGAACACACACAACACAAGGTAAGTTACTGGGAATTCTTCTGTCTAGCAGAATATGAAGAAATCCCGCTTCCAACGAAGGCCTCAAAGAAGTCTGAATATCCACTTGCAGACTTTACAAACAGAGTGTTTCCCAACTGCTCTATGAAAAGAAAGGTTGAACTCTGTGAGTTGAACGCACACATCACAAAGCAGTTTCTGAGAAACATTCTGTCTAGTCTGTATACGAAGATAGTTTCCTTTTCTACCATTGACCTCAAAGCGGCTGAAATCTCCACTTGCAAATTCCACAAAAAGAGTGTTTCAAGTCTGCTCTGTGTAAAGGATCGTTCAACTCTGTCAGTTGAATACACAGAACACAAGGAAGTTACTGAGAATTCCTCTGTCTAGCATAATATGAAGAAATCCCGTTTCCAACGAAGGCCTCAAGGAGGTCTGAATATCCACTTGCAGACTTTACAAACAGAGTGTTTCCTAACTGCTCTATGAACAGAAAGGTTAAACTCTGTGAGTTGAACGAACACGTCACAACGCAGTTTGTGGGAATGATTCTGTCTAGTTTTGAAACGAAGATATTTCCTTTCCTGCCATTGACCTTAAAGCCCTTGAAATCTCCATTTGCCAATTGCACAAAAAGAGTGTTTCAAATCTGCTCTGTCTAAGGGAACGTTCAACTCTGTGAGTTGAATGTACACAACACAAGGAAGTTACTGGGAATTCTACTGTCTAGCCTTACAGGAAAAAAACCCGTTTCCAACGAAGGCCTCTAAGTGGTCAAAATATCCACGTGCAGACTTTACAAACAGAGTGTTTCCAAACTGCTGAATGAAAAGAAAAGTTAAACTCTGAGAGTTGAACGCACACATCGCAGAGCAGTTTCTGAGAATGATTCTGTCTAGTTTTTATACGAAGATATTTCCTTTTCTGCCTTTGGCCTCAAAGCGCTTGAAATTTCCACTTGCAAATTCCACAAAAAGAGTGTTTCAAATCTGCTCTGTGTAAATCAAAGTTCAACTCTGTGAGTTGAACACACACAACACAAGGGAAGTTACTGGGAATTCTTCTGTCTAGCAGAATATGAAGAAATCCCGTTTCCAACGAAGGCCTCAAGGAGGTCTGAATATCCACCTGCAGACTTTACAAACAGAGTGTTTCCTAACTGCTCTATGAAAAGAAAGGTTAAACTCTGTGAGTTGAACGCACACATCACAAAGGAGTTCATGAGAATCATTCTGTCTAGTTTTTATAGGAAGATATTTCCTTTTCTACCTTTGACTTCAAAGCGGCTGAAATCTCCACTTGCAAATTCCACAAAAAGAGTGTTACAAGTCTGCTCTGTGTAAACGATCGTTCAACTCTGTGAGTTGAATACACACAACACAAGGAAGTTACTGAGAATTCTTCTGTCTAGCAGAATATGACGAAATCCCGTTTCCAACGAAGGCCACAAGATGTCAGAATATCCACTTACAGACTTTACAAACAGAGTGTTTCCTAACTGCTCTATGAGCAGAAAGGTTAAACTCTGTGAGTTGAACGAGCACATCACAACGCAGTTTGTGGGAATGATTCTGTCTAGTTTTGAAACGAAGATATTTCCTTTTCTGCCATTGACCTTAAAGCGCTTGAAATCTACACTTGCAAATTGCACAAATAGAGTGTTTCAAATCTGCTCTGTCTAAGGGAAGGTTCAACTCTGTGAGTTGAATGCACACAACACAAGGAAGTTACTGGGAATTCTTCTGTCTAGCCTTACAGGAAAAAATCTCGTTTCCAACGAAGGCCTCTAAGTGGTCAAAATATCCACGTGCAGACTTTACAAACAGAGTGTTTCCAAACTGCTGAATGAAAAGAAAAGTTAAACTCTGAGAGTTGAACGCACACATCGCAGAGCAGTTTCTGAGAATGATTCTTTCTAGTTTTTATACGAAGATATTTCCTTTTCTGCCTTTGGCCCCAAAGCGCTTGAAATCTCCATTTGCAAATTCCACAAAAACAGTGTTTCAAATCTGCTCTCTCTAAATGAAAGTTCAACTCTGTCAGTTGAATACACACAACACAAGGAAGTTACTGAGAATTCTTCTGTCTAGCATAATATGAAGAAATCCCGTTTCCAACAAAGGCCACAAAGAGGTCTGAATATCCACTTGCAGACTTTACAAACAGAGTGTTTCCTAACTGCTCTATGAAAAGAAAAGTTAAACTCTGTGAGTTGAACGCACACATCACAAAGGAGTTTCTGAGAATCATTCTGTCTAGTCTTTATACGAAGATATTTCCTTTTCTACCATTGACCTCAAAGCGGCTGAAATCTCCACTTGCCAATTCTACAAAAAGAGTGTTTCAAGTCTGCTCTGTGTAAAGGATCGTTCAACTCTGTGAGTTGAATACACACAACACAAGGAAGTTAGTGAGAATTCTTCTGTCTAGCAGAATATGAAGAAATCCCGTTTCCAACGAAGGCCTCAAGGAGGTCTGAATATCCACTTACAGACTTTACAAACACAGTGTTTCCTAACTGCTCTATGAACAGAAAGGTTAAACTCTGTGAGTTGAACGAACACATCACAACGCAGTTTGTGGGAATGATTCTGTCTAGTTTTGAAACGAAGATATTTCCTTTTCTGCCATTGACCTTAAAGCGCTTGAAATCTCCACTTGCCAATTGCACAAAAAGAGTGTTTCAAATCTGCTCTGTCTAAGGGAACGTTCAACTCTGTGAGTTGAATGTACACAACACAAGGAAGTTACTGGGAAATCTTCTGTCTAGCCTTACAAGAAAAAAACCCGTTTCCAACGAAGGCCTCTAAATGGTCAAAATATCCACGTGCAGACTTTACAAACAGAGTGTTTCCAAACTGCTGAATGAAAAGAAAAGTTAAACTCTGAGAGTTGAACGCACACATCGCAGAGCAGTTTCTGAGAATGATTCTGTCTAGTTTTTATACGAAGATATTTCCTTTTCTGCCTTTGGCCTCAAAGCGCTTGAAATCTCCACTTGCAAATTCCACAAAAAGAGTGTTTCAAATCTGCTCTGTGTAAATGAAAGTTCTACTCTGTGAGTTGAACACACACAACACAAGGAAGTTACTGGGAATTCTTCTGTCTAGCATCATATGAAGAAATCCCGTTTCCAACGAAGGCCTCAAGGAGGTCTGAATATCCACTTGCAGACTTTACAAACAGAGTGTTTCCTAACTGCTCTATGAAAAGAAAGGTTAAACTCTGTGAGTTGAACGCACACATCACAAAGGAGTTTCTGAGAATCATTCTGTCTAGTTTTTCTACGAAGATATTTCCTTTTCTACTATTGACCCCAAAGCGACTGAAATCTCCACTTGCAAATTCCACAAAAAGAGTGTTTCAAGTCTGCTCTGTGTAAAGGATCGTTCAACTCTGTGAGTTGAATACACACAACACAAGGAAGTTAGTGAGAATTCTTCTGTCCAGCAGAATATGAAGAAATCCCGTTTCCAACGAAGGCCACAAGATGTCAGAATATCCACTTACAGACTTTACAAACAGAGTGTTTCCTAACTGCTCTATGAACAGAAAGGTTAAACTCTGTGAGTTGAACGAACACATCACAACGCAGTTTGTCGGAATGATTCTGTCTAGTTTTGAAAGTAAGATATTTCCTTTTCTGCCATTGACCTTAAAGCGCTTGAAATCTCCACTTGCTAATTGCACAAAAAGAGTGTTTCAAATCTGCTCTGTCTAAGGGAACGTTCAACTCTGTGAGTTGAATGTACACAACACAAGGAAGTTACTGGGAATTCTTCTGTCTAGCCTTACAGGAAAAAAACCCGTTTCCAACGAAGGCCTCTAAGTGGTCAAAATATCCACGTGCAGACTTTACAAACAGAGTGTTTCCAAACTGCTGAATGAAAAGAAAAGTTAAACTCTGAGGGTTGAACGCACACATCGCAGAGCAGTTTCTGAGAATGATTCTGTCTAGTTTTTATACGAAGATATTTCCTTTTCTGCATTTGGCCTCAAAGCGCTTGAAATCTCCATTTGCAAATTCCACAAAAAGAGTGTTTCAAATCTGCTCTGTGTAAATGAAAGTTCAACTCTGTGAGTTGAACACACACAACACAAGGAAGTTACTGGGAATTCTTCTGTCTAGCAGAATATGAAGAAATCCCGCTTCCAACGAAGGCCTCAAAGAAGTCTGAATATCCACTTGCAGACTTTACAAACAGAGTGTTTCCCAACTGCTCTATGAAAAGAAAGGTTGAACTCTGTGAGTTGAACGAACACATCACAAAGGAGTTTCTGAGAATCATTCTGTCTAGTTTTTATACGAAGATATTTCCTTTTCTACCATTTACCTCAACACGGCTGAAATCTCCACTTGCAAATTCCACAAAACGAGTGTTTCAAGTCCGCTCTGTGTAAAGGATCGTTCAACTCTGTGAGTTGAATACACACAACACAAGGAAGTTACTGAGAATTCTTCTGTCTAGCATAATATGAAGAAATCCCGTTTCCAACGAAGGCCTCAAGGAGGTCTGAATATCCACTTGCAGACTTTACAAACAGAGTGTTTCCTAACTGCTCTATGAAAAGGAAGGTTAAACTCTGTGAGTTGAACGCACACATCACAAAGGAGTTTCTGAGAATCATTCTGTCTAGTTTTTATAGGAAGATATTTCCTTTTCTATCTTTGACTTCAAAGCGGCTGAAATCTCCACTTGCAAATTCCACAAAAAGAGTGTTACAAGTCTGCTCTTTGTAAAGGATCGTTCAACTCTGTGAGTTGAATACACACAACACAAGGAAGTTACTGAGAATTCTTCTGTCTAGCATAGTATGAAGAAATCCCGTTTCCAACGAAGGCCTCTAAGTGGTCAAAATATCCACGTGCAGACTTTACAAACAGAGTGTTTGCAAACTGCTGAATGAAAAGAAAAGTTAAACTCTGAGAGTTGGACGCACACATCGCAGAGCAGTTTCTGAGAATGATTCTGTCTAGTTTTTCTACGAAGATATTTCCTTTTCTGGCTTTGGCCCCAAAGCGCTTGGAATCTCCACTTGCAAATTCCACAAAAACAGTGTTTCAAATCTGCTCTCTCTAAATGAAAGTTCAACTCTGTCAGTTGAATACACACAACACAAGGAAGTTCCTGAGAATTCTTCTGTCTAGCATAATATGAAGAAATCCCGTTTCCAACGAAGGCCTCAAAGAGGTCTGAATATCCACTTGCAGACTTTACAAACAGAGTGTTTCCTAACTGCTCTATGAGAAGAAAAGTTAAACTCTGTGTGTTGAACGCACACATCACAAAAGATTTTCTGAGAATCATTCTGTGTAGTTTTTCTACGAAGATATTTCCTTTTCTACTATTGACCTCAAAGCGGCTGAAATCTCCACTTGCAAATTCCACAAAAAGAGTGTTTCAAGTCTGCTCTGTGTAAAGGGTCGTGCAACTCTGTGAGTTGAATACACACAACACAAGGAAGTTACTGAGAATTCTTCTGTCTAGCAGAATATGAAGAAATCCCGTTTCCAACGAAGGCCTCAAAGAGGTCTGAATATCCACTTGCAGACTTTACAAACAGAGTGTTTCCTAACTGCTCTATGAAAAGAAAGGTTAAACTCTGTGAGTTGAACGCACACATCAGAAAGGAGTTTCTGAGAATCGTTCTGTCTAGTTTCTATAGGAAGATATTTCCTATTCTACCATTGACCTCAAAGCGGTTGAAATCTCCACTTGCAAATTCCACAAAAAGAATGTTTCAAGTCTGCTCTGTGTAAAGGATCGTTCAACTCTGTGAGTTGAATACACACAACACAAGGAAGTTACTGAGAATTCTTCTGTCTAGCCTTACATGAAAAAAACCCGTTTCCAACGAAGGCCTCTAAGTGGTCAAAATATCCACGTGCAGACTTTACAAACAGAGTGTTTCGAAACCGCTGAATGAAAAGAAAAGTTAAACTCTGAGAGTTGAACGCACACATCACGCAGCAGTTTCTGAGAATGATTCTGTCTAGTTTTTATACGAAGATATTTCCTTTTCTGCCCTTGGCCCCAAAGCGCTTGAAATCTCCACTTGCAAATTCCACAAAAACAGTGTTTCAAATCTGCTCTCTCTAAATGAAAGTTCAACTCTGTCAGTTGAATACACACAACACAAGGAAGTTACTGAGAATTCTTCTGTCTAGCCTTACATGAAAAAAACCCGTTTCCAACGAAGGCCTCAAAGAGGTCTGAATATCCACTTGCAGACTTTAAAAACAGAGTGTTTCCCAACTGCTCTATGAAAAGAAAGGTTAAACTCTGTGAGTTGAACGCACACATCACAAAGAAGTTTCTGAGAATCATTCTGTCTAGTTTCTATAGGAAGATATTTCCTATTCTACCATTGACCTCAAAGCGGCTGAAATCTCCACTTGCAAATTCCACAAAAAGAGTGTTTCAAGTCTGCTCTTTGTAAAGGATCGTTGAAATCTGTGAGTTGAATACACACAACACTATGAAGTTACTGAGAATTCTTCTGTCTAGCAGAATATGAAGAAATCCCGTTTCCAACGAAGGCCACAAGATGTCAGAATATCCACTTACAGAATTGACAAACAGACTGTTTCCTAACTGCTCTAGGAAAAGAAAGGTTAAACTCTGTGAGTTGAACGAACACATCACAACGCAGTTTGTGGGAATGATTCTGTCTAGTTTTGAAACGAAGATATTTCCTTTTCTGCCATTGACCTTAAAGCGCTTGAAATCTCCACTTGCCAATTGCACAAAAAGAGTGTTTCAAATCTGCTCTGTCTAAGGGAACGTTCAACTCTGTGAGTTGAATGTACACAACACAAGGTAAGTTACTGGGAATTCTTCTGTCTAGCCTTACATGAAAAAAACCCGTTTCCAATGAAGGCCTCTAAGTGGTCAAATTATCCACGTGCAGACTTTACAAACAGAGTGTTTCCAAACTGCTGAATGAAAAGAAAAGTCAAACTCTGAGAGTTGAACGCACACATCGCAGAGCAGTTTCTGAGAATGATTCTGGCTAGTTTTGAAACGAAGATATTACCTTTTCTGCCTTTGGCCTCAAAGCGCTTGAAATCTCTACTTGCAAATTCCACAAAAAGAGTGCTTCAAATCTGCTCTGTCTAAATGAAAGTTCAACTCTGTGAGTTGAACACACACAACACAAGGAAGTTACTGGGAATTCTTCTGTATAGCAGAATATGAAGAAATCCCGTTTCCAACGAAGGCCTCAAGGAGGTCTGAATATCCACTTGCAGACTTTACAAACAGAGTGTTTCCTAACTGCTCTATGAAAAGAAAGTTTAAACTCTGTGAGTTGAACGCAGACATCACAAAGGAGTTTCTGAGAATCACTCTGTCTAGTTTTTATACGAAGATATTTCCTTTTCTACCATTGACCTCAAAGCGGCTGAAATCTCCACCCTGCCAATTCCACAAAAAGAGTGTTTCAAGTATACTCTGTGTAAAGGATCGTTGAACTCTGTGAGTTGAAAACACACAACACAACGAAGTTTCTGAGAATTCTTCTGTCTAGCAGAATATGAAGAAATCCCGTTTCCAACGAAGGCCACAAGATGTCAGAATATCCACTTACAGACTTTACAAACAGAGTGTTTCCTAACTGCTCTGTGAACAGAAAGGTTAAACTCTGTGAGTTGAACGAACACATCACAACGCAGTTTGTGGGAATGATTCTGTCTAGTTTTGAAACGAAGATATTTCCTTTTCTGCCGTTGACCTTAAAGAGCTTGAAAACTACACTTGCAAATTGCACAAATAGAGTGTTTCAAATCTGCTCTGTCTAAGGGAACGTTCAACTCTGTGAGTTGAATACACACAACACAAGGAAGTTACTGAGAATTCTTCTGTCTAGCCTTACATGAAAAAAACCCTTTTCCAATGAAGGCCTCTAAGTGGTCAAATTATCCACGTGCAGACTTTACAAACAGAGTGTTTCCAAACTGCTGAATGAAAAGAAAAGTTAAACTCTGAGAGTTGAACGCACACATCACAGAGCAGTTTCTGAGAATGATTCTGTCTAGTTTTTATACGAAGATATTTCCTTTTCTGCCTTTGGCCTCAAAGCGCTTGAAATCTCCACTTGCAAATTCCACAAAAAGAGTGTTTGAAATCTGCTCTGTGTAAATGAAAGTTCAACTCTGTGAGTTGAACACACACAACACAAGGGAAGTTACTGGGAATTCTTCTGTCTAGCAGAAATATGAAGAAATCCTGTTTCCAACGAAGGCCTCAAGGAAGTCTGAATATCCACTTGCAGACTTTACAAACAGAGTGTTTCCTAACTGCTCTATGAAAAGAAAGGTTAAACTCTGTGAGTTGAACGCACACATCACAAAGGAGTTTCTGAGAATCATTCTGTCTAGTTTTTCTACGAAGATATTTCCTTTTCTACTATTGACCTCAAAGCGGCTGAAATCTCCACTTGCAAATTCCACAAAAAGAGTGTTTCAAGTCTGCTCTGTGTAAAGGATCGTTCAACTCTGTCAGTTGAATACACACAACACAAGGAAGTTACTGAGAATTATTCTGTCTAGCATAATATGAAGAAATCCCGTTTCCAACGAAGGCCTCAAAGAGGTCTGAATATCCACTTGCAGACTTTACAAACAGAGTGTTTCCTAACTGGTCTATGAAAAGAAAAGTTAAACTCTGTGAGTTGAACGCACACATCACAAAGGAGTTTCTGAGAATCATTCTGTCTAGTTTTGAAACGAAGATATTTCCTTTTCTGCCGTTGACCTTAAAGCGCTTGAAATCTACACTTGCAAATTGCACAAATAGAGTTTTTCAAATCTGCTCTGTCTAAGGGAACGTTCAACTCTGTGAGTTGAATGCACACAACACAAGGAAGTTACTGGGAATTCTTCTGTCTAGCCTTACATGAAAAAAACCCGTTTCCAACGAAGGCCTCTAAGTGGTCAAATTATCCACGTGCAGACTTTACAAACAGAGTGTTTCCAAACTGCTGAATGAAAAGCAAAGTTAAACTCTGAGAGTTGAACGCACACATCGCAGAGCAGTTTCTGAGAATGATTCTGTCTAGTTTTTATAGGAAGATATTTCCTTTTCTACCATTGACCTCAAAGCGGCTGAAATCTCCACTTGCAAATTCCACAAAAAGAGTGTTACAAGTCTGCTCTGTGTAAAGGATCGTTCAACTCTGTGAGTTGAATACACACAACACAAGGAAGTTACTGAGAATTCTTCTGTCTAGCACAGTATGAAGAAATCCGGTTTCCAACGAAGGCCTCAAAGAGGTCTGAATATCCACTTGCAGAGTTTACAAACAGAGTGTTTCCTAACTGCTCTATGAAAAGAAAGGTTAAACTCTGTGAGTTGAACGCACACATCACAAAGAAGTTTCTGAGAATCATTCTGTCTAGTTTCTATAGGAAGATATTTCCTATTCTACCATTGACCACAAATCGGCTGAAATCTCCACTTGCAAATTTCACAAAAAGAGTGTTTCAAGTCTGCTCTGTGTAAAGGATCGTTCAACTCTGTGAGTTGAATACACACAACACAAGGAAGTTACTGAGAATTCTTCTGTCTAGGAGAATATGAAGAAATCCCGTTTCCAACGAAGGCCACAAGATGTCAGAATATCCACTTACAGAATTGACAAACAGACTGTTTCCTAACTGCTCTATGAAAAGAAAGGTTAAACTCTGTGAGTTGAACCGAACACATCACAACGCAGTTTGTGGGAATGATTCTGTCTAGTTTTGAAACGAAGATATTTCCTTTTCTGCCATTGACCTTAAAGCGCTTGAAATCTACACTTGCAAATTGCACAAATAGAGTGTTTCAAATCTGCTCTGTCTAAGGGAACGTTCAACTCTGTGAGTTGAATGCACAGAACACAAGGAAGTTACTGGGAATTCTTCTGTCTAGCCTTACATGAAAAAAACCCGTTTCCAACGAAGGCCTCTAAGTGGTCAAAATATCCACGTGCAGACTTTACAAACACAGTATTACCAAACCGCTGAATGAAAAGAAAAGTTAAACTCTGAGAGTTGAACGCACACATCACGCAGCAGTTTCTGAGAATGATTCTGTCTAGTTTTTATACGAAGATATTTCCTTTTCTGCCTTTGGCCTCAAAGCGCTTGAAATCTCCACTTGCAAATTCCACAAAAAGAGTGTTTCAAATCTGCTCTTTGTAAATGAAAGTTCAACTCTGTGAGTTGAACACACACAACACAAGGGAAGTTACTGGGAATCCTTCTGTCTAGCCTTATATGAAAAAAACCCGTTTCCAACGAAGGCCTCAAAGAGGTCTGAATATCCACTTGCAGACTTTACAAACAGAGTGTTTCCTAACTGCTCTATGAAAAGAAAGGTTAAACTCTGTGAGTTGAACGCACACATCACAAAGGAGTTTCTGAGAATCATTCTGTCTAGTTTATCTACGAAGATATTTCCTTTTCTACTATTGACCTCAAAGCGGCTGAAATCTCCACTTGCAAATTCCACAAAAAGAGTGTTTCAAGTCTGCTCTGTGTAAAGGATCGTTCAACTCTGTGAGTTGAATACACACAACACAAGGAAGTTACTGAGAATTCTTCTGTCTAGCAGAATATGAAGAAATCCCGTTTCCAACGAAGGCCACAAGATGTCAGAATATCCACTTACAGACTTTACAAACAGAGTGTTTCCTAACTGCTCTATGAACAGAAAGGTTAAACTCTGTGAGTTGAACGTACACATCACAACGCAGTTTGTGGGAATGATTCTGTCTGGTTTTGAAACGAAGATATTTCCTTTTCTGCCGTTGACCTTAAAGCGCTTGAAATCTACACTTGCAAATTGCACAAATAGAGTGTTTCAAATCTGCTCTGTCTAAGGGAATGTTCAACTCTGTGAGTTGAATGCACACAACACAAGGGAAGTTACTGGGAATTCTTCTGTCTAGCCTTATATGAAAAAAACCCGTTTCCAACGAAGGCCTCAAAGAGGTCTGAATATCCACTTGCAGACTTTACAAACAGAGTGTTTCCTAACTGCTCTATGAAAAGAAAGGTTAAACTCTGTGAGTTGAACGCACACATCACAAAGGAGTTTCTAAGAATCATTCTGTCTAGTTTTTATACGAAGATATTTCCTTTTCTACCATGGACCTCAAAGCGGCTGAAATCTCCACTTGCAAATTCCACAAAAAGAGTGTTTCAAGTCTCCTCTGTGTAAAGGATCGTTCAACTCTGTGAGTTGAATACACACAACACAAGGAAGACTCTGAGAATTCTTCTGTCTAGCAGAATATGAAGAAATCCCGTTTCCAACGAAGGCCTCAAAGAGGTCTGAATATCCACTTGCAGACTTTACAAACAGAGTGTTTCCTAACTGCTCTATGAAAAGAAAGGTTAAACTCTGTGAGTTGAACGCACACATCACAAAGGAGTTTCTGATAATCATTCTGTCTAGTCTTTATACGAAGATGTTTCCTTTTCTACCATTGACCTCAAAGCGGCTGAAATCTCCACTTGCAAATTCCACAAAAAGAGTGTTTCAAGTCTGCTCTGTGTAAAGGATCGTTCAACTCTGTGAGTTGAATACACACAACACAAGGAAGTTACTGAGAATTCTTCTGTCTAGCAGAATATGAAGAAATCCCGTTTCCAACGAAGGCCACAAGATGTCAGAATATCCACTTACAGACTTTACAAACAGAGTGTTTCCTAACTGCTCTAAGAACAGAAAGGTTAAACTCTGTGAGTTGAACGAACACATCACAACGCAGTTTGTGGGAATGATTGTGTCTAGTTTTGAAACTAAGATATTTCCTTTTCTGCCATTGACCTTAAAGCGCTTGAATTCTCCACTTGCAAATTGCACAAAAAGAATGTTTCAAATCTGCTCTGACTAAGGGAACGTTCAACTCTGTGAGTTGAATGCACACAACACAAGGAAGTTACCGGGAATTCTTCTGTCTAGCCTTACATGAAAAAAACCCGTTTCCAACGAAGGCCTCTAAGTGGTCAAATTATCCACGTGCAGACTTTACAAACAGAGTGTTTCCAAACTGCTGAATGAAAAGAAAAGTTAAACTCTGAGAGTTGAACGGACACATCACAGAGCAGTTTCTGAGAATGATTCTGTCTAGTTTTTATACGAAGATATTTCCTTTTCTGCCTTTGGCCTCAAAGCGCTTGAAATCTCCAATTGCAAATTCCACAAAAAGAGTGTTTCAAATCTGCTCTGTGTAAATGAAAGTTCAACTCTGTGAGTTGAACACACACAACACAAGGAAGTTACTGGGAATTCTTCTGTCTAGCATAATATGAAGAAATCCCGTTTCCAACGAAGGCCTCAAGGAGGTCTGAATATCCACTTGCAGACTTTACAAACACAGTGTTTCCTAACTGCTCTATGAAAAGTAAGGTTAAACTCTGTGAGTTGAACGCACACATCACAAAGGAGTTTCTGAGAATCATTCTGTCTAGTTTTTATAGGAAGATATTTCCTTTTCTATCTTTGACTTCAAAGCGGCTGAAATCTCCACTTGCAAATTCCACAAAAAGAGTGTTACAAGTCTGCTCTGTGTAAAGGATCGTTCAACTCTGTGAGTTGAATACACACAACACAAGGAAG